>NC_000009.12:131044913-131358730 GCF_000001405.40 Homo sapiens | reverse complement strand
CCTCTTCAAGCTCCAGGTAAATGACACACTTTGTCCAATGAATCCTCTGGGCCCTATGTAAATCAGACACCACCTCTTCAAGCCCCTCTGTAAAACCAACCACATCCTGCCATGAACGGAACCCCCTCCCTCTGCACGGGGGAGCTTTTCTCTTTCTTCTTTCACCTATTAAACTTTCTGCTCTCTTTTTTTTTCTTTCTTGAGACAGAGTCTCTGTTGCCCAGGCTGGAGTGCAATGGCACGATCTCGGCTCACTGCAACCTCCGCCTCCCGGGTTCAAGCTATTCTCCTGCCTTAGCCTCCCAAGTAGCTGGGATTACAGGCGCACGCCACCATGCCTGGCTAATTTTTTGTATTTTTACTAGAAACGGGGTTTCGCCATGTTAGCCAGGCTGGTCTCGAACTCCTGACCTCAGGTGATCCTCCTGTCTTGGCCTCCCAAAGTGCTGGGATTACTGGCGTGAGCCACCGCGCCCGGCCCCAACTTTCTGACTCCTCGTGCGTCTGCGTCTTCATTTTCCTTAGGTCAAGACAACGATCCTTGGGTATTTCCCCAAACGATGCCACTTCACTGCCTCTGACTGCCAAAGTGGTAGGATTACAGACACACGAGTCACCCATGCCAGCTTATGTACATTTGTAACATAACATTGTTACTTGTGTGTACAACCTCCTCATCTTCTGTGGGGGAAGGGAGGGAGGATTAGTTTTAGGGAGAGACTATTATCATCATCCTTGCTTCAAAGTTAAACTATAAACTAAATTTCTCCCATAATAAGTTTGGCCTACATGCAGAGACAGGCAAAAGCAGTTAACCTAAAAGATATCATCACCATAGCCAGTAGGGTGTCGGGGGAGGGGAGGGAAGTTACGAGCAAAATGGAGAAGGGAGTTAGTCATGCCAGGGCACCTTCTCACTGCTACACGTGTGGACATAAGCAACCACCTGGTGGGGCTGCACCAAAGCCCACGTGGCGGCTAACTGGCTGGCTTTCCCCGTTTCCACCCGTGCCTTTGGCGTAGACACACAAACTGTAATCTCCGGCCCCAAACCTGTAGGGGTGGGTTGCCCCTACACACCTGTGGGTGTTTCTCGTAAGGTGGGACGAGAGATTTGGAAAAGAAAAAGACACAGACAAAGTATAGAGAAAGAAATAAGGGGACCCGGGGAACCAGCGTTCAGCATATGGAGGATCCCGCCAGCCTCTGAGTTCCCTTAGTATTTACTGATCATCTGTGGGTGTTTCTCGAAGAGGGGGATGTGTCAGGGTCACAAGACAATTGTGGGGAGAGGGTCAGCAGACAAACGCGTGAACAAAGGTCTTTGCATCATAGACAATGTAAAGGATTAAGTGCTGTGCTTTTAGATATGCATACACATAAACATCTCAATGCTTTACAAAGCAGTATTGCTGCCCGCAGGTCCCACCTCCAGCCCTAAGGCGGTTTTTCCCTATCTCAGTAGATGGAGCATACAATCGGGTTTTATACCGAGACATTCCATTGCCCAGGGACAGGCAGGAGACAGATGCCTTCCTCTTGTCTCAACTGCAAGAGGCATTCCTTCCTCTTTTACTAATCCTCCTCAGCACAGACCCTTTACGGGTGTCGGGCTGGGGGACGGTCAGGTCTTTCCCTTCCCACGAGGCCATATTTCAGACTATCACATGGGGAGAAACCTTGGACAATACCTGGCTTTCCTAGGCAGAGGTCCCTGCGGCCTTCCGCAGTTTTTGTGTCCCTGGGTACTTGAGATTAGGGAGTGGTGATGACTCTTAAGGAGCATGCTGCCTTCAAGCATCTGTTTAACAAAGCACATCTTGCACCGCCCTTAATCCATTCAACTCTGAGTTGACACAGCACATGTTTCAGAGAGCACGGGGTTGGGGGTAAGGTCACAGAATCTCAAGGCAGAAGAATTTTTCTTAGTACATAACAAAATGGAGTCTCCTATGTCTACTTCTTTCTACACAGACACAGTAACAATCTGATCTCTCTTGCTTTTCCCCACAAACCAAGAATCAGGACGACTCAGCAGAAAAAGTCCATCATGCGGTTAAAAGTTCAGCCTCTGCAGAAACAACCCAAGGATGCCTGCTCTGGTCACTTCTATCAGCAGTGCACTGGACGTTCTCGCCAGAACAATTAGGCAAGAAAGGGAAGTAAAAGGCATCCACATTGGGAAGGAAGTAAAACTGTCTCTATTTGCGGATGACATGAGCTCTTCTTTTTTTTTTTTTTTTTTTTTTTTGAGATGGAGTTTCTCTCTTATTGCCCAGGCTGGAGTGCAATGGTGTGACTTTTGCTCACTGCAACTTCCACCTCCCAGGTTCAAGTCATTCTCCTGCCTCAGCCTCCCAAGTAGCTGGAACTACAGGCATGTGCCACCACACCCAGCTAATTTTGTATTTTTAGTAGAGATGAGGTTTCACTATGTTGGTCAGGCTGGTCTCAAACTCCTGACTTCAGGTGATCCACCCACCTCGGCCTCCCAAAGTGCCGGGATTACAGGTGTGAGCCACCACACTTGGCCTTTTTTTTTGAGATGGAGTCATCCAGGCTGGAGTGCAGTGGCGCGATCTTCGCTCACTGCAGCCTCTGCCTCCCAAGTTCAAGCAATTCTCCTGCCTCAGCCTCCCGAGTAGCTGGGATTACAGGCGCCCACCACCACGCCCAGCTAATTTTTGTATTTTTAGTAGAGATGGGGTTTCACCATGTTGGCCAGGTTGATCTTGAACTCCTGACCTCGTGATCCACCTGTCTCAGCCTCCCAAAGTTCTGGGATAACAGGCATGAGCCACCACCCCCAGCCTGGTTTTGTTTGTTTGTTTTTGAGACGGAGTGCAATGGCACGATCTTGGCTCGCTGCAACCTCCGCCTCCCAGGTTCAAGTGATTCTCCTGCCTCAGCCTCCCAGGTAGCTGGGACTACAGGTAATTTCTGTATTTTTAGTAGAGATGGGGTGTCACCATGTTGGCCAGGCTATTCTCGAATGCCTGGCCTCAAGTGATCTATCCACCTCAGCCTCCCAAAGTGTTAGGATTATAGGTGTGAGCCACCGCACCTGACCAACTTTCTTCTTACTAACTCTCCATTATGTCGATTTTGAACATATTAAAAAGTAGAGTCAACCTGGCCAGGCACAGTGGCTCATGCCTATAAGCCCAGCACTTTGAGAGGCTGAGGCGGGCAGATCGCTAAATCTATCCTAAATTCATATGGAATCCATCCTAAATTCATATGCAATTTAAAGGAACCTAGAAGAGCCAAAAATGATCTTGAAAAAGAATAATAAAGGTGGATGATTTAGACTTCCAGATTTCAAAACGTACTACAAAGCTACAGTAATCAAAGCAGGTGATAGTGACATAAGGCTAGACACATAGACAATGGAATAAAAATGAGAACCCAGAAATAAGCCCATACCTCTATGGTCAAGTGCTTTTCAACAAAGTTGCCAAGACCATTTAATGGGAGAAAGAAGCCTCTTCAATAAGTGGTGTTAGGTAAACAGGGTATCCACATGCGGAAGAATGAAGTTGGATCCTTGTCTTACACCACATACAGAAATTTACTCAAAATGGATTGAACACCAAAACTTAAGAGGCAAAAAACTATAAAATTTTTAGAAGAAAATACATGGGAGCCTGGGTGACGTGGCTCATGCCTATAATTCCAGCACTTTGGGAGGCCTAGGTGAGTGGATCACTTGAGGTCAGGAGTTCGAGATCAGCCTGACCAACATGGTGAAACCCCGTCTCTACTAAAAATACAAAATTACCCAGGCATGGTGGTGTGCGGCTGTAATCCCAGTTACTCAGAAGGCTGAGGCAGGAGAATCACTTGAACCGGGGAGGCGGAGGTTGCAGTGAGCTGAGATCCGGCCACTGCAATCCAGCCCGGGTGACAGAGTGAGACTCCGTCTCAAAAAAAAAAAACAAACTATATATCTATATCTATGTCTATATCTATATCTGGGAAAATTTGCATGAGGTTGGCTTTGGTTTTTTTGTTTTTGTTTTTTTTTTTGACAGAATCTTGCTCTGTTGCTCAGGCTAGAGAGCAGTGGCGCTATCTCGGCTCACTACAAGCTCTGCCTCTCGGGTTCACGCCATTCTCCTGCCTCAGCCTCCCAAGTAGCTGGGACTACAGGCGCCCGCCACCGCGCCCTGCTAATTTTTTGTATTTTTTTTTAGTAGAGGCCAGGAGTTTGAGACCAGCCTGGTGGGGTTTCACCATGTTAGCCAGGATGGTCTTGATCTCCTGACCTCGTGATCCGCCCGCCTTGGCCTCCCAAAGTGCTGGGATTACAGGCGTGAGCCACTGTGCCCGGCCATTTGGCGTTGGTTTTTTAAACAACACCAAAAGCACAGGCAACAAAAGAAAAAATGGATAAATCATACTTCATTAAAATTAAAGACTTCTATGCATCAAAGGACACTATGAAGGATGAAAAAATCCACAGAAGAAAACATTTGCAAATCACATATTGATGAGGGTTTAATTTCCAGATTATATAAATAACCCCTATAATTCAATTTTTTTTTTCTTGAGACGGAGTCTCACTCTGTCGCCAGGCTGGAGTGCAGTGGCACGATCTCGGCTCACTGCAACCTCCGCCTCCAGGGTTGAAGCGATTCCCCTGCTTCAGTCTCCTGAGTGGCTGGGACTACAGGCGTGTACCACCACGCCCGGCTAATTTTTTGTATTTTAATAGAGACAAGGTTTCACCATGTTGGCCAGGATGGTCTTGATCTCCAGACCTCATGATCCGCCCGCCTCATTCTCCCAAAGTGTTGGGATTACAAGCGTGAGCCGTTGCGCCCGGCCTTTTTTTTTTTTTTTTTTTTTTTAAGACGGAGTCTTGCTCTGTCACCCAGGCTGGAGTGCAGTGGCGCAATCTTGGCTCACTGCAACCTCCGCCTCCCGGGTTCGAGTGATTCTCCTGCTTTAACCTCCTGAGTGGCTGGGATTACAGGTGCATGCCACCACACCCGGCTAATTTTTATATTTTTAGTGGAGACAGAGTTTCACCATGTTGGCCAGGCTGGTCTCAAACTCCTGGCCTCAAGTGATCTGCCTGCCTTGGTCTCCCAAAGTGCAGGGATTACAGGTGACAATTCAATTTTAAAATGAGCAAAGAGGGCTGAAACAGGAGGATCACTTGAGCCCGGGAGGTTGAGGCTGCAATGAGCAGAGATCGGGCCACTGCACTCCAGCCTGGGTGACAGAATGAGACCTTGTCCCAAACAAAGCAAAACCACTATGAAATACAACTTCATACCCACTAATTTTTATTAGAGCCGGCTCTAATTAAAAAAATGGGAAGTAACAAGTGTTGGCAAGAATGTGGAGAAATGGCTGGTGGGAACGAAAATGGTGTCTCTACTTTGGAAATCGGTTTGGCTATTCCTCAGAAAGTTCAACACAGAGTTACCATATGACACGGCAATTCCATTCCTAGGTCTATGCCCACAGGATTGAAAGCAGGGACTCAAACAGGAACTCGTACGCCAACATTCATAGCGAGGTTATTCACAACAGCCAAAAGGTGGGAACAATTGAAACATCCCTCAGCAGAGGAATGGACAAGCACGATGTGGTACAGTCCCACACCACAATGTTTTGGTTAATGATGGGCCGCACGTATGACTGTCGTCCCATGCGATTATAATGGAGCTGAAAAATTCCTATCGCCCAGTCTATCGTAGCTGTCACAATGTCTACGACAATGTGTTACTCATGTGTTTGTGGTGATGCTGGTGTAAAAGAACAGCAGGAGCATATGATTATGTATTGAACCTAGTATTTTTTATTATTTCTTTTTGAGACAGAGTGTGGCTCTATTGCCCAGGCTGGAGTGCAGCGGTGTAATCTCAGCTCACTGCAACCTCCGCCTCCTGGGTTCAAGCAATTCTCTTGCCTCAGCCTCCCGAGTAGCTGGGATTACAGGCATACAACACCATGCCCAGCTAATTTTTGTACTTTTTTAGTAGAGATGGGATTTCTCCATGTTGGCCAGGCTGGTCTTGTACTCCTGACCTCAGGTGATCCACCCACCTCAGCTTCCCAAAGTGCTGGGATTACAGGCGAGAGCCACCACACCCAGCCTTGTTTTTTTTTTTTGAGACAGAGTCTTGCTGTGTCACCCAGGAGTGCAGTGGTGCCATCTCAGCTCACCGCAACCTCCGCCTCCTACTCTCAGGCGATCCTCCCACCTCAGCCTCCCAAGTAGCTGGGACTACAGGTGCAAGCCCCCACACCTGGCTAACTTTTTGTATTTTTTGGTAGAGACGGGGTCTTGCCATGTTGCCCAGGCTGGTGTTGAACTCCTGGGCTCAAGTGATCTGCCCACCTTAGCCTCCCAAAGGGCTGGGATTACAGGCATGAGCCACCAAGCCCACTGGCATTATTATCACATATCTCAGCTTCATGCATGTTATTGCCCCTGAAAACCTTCTAGGTGGTCAAGATGTGGAGGTGGACAACAGTGATACTGATGATTCTATCCCTGTGTAGGCCTAGGCTCATGTGTGTGCTAATGTCTTTGTTTTGTTTTGTTTAAATAAGAGACAGGGCCTCACTGTGTTGCCCAGACTGGGTTCAGGTCATCCCCTTGCCTCAGCCTCCCGTAGGTGGGACTGCAGGCATATCTTACCTCACCTGGCTTGTGTCTCAGTTTTTAACAAAAAACTTTTAAAAGTAAAAAAATAGGCCAGGTATGGTGGCTCACACCTGTAATCCCAGCACTTTGGGAGGTTGAGGTGGTTGGATCACAAGGTCAGGAGATTGAGACCATCCTGGCCAACATGGTGAAACCCCGTCTCTAATAAAAATACAAAAATTAGGCGGGTGTGATGGCGCGTGCCTGTAATTCCAACTACTCAGGAGGCTGAGGCAGGAGAATCACTTGGACCTGGGAGTTGGAGGTTGCAGTGAGCCAAGATCACGCCACTGCACTCCAGCCTGGTGACAGAGCGAGACTCCGTCTCAAAATAAATAAATAAATAAAAATAAAAAATAAAAGTAAAAAAATAAAAAATAAGAAATTTTAAAAATAGAAAAAAGATTATAGAATAAGGATATAAAGAAAATATTTTTGTACAGCTATGCAATATATTTGCATTATAAACTAAGCATTATTGTAAGAGTGAAAAAGTTCAAAAAAGTTTATAAAGTAAAAATTTTAAAAGTTACATTAAGGGTTAATTTATTATTGAAGAAAGACTTTTTTTTTTTTAAGTTTTTAAAATTTTTCACATACAGACAGGGTCTTATTATGTTGCCCAGGCTGGTCTCAAAGGAATCCTCTAATCTTAGCCTTCCAAAGTCCTGGGATTACAAGCATGAGCCACCATGCCCGGCCAAGAAAGAATTTTTTTTTTTTTTTTGAGGCAGGATCTTGCTCTGTGGACCAGGCTGGAGTGCAGTTGCACGATCATGGCTCACTGCAGCCTCCAACTCCTGGGGTCAAGCAGTTTTCCAAACTCCTCCTGGGCCTCCTAAAGTGCTGGGATTACAGGCCTGAGCCACCATGCCCGGCCAGCCACTGTTCATTATCAGCGGCAGTACACAGCTCTTCTCTCCCAAGGCTGGGGTATCTAAGAACAGGCTTCCCTCATAGCTAAGCTTCAGGGCCACCCCAGCGCCAGAATAACCACATTCTGCAGGGGAGAAATCAGGACGTCCCCAGCCACAGTGGTGCCAGCCTCTGACCACACTCTTTCAGGCTGGGGGTGAAGCAGTCGATAAGGACCAGCCCTGTCCCTGGCCTGAGTCATAGTTTGTTTCCCGGGCCTTTCCATGAAAGGCTCCACCGTGGCCGGGCGCAGTGGCTCACGCCCGTAATCCCAGCACTTTGGGAGGCCGAGGCGGGCGGATCACGAGGTCAGGAAATCGAGACCATCCTGGCTAATAGGGTGAAACCCCGTCTCTACTAAAAATGCAAAAAAAAAAAAAATTAGCCGGGCGTGGGCGTGGTAGTGGGCGCCTGTAGTCCCAGCTACTCGGGAGGCTGAGGCGGGAGAAAGGCGTGAACCCGGGAGGAGGAGCTTGCAGTGAGCCGAGATCGCGCCACTGCACTCCAGCCTGGGCGACAGAGCGAGACTCCGTCACAAACAAACAAACAAACAAACAACAAGCAAACAAAAAACAAGAAAGGCTCCACCGTGACCTAAGCTTTCTCCATGCTCTGGGCTCAGGGATGGGGTGATGCTGTCTCAATCAGGCCTCCAAGGCTGCTCTTGGGGTGGCTCCGGGCCTCATGGCTACACAGAGGGGAAGAGGGGTTGAGCCGCAGAGAGATTAGAAGCTGGGAAATGGAGCCCACAAGGAAAGACTGAGTCCACGGACTGGGGAGCGCCGGGTAGAATTGGAACATCTCCCCCAGGGCGGAAGGAGAGCAGGAACAGCCCCAGCGGAACAGCCGTAGCCGGGCCATCGTCCTCAGACTTGCATCTCCCTGCAAGCGCCCGGGCCTTCCTGCCTGTCAGCCTTGCACTCGCAGCTCCCTCTGCCGGCCACACTCTTCCTCCCTCCTTTCTGGTCAAGTCCCGCTCAGGTCTGGGGGCTCTGCTTCACTGTCACTCCCCCAGGGAAGCCCTCCTTGGCGACCGCCGCTCCACACGCCCTCATAACGCCATGGGCTTCTCCTTCCGAGCCCCACTACCATGGCTATGACCTGGCGAAGTGGCCATTTATATGTTTCAACATGAGTCTCCTCGGCTAGACCGTGAGCTTGTTGGGGGAGGGAAGAGGTCTGTCCTGTCCATGGCTGATTTCCAGCTGGGTGCTCAGCGCGCAGTTCCTGTTTGCTGAGTGCAGGAAGGACCTCAGCCCTTTCCCCAGGGACCCGGGAACCCATGAGCTGAGGTCCTGGTTTGGGGCCATTGCCACTTGTCCCCTTTCCATCCCGTCCATTCTGGGGAGGGGCTGCCTGTGCCATCAGGGGATTTTGCATCTTTTCCTGGGGAGGGAAAGGTGCCACCCCTAGCAGCCTGGCACCCCCAGGCTGGAAGAGCAGAAAGCCTCAGACTCCAGGAGGAGCAGGTGGCGCCAGAAAGGCCACACATCCTCAGGGATGTAGACCTTCACTCAGCCCTCGAGCCTGGGCTTGGGCTCAGGGCTCAGGCTTCCTACCTGAATGCAGCACACCCCGCCCATGGGGTTGTCTCACCCAGAAAGTAAACCTGAGTCTGATGAAGCCTCTAGAGCTGCACTGTCCCATCCAGAAGCTGCTAGCTAATTAATTCTAATTAATAACAACTAAAATTGAGGACTCACTTCCTCTATCACACTAGTCACTTTTTTGTTGTGTGTATGTGAGACAGGGTCTTGCTCTGTTGCCCAGGCTGGAGTGCAGTGGTGCAATTTTGGCTCACTGCAGCCTCAAACTCCCAGGCCTCAAGTGATCCTCCCACCTCAGCCTCCTAAGTAGCTGGGGCTACAGGTGTGCACCACCACGCCTGGGTTATTTTTAAATTTTTTGTAGAGATGGGGGTGGCGGGGTCTCCCTATGTTGCCCAGGCTGGCCTCCATCTCCTGGGCTCAAACACTCCTCCCTTCTCGGCCTCCAAAAGCTCTGGGATTACAGACATGAACCAGTGTGCCCAGCCCCCTCCCATTTTCCAGGGAGCCTGCTGCCGCCCAGCCTCCCTGGAGCTTGCTGTGCTGTTCAGGAGCAGGTGAAGAGGCCAAGAGGGTTGGGGGATGAGGGAGGCAGAGGGGCAGGTGTGAGGGGTTTGGGAGGGTTGAGAGAGGGGAAGGGAGAGCAAGGGCTGTGGGGGAGAGGACACCGAGTATGGCTGTTTGGCCCGCAGCGCCCCCCACCCCACCCCTCTGTAAGTCTCCAGAAAACGCACCTTTTCTTTCCACAGCCCTGGGAGTTGATGTGTCTGGAAGGCTCCATCTGAGGTTGGCCAGAAGGTGGCGGCCACAGGGTCTGGCTTTGTTCCACTTTCAGAAATCTGGGGCCTTCACACCACCCCAAGGTCCTGGAGGGTTGGCTGCCTGGGTTCCTTTTGACGTTCCTAGCCTCACAGGCAGAGCCAGCCCAGATGGGAGTTCAGCAAATATTTGTTGAGTGAATTGATAAGATCCACCTGGGCCCAGTGTAGGGGGCTCCAGACAGCCTGGAAAGGTCACGGGCAGACAGTGAGGGTGGGAGGGGAATGGCAGAGGCTGGACGTTCTAGAGCCTGGACTCCACTCTTCCCTTTGCTTCTGGAACAGGCATGTCTGGGTTTCTTTCTTTCTTTTTTTTTTTTTGAGATGGAGTCTCACCCTGTTGCCCAGGCTGGAGTGCAATGGCGCGATCTCGGCTCACTGCAACCTCCACCTCCCAGGTTCAATCAATTCTCCCGCCTCAGCCTCCCAAGTAGCTGGGACTACAGGTGCACACCACCATGCCCGGCTAAATTTTTGTATTTTTTTTTGAGACGGAGTCATGCTCTGTCGCCCAGGCTGGAGTGCAGTGGCATGATCTCTGCACCACTGCAAGCTCCGCCTCCCGGGTTCACGCCATTCTCCCACCTCAGCCTCCCGAGTAGCTGGGACTATAGGCATCCACCACCACACCCAGCTAATTTTATTTTTGTATTTTTAGTAGAGACGGGGTTTCACCATGTTAGCCAGGATGATCTCGATCTCCTGACCTCATGATCCGCCTGCCTTGGCCTCCCAAAGTGCTGGGATTACAGGCGTGAGCCACCGCACACGGCCTAGCATGTCTGGGTTTCTTGTCCTCTCCTCTGAGATGAGCAGCAGAACCCATCTTTCCACATCACTGAAGACTCCCTGCCGCTGCCCCCATGGTTTGAGTCTGGCCTTTAGCCAGACATGGCTTTTGTTTCCTCCCTTTGCCTTGGCGCCCAGGAAGCTCTGCCTCCGGTCTGCCACGCCTCCCCCCACGCCCACTCTCAAGGCAGAGGCACATAGAGGGAGCGTCTTTAGTGGACACGCTGCCTCCTTCACTCACCTTCAAATGGAGCGCGTTGAGCCCTGTGTGTACCAGGCACCATGCTGGGCACAGTGAACGCACTTCATGTGCTCAGGCAGAACCCGCACAGACAATGCCGTGAAAGAGAAGGAAGCATCCCACACACAAGTTCCCATGACAGGGACTCCAGAGGGGCCATCACCGGGAAGGGGTGTCTCAGCAGAAGCCTGGAGAATATGCTGAGTCAGCCAGGCTTGGAGGAGCCTTGTCTTGGCAGCCAGGGCGCTGCCAGGAGCCTCCCGTTTCCTGGAAAGCTGGAGACCAGAATGTCCACGGACCTCGTCCCTCTGTGGCACTAAGGCCATCTGAATGTCTCAATGGAAAGGCATCCTAGGTCCGAGGTGACACAGTGGCCAGGGGACTTCCAAGCTGTGGCCCCAATGTGCTGTGAGGGTGACCACCTACATCTGCATTTATTTCCAACAGGTACCTCATAGCCTATGGAATGTTCTAGAAACGAGGCTGGCATATGTGTGAAGTTAGCTCAGCAGAGACAACCAGCAGGTGAGTTCATCCATCCATCCATCCACTCTTTTTTTGTTTTGAGACAGAGTCTTGCTCTGTCACCCAGGCTGGAGTGCAATGGCATAATCTCGGCTCACTGCAAATTCTGCCTCCTGGGTTCAAGTGATTCTCCTGCCTCAGCCTCCTGAGTAGCTGGGATTACAGGCGTGCACCACCACACCTGGTTAATTTTTGTATTTTCATTAGAGATGGGGTTTCACCATGTTCATCAGGCTGCTCTCGAACTCCGGACCTCAAGTGATCCGCCTGCCTTGGCCTCCCGAAGTGCTGGGATTACAGATGCGAGCTACCGTGCCCAGTTCCATCCATCCATTTTATAAATATTTACTGAATGCCAGCTATGTCCCAGGTACTGTTCTGGGCACTGGGGACACAGCAGAGAAGAAATGGACAGCAACCACTGCCTGTACCACGCTGACATTCTGGAAGGGGAAACAGTAAACAGAGACTTAAATAGAGACACCATATTGGGCAATGTTGGGAATGTGATGGGCGCAGTGGTCAGGGTAGTAGCAGGTGCTCAGGCCTCCCGGAGGGGTGACATTTGAGCTGAGACTTGAGTCAAGACAGGTTTGAGCATTGTACAAATATGGGGGAAGAATAAATATAAAAACCCTTAGATTGGTTGGGATTTTGCTTTTTATTTTTTATTTTTTTGAGACAGAGTTTCACTCTTGTTGCCCAGGCTGGAGTGCAATGGTGCGATCTTGGCTCACTGTAACCTCCTTCTCCTGGATTCAAGCGATTCTCCTGCCTCAGCCTCCCAGGTGGCTGGGATTACAGGCATGTGTCACCAAGCCTGGCTAATTTTGTATTTTTAGTAGAGACGGGATTTCTCCATGTTGGTCAGGCTGGTCTCGCACTCCTGACCTCAGATGATCTGCCCACCTTGGCCTCCCAAAGTGCTGGGATTCTAGGCGTGAGCCACTGTGCCCGGCCCTGGGATTTTGCTTCTTTAAAGTTAATTTCGAGGTTGGGCACAGTGGCTCATGCCTGTAATCCCAGCACTTTGGGAGGCCAAGGAGGGAAGATTGCTTGAGCCCAGGAATTGACCAGCCCTGGCAACATAGCGAGATCCCATCTCTACAAAAAATTAAAATATTAGCTGGCCAGGGTGGTGTGCACCTGTGGTCCCAGCTAGTTGGGAGGCTGAGGCAGGAGGATCACCTGAGCCCAGGAGGTCGAGGCTGCAGTGAGCCAAGATCTCACCACTACACTCCAGCCTGGGTGACTGAATGAGACCCTGTCTCTAAGAAAACCCAAAATTAATCTTGAAACTATTTAATGTGTATTGTAGGACAATGGAAATAAATATGTAGGAGAAAAGGGATGCAAATACGAAAGAAACAACTGTGAGTTTTGAATTTTAATTAGAAATATCAACATGGCCGGGTGCAGTGGCTCAAGCCTGTTATCCCAGCACTTTGGGAGGCCAAGGCGGGCGGATCATGAGGTCAGGAGATTGAGACCATCCTGGCCAACATGGTGAAACCCTGTCTCTAATAAAAATACAAAAATTAGCCTGGCGTGGTGGCACATGCCTATAATCCCAGCTACTTGGGAGGCTAAGGCAGGAGAATTGCTTGAACCAGGGAGTCGGAGGTTGCAGTGAGATCCTGCCATTGCACTCCAGCCTGGTGACAGAGCAAGACTGTGTCTCAAAAAAGAAAAAAAAAAAAGGATCATTCCAAGATGGCCGAATATGAACAACTCCAGTCTACAGCTCCCAGCATGATTGACGCAGAAGACGGGTGATTTCTGCATTTCCAACTGAGGTACCAGGTTCATCTCATTGGGACTGGTTGGACAGTGGGTGCAGCCCATGGAGTGTGAGCTGAAGCAGGGCGGGGCATCGCCTCACCCAGGAAGTGCAAGGGGTCAGGGGATTTCCCTTTCCTAGCCAAGGGAAACAGTGACAGATGGTACCTGGAAAATTGGGACACTCCCGCCCTAATACTGCACTTTTCTAATGGTCTTAGCAAACAGCACACTAGGAGATTATATCCTGCGCCTGGCTCAGCAGGTCCCATGCCCATGGAGCCTTGCTCACTGCTAGTGTAGCAGTCTGAGATCAAACCGTGAGGCGGCAGCCAGGCTGCAGGAGGGGCGTCTGCCATTGCTGAGGCTTGACTAGGTAAACAAAGTGGCCTGGAAGCTCGAACTGGGTAGAGCCCACTGCAGCTCAACAAGGCCTGTCTGCCTCTGTAGACTCCACCTCTGGGGACAGGGCATAGCTGAACAAAAGGCAGCAGAAACTTCTGCAGACTTAAATGGCCCTGTCTGACAGCTTTGAAGCAAGCAGTGGTTCTCCCGGCATGGAGTTGGAGCTCTGAGAATGGACAGACTGCCTCCTCAAGTGGGTCCCTGACCCTTGACTAGCCTAACTGTGAGACACCTCCCAGTAGGGGCCGACTGACACCTCGTACAGCCGGGTGCCCCTCTGAGACGAAGTTTTCAGAGGAAGGATCAGGCAGCAACATTTGCTGTTCTGCAATATTTGCTTTTCTGCAGCCTCTGCTGGTGATACCCAGGCAAACAGGGTCTGGAGTGGACCTCCAGCAAACTCCAACAGACCTTCAGCTGAGGGTCCTGACTGTTAGAAGGAAAACTAACAAACAGAAAGGAATAGCATCAATATCAACAAAAAGGACATCCACACCAAAACCCCATCTGTAGGTCACCAACATCAAAGACCAAAGGTAGATAAAACCACAAAGATGGGGAGAAACCAGAGCAGAAAAGCTGCAAATTCTAAAAACCAGAGTGCCTCTTCTCCTCCAAAGGATCGCAGCTCCTCGCCAGCAATGGAACAAAGCTGGACAGGGAATGACTTTGACAAGTTGACAGAAGTAGGCTTCAGAAGGTCGGTAATGACAAACTTCTCTGAGCTAAAGGAGGAGGTTTGAACCCATTGCAAAGAAGCTAAAAACCTTGAAAAAGGATTAGATGAATGGCTATCTAGAATAAACAGCATAGAGAAGACCTTAAATGACCTGATGGAGCTGAAAACCATGGCACGAGAACTACGTGACGCATGCACAAGCTTCAGTAGCCGATTTGATCAAGTGCAAGAAAGGGTATCAGTGATTGAAGATCACATGAATGAAATGAAGCGAGAAGAGAAGTTTAGAGAAAAAAGAACAAAGCCTCCAAGAAATATGGGACCAGGTGAAAAGCCCAAATCTACCTTTGATTGGTGTACCTGAGAGTGACGGGGAGAATGGAACCAAGCTGGAAAACACTCTTCAGGATATTATCCAGGAGAACTTCCCCAATCTAGCAAGGCAGGCCAACATTCAAATTCAGGAAATACAGAGAACACCACAAAGATACTCCTCAAGAGGAACAACCCCAAGACACATAACTGTCAGATTCACCAAGGTTGAACTGAAGGAAAAAATATTAAGGGCAGCCAGAGAGAAAGGTTGGGTTACCCACAAAGGGAAGCCCATCAGACTAACAGCAGATCTCTCAGCAGAAACTCTACAAGCCAGAAGAGAGTGGGGGCCAATATTCAACATTCTTAAAGAAAAGAATTTTCAACCCAGAATTTCATATTCAGCCAAACTAAGCTTCATAAGTGAAGGAGAAATAAAATCCTTTACAGACAAGCAAAGGCTGAAAGATTTTGTTACCACCAGGCCTGCCTTACAAGAGCTCCTGAAGAAAGCACTAAACATGGAAAGGAACAACCGGTACCGGCCACTGCAAAAACATGCCAAATTGCAAAGACCCTCAATGCTAGGAAGAAACTACATCAACTAACGGGTAAAATAACCAGCTAACATCATAATGACAGGATCACATTCACACATAGCAATATTAACCTTAAATGTAAATGGGCTAAATGCCCCAATTAAAAGACACAGACTGGCAAATTGGATAAAGAGTCAAGACCGATCAGTGTGCTGTATTCAGGAGACCCATCTCATATGCAAAGACACACATAAGCTCAAAATAAAGGGATGGAGGAAGATCTACCAAGCAAATGGAAAACAAAAAAAGCAGGGGTTGCAATCCTAGTCTCTGATAAAACAGACTTTAAACCAACAGAAATCAAAAGAGACACAGAAGGCCATTACATAATGGTAAAGGGATCAATTCAACAAGAAGAGCTAACTATCCTAAATATATATGCACCCAATACAGGAGCACCCAGATTCATAAAGCAAGTCCTTAGAGACCTACAAAGAGACTTAGATTCCCACACAATAATAATGGGAGACTTTAACACCCCACCGTCAGCATTAGACAGATCAACAAGACAGAAGGTTAACAAAGATATCCAGGAACTGAACTCAGCTCTGCACCAAGTGGACCTAATAGACATCTACAGAACTCTCCACCCCAAATCAACAGAATATACATTCTTCTCAGCACCACATTGCACTTATTCCAAAATTGACCACATAGTTGGAAGTAAAGCACTCCTCAGCAAATGTAAAAGAACAGAAATCGTAACAAACTGTCTCTCAGACCACGTGCAATCAAATTAGAACTCAGGATTAAGAAACTCACTCAAAACTGCACAACTACATGGAAACTGAACAATCTGCTCCTGAATGACTACTGGGTAAATAATGAAATGAAGGCAGAAATAAAGATGTTCTTTGAAACCAATGAGAACAAAGACACAATGTACCAGAATCTCTGGGACACATTTAAAGCAGTGTATAGAGGGAAATTTATAGCACTAAATGCCCACAAGAGAAAGCAGGAAAAATCTAAAATTGACACCCTAACATCACAATTAAAAGAACTAGAGAAGCAAGAGCAAACAAATTCAAAAGCTAGCAGAAGGCAAGAAATAACTAAGATCAGAGCAGAACTGAAGGAGATAGAGACATAAAAACCCTTCAAAAAATAAATGAATCTAGGAGCTGGTTTTTTGAAAAGATCAACAAAATAGATAGACCGTTAGCAAGACTAATAAAGAAGAAAAGAGGCCGGGCACGGTGGCTCACGCCTGTAATCCCAGCACTTTGGGAGGCCGAGGCGGGCGGATCACGAGGTCAGGAGATCGAGACTATCCTGGCTAACACAGTGAAACCCCGTCTCTACTAAAAATACAAAAAAAAAAAAAAATTAGCCAGGCGTGGTGGTGGACGCCTGTAGTCCCAGCTACTCAGGAGGCTGAGGCAGGAGAACGGCGTGAACCCGTGAGGCGGAGCTTGCAGTGAGCTGAGATTGCACCACTGCACTCCAGCCTGGGCGACAGTGTGAGACTCCGTCTCAAAAAAAAAAAAAAAAAAAAAAGAAAAGAAAAGAAGAAAAGAGAGAAGAATCAAATAGACACAATAAAAAATGATAAAGGGGATATCACCACCGATCTCACAGAAATACAAACTACCATCAGAGAATGCTAAAAACACCTCTATGCAAATAAATTAGAAAATCTAGAAGAAATGGATAAATTCCTGGACACATACACCCTCCCAAGATTAAACCAGGAGAAGTTGAATCCCTGAATAGACCAATAACGGGCTCTGAAATTGACGCAATGGTTAATAGCCTACCAACCAAAAAAAGTCCAGGACCAGATGGATTCATAGCCAAATTCTACCAGAGGTACAAAGAGGAGCTGGCACCATTCCTTCTGAAACTATTCCAATCAATAGAAAAAGAGGGAATCCTCCCTAACTAATTTTAGGAGGCCAGCATCTCCTGATACCAAAGCCTGGCAGAGAAACAACAAAAAAAGAGAATTTTAGACCAATATCCCTGATGAACATCGATGCGAAAATCCTCAATAAAATATGCCAAACCAAATCCAGCAGCACATCAAAAAGCTTATCCACCACGATCAAGTTGGCTTCACCCCAGGATGCAAGGCAGGTTCAACATACACAAATCAATAAACGTAACCCATCACATAAACAGAACCAAAGACAAAAACCACATGATTATCTCAATAGATGCAGAAAAGTCCTTCAACAAATTCAACAGCCTTTCATGCTAAAAACTCTCAATAAACTAGGTATTGATGGGATGTATCTAAAAATAATAAGAGCTATTTATGACAAATCCACAGCCAATATCATACTGAATGGGCAAAAACTGGAAGCATTCCCTTTGAAAACTGGCACAAGACAGGGATGCCCTCTCTCACCACTCCTATTCAACATAGTGTTGGAAGTTCTGGCCAGGACAATCAGGCAGGAGAAAGAAATAAAGGGTATTCAGTTAGGAAAAGAGGAAGTCAAATTTTCCCTCTTTGCAGATGACTTGATTGTATATTTAGAAAACCCCATCATCTCAGCCCAAAATCTCCTTAAGCTGATAAGCAACTTCAGCAAAGTCTCAGGATACAAAATCAATGTGCAAAAATCACAAGCATTCCGGTACACTAATAACAGACAAACAAGAGCCAAATCATGAGTGAACTCCCATTCACAATTGCTTCAAAGAGAATAAAATACCTAGGAATCCAATTTATAAGGGATATGAAGGACCTCTTCAAGGAGAACTACAAACCACTGCTCAACGAAATAAAAGAGGACACAAACAAATGGAAGAACATTCCATGCTCATGGATAGGAAGAATCAATATGGTGAAAACGGCCATACTGCCCAAGGTAATTTATAGATTTAATGCCATCCCTGTCAAGCTACCAATGACTTTCTTCACAGAATTGGAAACAACTACTTTAAAGTTCATATGGAACCAGAAAAGAGCCCGCATCGCCAAGTCAATCCTAAGCAAAAAGAACAAAGCTGAAGGTATCATGCTACCTGACTTTGAACCATACTACAAGGCTACAGTAACCAAAACAGCATGATACTGGTACCAAAACAGAGATATAGACCAATGGAACAGAACAGAGCCCTCAGAAATAATACCACACATCTACAACCATCTGATCTTTGACAAACCTGACAAAAACAAGAAATGGGGAAAGGATTCCCTATTTAATAAATGGTGCTGGGAAAACTGTCTAGCCATATGTAGAAAGCTGAAACTGGATCCCTTCCTTATGCCTTATACAAAAATTAATTCAAGAAGGATTAAAGACTTAAATGTTAGACCTAAAACCATAAAAACCCTAGAAGAAAACCTAGGCAATACCATTCAGGACATAGGCATGGGCAAGGACTTCATGACTAAAACACCAAAAGCAATGGCAACAAAAGCCAAAATAGACAAATGGGATCTAATTAAACTAAACAGCTTCTGCACAGCAAAAGAAATTACTATCAGAGTGAACCTACAGAATGGGAGAAAATTTTTGCAATCTACCCATCAGACAAAGGGCTAATATCCAGAATCTACAAAGAAACAAATTTACAAGAAAAAAAATCAAACAACCGCATCAAAAAGTGGGCAAAGGATATGAACAACCACTTCTCAAAAGAAGACATTTATGCAGCCAACAGACACATGAAAAGATGCTCATCATCACTGGCCATCAGAGAAATGCAAATCAAAACCACAGTGAGATACCATCTCACACCAGTTAGAATGGTGATCATTAAAAAGTCAGGAAACAACAGGTGCTGGAGAGGATGTGGAGAAATAGGAACACTTTTACACTGTTGGTGGGAGTGTAAACTAGTTCAACCATTGTGGAAGACAGTGTGGTGATTCCTCTAGGATCTAGAACTAGAAATACCATTTGACCCAGCGATCCCATTACTGGGTATACACCCAAAGGATTATAAATCATGCTAATATAAAGACACATACACACGTATGTTTATTGCGGCACTATTCACAATAGCCAAGACTTGGAACCAACCCAAATGTCCATCAGTGATAGACTGGATTAAGAAAATGTGGCATGTATACATCATGGAATACTATGCAGCCATAAAAAGGATGAGTTCATGTCCTTTGCAGGGACATGGATGAAGCTGGAAACCATCATTCTGAGCAAACTATCGCAAGGACAGAAAACCAAACACTGCATGTTCTCACTCACAGGTGGGAAGTGAACAATGAGAACACTTGGACGCAGGATGGGAAACATCACACACTGGGGCCTGTTGTGGGGTGGGGGGAGGGGGGAGAGATAGCATTAGGAGAAATACCTAATGTAAATGATGAGTTAATGGGTGCAGCAAACCAACATGCCACATGCATACACATGTAACAAACCTGCATGTTGTGCACGTGTACCCTAGAACTTAAAGTATAATTTAAAAAATAAAATAAAAATAAATAAATAAATAAAGTGTTAAAAAAAGAAAGAAATATCAACATGAACTTATGAATTTGGGGGTAGCCTTCCTGTCTTTGGCACACTGGAAGAGCTGTGGCGTAGTTTCTCAGGGCTACGGTAACAAAATGTCACAAACTGGTGGCTTAGAACACAGAAATGTTCTGCCCCAAATTTCTGGAGGCTTGAGGTCCAAAGTGAGGGGGTGGAAAGGGCCACGCTGTGTCTGAAGGTGCTGGGAATCCTCCCTCCCAGGCCTCTCTGCAGCCTCGGCCACGCTGCGTCTGAAGGTGCTGGGAATCCTTCTGCCCAGGCCTCTCTCCAGCCTCCAGCAGCCTCCAGTGTTCCTTGGAGTGTGGCGGAGTCACTCCTGTCCTCCCTCTTCACAGCCTGTCTTCTCCCTGTGTCTTTTTTTTTTTTTTTGAGACAGAGCTCTGTCACCCAGGCTGGAGTGCAGTTGTGCAATCACAGCTCACTGTAACCTCCGCCTCCCAGGTTCAAGCAATTCTCCTGCCTCAGCCTCCCAAGTAGCTGGGATTACAGGCATTCACCACCATGCCTGGCTAATTTTTGTATTTAGTAGAGATGGAGTTTCACCATGTTGTCCAGGCTGGGCTCGAACTCCTGGGCTCAGGTGATCCACCCATCTCAGCCTCCCAAAGTGCTGGGATTACAGGCGTGAGCCACTGCGCCCGGCCTTCTCTCTGCGTGTTAATGTTGCTTTCCCTCTTTCCTTCTGCATGTCTTCTCTGTGTGGCCATTTCTCCTTTCTATTTTTTATTTATTTATTTATTTTGAGACAGAGTCTTGCTCTGTTGCCCAAGCTAGAGTGCAGGGGCATGATCTTGGCTCACTGCAACCTCTGCCTCCCAGGTTCAAGTGATTCTTCTGCCTCAGCTTCCCAAGTAGCTGGGATTATAGGCATGCACCACCATGCCTGGCGAATTTTTATATTTTTAGTAGAGACGAGATTTCACCATGTTGGCCAGGCTGGTCTCGAACTCCTGACCTCAAGTGATCCACTTGCCTTGGCCTCCCAAAGTGCTGGGATTACAGGCATGAGCCAATACGCCTGCCCCCCTCCTTTTGATTTTAATTTCATATTTTTGAGATGGAGTCTTACTCTGTGGCCCAGGCTGGAGTGCAGTGGTGTGATCCTAGCTCACTGCAGCCTCAAACTTCTGGGCTGAAGTGATCCTCCTGCCTCAGCCTTCGGAGTGTCTGGGACCATGGCATGTGGTGCCACCACACCCGGCTAGTTTTATGTTGTTATTGAGACAGAGTCTTCCTATGTTGCTCAGGCTGATCTCAAACTCCTGGGCTCCTCCCACTTCAGCCTCCTAAAGTGTTGGGATTACAGGCGTGAGCCACTGCACCGGGCCACATTTCCCCTTTTTATAAGGACACCGGTCATATTGGATTAGGGTCTCACCCCCCGATGACCGCATCTTAACCCGGTTACCTCGGTAAAGACCACATGAGGTCACATTCTGAGGGACTGGAGGTTAGAACATCAGCATATTTTTTTGGGGACGCACAATTCACCCCTTAACAGCCTGTAAGCAAAGACAACTTGGTAGCAGCGAGCACAGCAAGCTCTCAGATCCTGGGGCATTTGCTGCTGGCCTTCCTCAGGTCAAAAGATCTGATGCTGCCCCTACTCCACTCACACATCCAGCTGAGGCCCAGGGGTTGCAAAAGCCTGGACTGGAGGGTGTGAGGACCTTTCACGAACGCCGCCTACCCTGAGCTAGCTGGGGGTCCCTGTGCATTACGCAGTCAGGCTGGAGCCCTGGCCCCAGCGGCAGGTGTCAGATTAGAGAAAGAGGGGCTGTAGCTAGGCCAGCTCCCTCATGTTGCAGATGAGGAAACTGAGCTCAGGGGATGTGGGCTGATCTTGGACCACAGAGGATGTTAGTGTTGGGGCCGCACTGGGATCAGGTCTTCCGAGCTCTCCCACCCCTCTCTGCCACCCGCAGCTTGGACACTCCTTGCTCTGGGAGGCCTCCATGGCCACCTGGGCCAGGGCCCTTCATTACGCATCCTACTGCACTGATCGTGACACACAGCCCCTCTCCCCTCATCTCCTCCGGCCCCCATCGCTCCGCGCTGACCCCACTGACCTCTCGCTCTTCCTTGAACTGGCACAGGCCTTCGCTGGCCTCCCAGGTCTCTGCAAAGATCTCTCCCTCACTGCTTCGGGTATTTCCTCAAAGGTGGGCTCCCTGGCCATCGCATCTCAAACACAAGCCTCCTGCTGGCTCTTCCTAGTTCCTCTCCGTAGCTCTTACCACCGGAAAGTTTTGTGATCCTGTTTACAGAGGAGGACTCTGGAGCTCAGGGAGGGTGTGGCTTGTGCAGGCCACTGAGAGGGCAGGACCAGGACCCAGACTTGACTGTCACATTGATGCCCAAACCAGGCAGTGCTGCCCTTTGAGCCTCCAAAGGGAAGGGAATGGGTCTCATTCTCTTTGTCCTCCTTCGCCGTACCATGCTGGTGCATATGTAATAAGGGCCATGAATTTAACTTGATCAGAAAGGGCACATTTTGGACTCCAACTTGGGATAGGAAAGCTCCCTGGCCACCTGAGTTGGATGCCCCTGCAATGACCACCTTTTCCCACTAGAGGGCGCTGTAGGACAGAAACTCAGCCGAGAGTGGCCCTGACAGCCGGGTCCATTGAGACCAGCCTGGACAGCCAGGGCTCCCAAGGCTCGCCCTTCAGGACAGCTGCCTCACTGGGTCCTTATAGCAAAACCAGAAATGAAGTACCATTACCATCCCCACTTTACACATTAAGAAATCGAGGACCAGCCTGGCCAACATGGTGAAACCCCGTCTCTACTAAAAATAGAGAGAAACCCCATCTCTACTTGGAAGGCTGAGGCATAAGAATCACTTGAACCTGGGAGGCGGATGTTGCAGTGAGCCAAGATCGAGCCACTATACTCCAGCCTGGGCGACAGAGTAAGACTCTGTCTCAAAAAAAAAAAAAAAAAAAAAAAGGCCAGGCACGGGTGGCTCACGCCTGTAATCCCAGCACTCTGGGAGGCCGAGGCAGGCAGATCACGAGGTCAGGAGATCGAGACCATCCTGGCTAACACAGTGAAACCCCATCTCTACTAACAAATACAAAAAATTAGCCGGGTGTGGTGGTGGATGCCTGTAGTCCCAGCTACTCGGGAGGCTGAGGCAGGAGAATGGCGTGAATCCGGGAGGCGGAGCTTGCAGTGAGCCGAAATCGTGCCACCCACTGCACTCCAGCCTGGGCGACAGAGCGAGAGTCTGTCTCAAAAAAAAAAAAAAAAAAAAAAAGAAAGGAAAGAAAAGAAAAAAGAAACCAAGGCTCAGGCCGAGCAGTGTGTGGCTCATGCCTGTAGTCCCAGCACTTTGGGAGGCTGAGGCCAGAGGATGGCTTCAGCACAGGAGTTGAGGCCAGCCTCGGCAACATGGTGAGACCCCCGTGTCTACAAAAACAAATACAAATGTTAGCTGGGTGTGGTGGCACAGGCCTATAGTCGCAGCTACTCAGGAGGCTGATGTGGGAGGATTGCTTGAGCCCAGGAGGTCAAGGCTGCAGTGAGCTATGATTGTGCCACTGTGTTCCAGCCTGGGTGACAGAATGACACCTTGTTTCAAAAAGAAAGAGAGAGAGAGAGAGAGAGGGAGGGAGGGAGGGAAGAAGGAGAAAAGAAAAGAAAAGAAAAGAAGGAAGGAAGGAAGGAACCAAGGCTTAGTGTTGATAAGGGATTTGTCCCAAGTGAGCACCTTAGAAATGGGAGAACCAGGGCTGCAACTCAGCTCCCATCCCAAACCCACACTGTTGGCTGCTCAAACCCCTTCCCTCTCCCAGGCTGCTTGGCTCTGTCTTTCCTCCTGGATCCCTTCTAGGAAGGGTCCCTTCAGCTCGGTGAGATTTGCCCAATATGCTCAGCAGTGGGTTGGGGGGCTCCCCCACATTAATTTGTTCTGGGAGACTCTGGGCTGTGGGGCTGCTAGGGGGCACCTGGAGAAGGAGTAGGGGTGGGGCTGTGTTGCCATGGGGAGGGGGATCCGGGCCGCAGGGCTGGGAGTCCTTCTGTTCCAGCCCCTGGCAGAGCCGGCCCCCTGGGAACCGGCCAGGCTTATTAATATCCTGCTGAGTCAGGGGGCGCTTGAGTTTCGGCATCACAAGACCCAGAGGCTGAGCACTGCAGGGATATTCTTAACTCCCCAGGCACCCTCTCCCTCCCACCGGCCCTGCCCACCCCTGGCTGGGGCCTTGCAGGCCTGAGTTGCCACGTGGCCTGGGGTAAAGCACTTCCCCGGACTGTGAAATGGAGACAAGAACTGTCCTGCCCCGGCTGTAATTAGACAGTGTTCCTAAACGGTTTGATGTATGCGAAGGGCTAAGAAGCAAGAGCTGTCCTGGAAAATGCTTTTTTTTTTTTTTTTTTTTTTTTTTGAGACGGAATCTCGCTCTGTTGCCCAGGCTGGAGTGCAGGGGCGTGATCTCAGCTCACTGTGACCTCTGTCTCCAGAGTGCAAGCCATTCTTCTGCCTCAGCTGGAATTACAGGCGCCCACCACCACGCCCGGCTAATTTTTGTATTTTTAGTAAAGACGGGGTTTCACTATGTTGGCCAGGCTGTTCTCAAACTCCTGTCGTCAGGTGATCCTCCTGCCTCAGCCTCCCAAGTGCTGAAATTACAGGCATGAACCACCGCACCTGGCCTAGAAAATGCTTTTTTGAGGACCTGCTACACAGGGGCCCTGGCCTGGAGGCTGGGGTCCTACAGCAAGGGGTGGCGCAGCCCCTCTCTTACAGAGCTCACTGCCTGCACCCACAGGCCCCCGCCAGCAGCCTCAGCTGAGTGGGCTCGGCCAGGGCTGGACACAAGCTGGGCCTGGGTTTGAGCTCTCCTGGCCATTTGGAATCGGGTCTGGGAGACTCTGGTCACATGGGGTGGGCTCTGTCTAACTGGAAGAGAAACTGGACTTGGGGTGAGGGATCCATGAGGGGCAGCCATGATAGCAGAGGGGGCTGGTCTGCAGAGGATGGAATGAGGCACATGCACAAAAGCCCGGGGCCCCAGGAGAGAGGCTCCCCTGCTCCCAGCTCTGCCCCTTGCACCCTCTTCCCAGCCCAGGTTCCAGGAAGCTGCCCTGTGTCCTCAGACACTGCCCTCATGGCTACTCCCAACCCACACAGCCCTGCAGAGGCAGGTGGAGGGGAGAGCACTTCTTCATCTCCGGGCCCTTGGGATTCCAGCAGTCATGGTTTTTGTGTTTTTTTGTTTTTGTTTTTGTTTTTGAGACAGGGTCTTGCTCTGTTGCCTAGTCTTGTCTTGAACTCCTGGGCTCAAGGGATCCTTCCTCGTTGGCCTCCCAAAGCACTGGGAGCCAGTGTCATGGTTTAAAAACCGTTTACAGGGCTAGGTGTGGTGGCTCACGCCTGTAATCCCGGCACTTTGGGAGGCCGAGGCGGACAGATCACGAGGTCAGGAGATTGAGATCATCCTGGTTAACACAGTGAAACCCCATCTCTACTAAAAATACAAAAAATCAGCTGGGCGTGGTGGCACATGCCTGTAATCCCAGCTAGTGTCTTTCTCTGTCACCCAAGCTGGAGTGCACTAGTTGGGAGGCTGAGGCAGGAGAATCGCTTAAACCTGGGAGGCAGAGGTTACAGTGAGCCGAGACTGCACCACTGCACTCCAGCCTGGGCGACAGAGTGAGACTCTCTCAAAAACAAAAACAAAAACAAAAACAAAACAAAAAAAACCACATTTACATGCCGGGTGTGGTGGCTTGTGCCTATAATCCCAGGACTTTGGAAGGCCGAGGTAGGTGAATCACTTGAGGTCAGGAGTTCGAGACCAGCCAGTCCAACATGGTGAAACCCTGTCTCTACTAAAAATACAAAAATAAGTTGGGCATGCTGGTGGGGGCCTGTAATCTCAGCTACTTGGGAGGCTAAGGCAGGAGAATCACTTGAACCCAGCAGGTGGAAGTTGCAGTGAGCTGAGATCACACCACCACACTCCAGCTTGGGTGACAGAGAAAGACACTATCTAAAAAAAACAAAAACAAAACATTTACTGAGGGCTTACCAGTCCCCAAGCCCATTTTGCGTGCAATATGTGTGCCATCTCCCCAAACCCTCATGAGGTGCCTTTGAGGTAGGTACTTGGTTCTCCTCTTTTTTTTTTTAGATGGAGTTTCACTCTTGTTGCCCAGGCTGGAGTTCAGTGGGCTCACTGCAACCTCCGCCTCCCGGGTTCAAGCGCTTCTCCTGCCTCAGCCTCCCAAGTAGCTGACACTACAGGAGGCTGCCACCACGCCCGGCTAATTTTTGTATTTTTAGTAGAGATGGGGTTTTACCATGTTGGCCAGGCTGGTCTCAAACTCCTGACCTCAGGTGATCCGCCCACCTCGGCCTCCCAGAGTGCTGGGATTACAGGCGTGAGTCACTGCGCCCGGCTGGCCGGTTCTCCTCATTTTACAGATGAGGAAATGGAGTCTTACACGGTAAGTCAAAGCCACTAAGTAATGGAGCTATGCCTCGAATCTGGGCCTGGCTGATATCTGAGCCCTGATTCTTAACCTTCATTCTAGACTCATTCATTCAGTGTGACATCTGTAGATTTGTCGACACAATTAATGGGTGAATAAAATAACTTCAGGCTGGGCGCACTGGCTTATGCCTGTAATCCCAGTACTTTGGGAGGCTGAGGTGGGAGGATCACTTAAGCCCAGGAGTTTGAGACCAGCCTGGGTAGGTGAGACCCCCCTGTCTCTATAAAAAATTAATAAATTAGTCAGGCATGGTGGTGCATGCCTATAGTTCCAGCTACCCTGGAGGCTGAGGCAGGAGGATCGCTTGAGCCCAGGAAGTAGAGGCTGTAGTGAGCCATGATTGTGTCACTGCACTCCTGCCTGGGTGACAGAGTGAGATCCTGTCTGAAAAACAAAACAAAACAAAACAAAACAAAACAAAAAAAACCAACTTTGTACCTAGCAAATTCCTCTTTTCATGTCCTTGACCCCAGGGGCCCTTACACTGTGAGCCCCTGGGGACAGTGACTGGGTCTCCCTCCCCTCACTCCCACCCCCATGCACACACAGGGTCCGCCCAAGGCTGTGCTCCCTGCACAATTTTTTTTTTGAGATGGAGTCTCGCTCTGTCGCCAGGCTGGAGTGCAATGGTGCGATCTCACCTCACTGCAACCTCTGCCTCCCGGGTTCAAGCAATTCTCCTGCCTCAGCCTCCCAAGTAGCTGGGACTACAGGCGTGCACCACCACACCTAGCTACTTTTTGTATTTTTAGTAGAGATGGGGTTTCACTATGTTGGCCAGGCTGGTCTTGAACTCCTGACCTCAGGTGATCCACCCACCTCAGCCTCCCAAAGTGCTGAGATTACAGGCATGAGCCACTGTGCCCAGCCCGCTCCCTGCACATTTGATGGATTCCAGGGTACTCTGTGAACACTGACCCCTCTTCAAATCCTGCCCACAGCTTGTCAAATGGGGCCTCAGCGCAGAAGGCCAGCAGGGCCCTTATCAGTCAGCCCCACATGTGTCTGAGAGCCCACAGCAGGCAGCCCATTCTATGCCAAGCCCCTCACGAGCCCCGTTATCAAGGGACACATTCCAGCCAGGCCTCCCTTGTAAGGAGGGGAAGAGAAAGCCTGCCGCTTTCCGGCCAAGTGGGGAGGGGGCGCAGGGGCAGGAAGAGGATTATCACAGCAGGAAGGCCAGATGCTGGACTTGTTTCTTCAGGCAGCTTGAGAAAACACCACTGGGCTGGCTTGGCCGCCCTCAGGCCTAGAATGTGACCCTTCTCAGGAGGGGACCCCCTCCCTGCACTGCTGGGGTGAGGGTAGGTGGGGACAGGGACAACTGGTTCTTAGGAAGCCAAGAGAGCTCGTGTTTGCTCCCAGGAGCCTGGATGTGGCTGGTGAAGGTGGCTGGGGGTTTAGCCAGAGGCTGGAGGATTCTTCTGGGGAGGGTCTCAAAGCACCTTCCCCCGTGTGGCCTGCTCTCCCCAGGCTCAGCCAGCACCTGCCACGGGGGAGGACTCCAGCTGGTGAAAGAATAAACGAGCCAGAATGCAGGCCTGAAGGCTCAGGCTTTCTTTTTTTTTTTTGAGATGGAATCTCGCTCGTCACCAGGCTGGAGTGAAGTGGTGTGATCTCGGCTCACTGCAACCTCCGCCTCCCGGGTTCAAGCGATTCTCCTGCCTCAGCCTTCCGAGTAGCTGGGACTACAGGCGCGCACCACCATGCTTGGCTAATTTTTGTATTTTTAGTAGAGACAGGGTTTCACCATGTTGGCCAGGATGGTCTCGATCTCCTGACCTCGTGATCCACCCGCCTCGGCCTCCCAAAGTGCTGAGATTACAGGTGTGAGCCACTACTCAGCCTGGGTTTTCTTATTTTGTAGAAAATCCATTTCCCTCGTGCAATACTTGATGAGTCAGGCTTGATAGTGGGTGGTTGAGGATTTGGAGACACAAATCAGGTGGCTGGGTTGGATGTTGGAAAAGTCAGTAAGCTTTGCTGAGTCTCAATTTTCTCATCCTTAATGATAGATATTGGAAGCTCTTTCTTCATGTGGCAGTGTGTGTCAAGGGCTTAGTATAGAGCTGGCCCTGGTGGGTACTGCTGAAACTCTCTCTGTGGGCCACATACACGCACACGCACACACACACACAGTCACACTCACACATACACACACTTAGCACTAATTAAACAGCAGGTGGCCAGGCATGGTGCCTCATGCCTGTAATCCCAGCACTTTGGGAGGCCGAGGTGGGCGGATTGCTTGAGCTCAGGAGTTCGAGACCTTCCCTGAAAACCCCATCTCTACCAAAAATACAAAAAATTAGCCAGGCACGGTGGCGCATGTCTGTGGTCCCAGCTACTCTGGAGGCTGAGGTTGGAGGATCACTTGAGCTCAGGAGATGGAGGTTGCAGTGAGCCGAGATTGCATCATTGCACTCCAGCCTGGGTGACACAGTGAGACCCTATCTCAATAAATAAGTAAATGAATAAACAGCAGGCATAGCCAGTCTCTTTACATGGATAAGCACACTCAATCCTCATCAGCACTCTGAGAACAAGATACAGTTGTTATTCCCATGGTACAGATGAAGAAACCGAGGCTTAGATGAATGAAATCACTTGTCTAGGGTCACACCAGCCTAAGCAGAAGAACAGGGTTGGATCCCAGGCTGTTTGACCTCAACATGTGCATTCTTGGTGCCACATTTTCATGCCTTCAAATGGATTCATGAACCACTCATGGCCAAGGCAAGATGCAAAGAGCAGCCTGTGCCATGCCCTCCAAGGTCCCCCTGATCACAGAGGAGCTTGCCAGACCCTGTGTAGACTCCACTTCCCTTTGCACAAACCCTCGAGCCTGGAGCCTTGTCTTTCCAGCCGTTGGTAAACCAGAAGCAGCAGACGGGGAAGGTGGTGCCGGCTCAGCCCAGCGAGGCACGCAGAGGCCACAGCACCACATACTTCTGAGGGTCTGGGAGCAAGGCTGGTGCAGGGAGGCTTTTGAGGGGGACCGGGAGGACTCTAGAAACAAAGCCAGCCACGCCCCTCAGCTTGGGGGGAAACAGCTCCCGACACATCACCAGCCCCTAAGGTGTCACAGCAGAGTCACCCAACAGTGAGAAGCCTGGGAAACAGCGGAGGGGCACCGGCTTTGAGTTGCACATGAGTGGCTCAGATTTCAGTGCTTCAGGGGCCTCAGCTTTTGAGTCATGACTGTGGGAGCCCTGAGGGACACACCTGCTCCCTCCACCTGACCCGGGATGAGCATATTTTTTGAAGCATTGTTGGTCTTACGGAAAGGAGAGTTCATGGAAACGGCCCCCTCCCCAATTCAAACAGGAGATAAATCAAGAAATGTGAGCCGCTCCACAGTGGCTGAAGAAGAAAGCGTGGGTGGTCAGGTGCTGGGCACAGAGGTGGGATCTGGGCCCAGGGCAGTGGCCAACCAAAGGTCCTGAGAGGAGGAAACTGGTCTGGCCTGGCAGGTATCAGTGGGCTGGGAGGTCAGAGGCCAGGTTCCCACAGCAACACCGCCACAGGCGTGGTGGGCATGGTGGCGTGCGTCTGTGATCCCAGCTACTCAAGAGGCTGAGGTGGGAGAATCACCTGAGCCCCAGAAGTCGAGGCTGCAGTGAGCTGAGATTGTGCCACTGCACTCCAGCCTGGGTGACAGAGCGAGACCCTGTCTCAAAACAAAAACCAAAAAACTGGCTGGGTACTGTGGCTCACGCCTGTAATCCCAGCACTTTGGGAGGCTGAGGCAGGTGAACTGCTTGAGCTGACGAGTTTGAGACCAGCCTGGGCAACATGGCAAAATGCCGTCTCTACAAAAATTGCAAAAATTAGCTGGGTGTGGTGGTGCATGCCTGTAGTCCCAGCTACGTGGGAGGCAAGACGGGAGGATTGCTTGAGCCCAGGAGGCAGAAATTGCAGTGAGCTGTGTCATGCCACTGCACTCCAGCCTAAGTGACAGAACTAGACCTTGTCTCAAAACAAAAACCAAAAAACTGGTTGGGCATGGGGGCTCATGCCTGTAATCCCAGCACTTTGGGAGGCTGAGGCGGGTGAATTGCTTGAGCTCACAAGTTCGAGACCAGCCTGGGCAACATGGCAAAACGCTGTCTCTACAAAAATTGCAAAAGTTAGCTGGGTGTGGTGGCGCATGCCTGTAGTCCCAGCTACGCGGGAGGCAAGATGGGAGGATTGCTTGAGCCCAGGAGGCAGAAGTTGTAGTGAGCTGTGTCACGCCACTGCACTCCAGCCTGAGTGGCAGAACTAGACCCTGTCTCAAACAAAACAAAACAAACAAAAAACCCAAAAATTAGCCAGGCATGGTGGTGCATGCCTGTCGTCCCAGGCACAGAGGGGACTGAAGTGGGAGGTGGAGGCTGCAGTGAGCTGTGATTGCACCATCGCACTCCAGCCTGGGTGGCAGACTGAGACCCTGTCTGTAAATCAATAAGTAAGAGATTCAGAGACTGGGTAGGAAAAAAAAATTCCAGATTGATGAAGCTTAAAAGAGATCTGCACACACACAAAAAGAGAGCTCACCAAAAATTTAAGGATCCAAAAAGGTTAAAAATAATTTTCAGAGACATAGTTTCACCATGTTGCCCAGGCTGCTCTCCAACTCCTGAGTTTAAGTGATCTGCCCGTTTAACCTCCCAAAATGCTGGGATTACAGGCGTGAGTTACCACGCCTAGCCTATCTATCTATCTATCTATCTATCTATCTATCTATCTATTATATATATATATAAAAAGATATAAAGATATATTTTGATATGAGGCAAAGTTGTCTTATACTTTAAAAGCATTATCAATAATAGAAAGGGTGGGGCCAGGCATGGTGGTTCACACCAAGTAATCCCAGCACTTTGGGATGCTGAGGTGGGAGGTCTGCTTGAGGCCAGGAGTTTGAGACCAGCCTGGGCAACACAGTGAAACTCCTGTCTCTAAAAAAATGAAAAAAAAAAAATTAGCCTGGAATGGTGGCATGCTCGTGTAACCCTAGCTACCTGGGAGGCTGAAGTGGGAGGAACATTTGAGTCAAGGAGTTTGAGGCTGCAGTGGGCTGTGATGGTGCAACTGCACTCCAGCCTGGGTGACAGAGCAAGACTCCGTCTCAAAAAAAAAAAAAAAGAAAAGTCTATCAGTGTTACTTATCGTATTAACTGATGAAAGGAGGAAAAACTACAGGATCATTTTAATAGATGCTGAGGAAGTATTTTTAGAAGTTCACATAAATTTGTGATTAAGCCTCTTGGCAAGTCGGAAATGGGAGGATAAACATTAGCAGCATTCCTTCTGAGACTGGAAACAAGAATGTTCTGTTTGCTATTATCACTTCTGTTCAACAGAGTATTGGAGCTTCCACTCTAACATTAAGACTAGAAAAAATAAATTCGAAACATAAGGATTGGGAAAGAGAAAATAAAACACATTATTTTCAGATACTACCAGCTATATGGAACCCCAGAGGGAGAGTTTGGCAAGATACCTAGATATAAGAAAAATATACAAAAACTAATTTCATTTCTGTATACCAGGAAGAAACAATTGGAAAATATCCTTGAAAAAAAAAGGATAATGTTCACAAGAGTATGAAAATTATAATAAGTACCTAAGAATAAGTATAATGAAACGTAGGCAAGAATTAGGCAGGCAATTATACCTCCACCTCCTGGGTTCAAGCAATTCTCTGCCTCAGCCTCCTGAGTAGCTGGGATTACAGACGCCTGCCACCACGGCTGGCTAATTTTTTTGTATTTTTAGTAGAGACGAGGTTTCACCATCTTGACCAGGCTGGTCTTGAACTCCTGACCTCGTGATCCACCCACCTCGGCCTCCCAAAGTGCTGGGATTACAGGCATGAGCCACCACGCCCGGCCGAGATAACCCATTCTTAAGGACAGGAAAGCCTGATATTACAGAGATGTCAGTTCTTCATAAACTGATCTAGAGACTCAATGTAGCTTCTCGGGAGGCTGAGGTCAGGGGATTGCTTGAGCCCAGGAGTTTGAGATTGCAGTGAACTAGGATCGTGTCACTGCACTCCAGCAGGGGTGACAGGGGGAGACCTCATCTCTTAAAAAAAAAAAGCACAAAAAACCATCTTTTTTTTTTTTTTTTTTGAGACGGAGTCTCACTCTGTTGCCCAGGCTGGAGTGCAGTGGCGCAATCTCGGCTCACTGCAAGCTCCGCCTCCCGGGTTCACGCCATTCTCCTGCCTCAGCCTCCCGAGTAGCTGGGACTACAGGCGCCCGCCACCACACCCAGCTAATTTTTTGTATTTTTAGTAGAGACGGGGTTTCACCTTGGTCTTGATCTCCTGACCTCATGATCCACCCACCTCGGCCTCCCAAAGTGCTGGGATTACAGGCGTGAGCCAAAAAAACCATCTTAAAAGCAAACACCTAAAGCAGCATGGCTCATTAATGAGAGTTGTGATGACCCAAAGATTATGATTAATCCACTTCTGGACCTCTGTGGTCTCTTAGCAAGAATTGCAGCTCAGCCACCTCCTGACTCTGCTTAGCGAGCCGAGATGATAACAGCCCACTTGGAGAGTTCGGGGAAGTGTCAACAATGGCCTAGTGGGCTCCCATCAGTGGGAGCTATTCTTACTGTGCTTTGTGCAGGGACTTGAAGCCAGAATGCAAGGGGCCACTGGGCTTTCCCCTTTCCTGGGTGTGGAGTGGGGAACAGCCCGTTACCCCATGAGCCCTCTGAGTCCCACCCTGGTTAAAGCTCATACACTTCATTTCCACAGCCATTTGCAGAGAGCAACCCACCTGCACTCAGCTGTGCTGGTTACAAGTAACCGAAGCCCAGCTCCAACTCTGCAGCCAAAAAGGGAAAGGACTCACCCACTTGAGATGTCCAAGGCTTGAGTCCAGGGATTGAGACGCTGGTCTAGTTGGTTCCTCCCATTTCAGAGAGACCGAAAACCGAAGCTCAGAGAGGTCAAGAGAATTGCCCAAAGTCACACAGACGCCAGTGGGAGGCTGATGCCCCAGCTGGCTCTGCTGACTCCAAAGCCTGGGTTTGGGTTCATCTGCAGGAGGAAACACAGCTGAGTCAAAAGCCCAGTGACTCGGTGGCAGCGCATGTCTTCCAGGAACAGAACAAACACAAGCCCATATCTGCAGGCGAGCCTTGCCTCGGCCTCCACAGCGCGGGTGGTAGAGTCAGGCGCCCCAGGCCCCTGAAAACCAGGACGCAGTCCCGTGGCCCGTCTCTCCCAAGAAACAGAATCCTAGCCGGACCCCGTGCCTGCTGGGCGTGGAGTGGAATGTTGCAGCTGCTTGGGTTTGGGGCAGGAAGGAAGGGGAGATGGAACAAGGTTGAGGGTCTCCGTTCCCCCTGGAGTGCATGGAGGCTTCCTCCTTCTCCCCTTTGAGATCTCAACACAACCCCCCACGTAGATTTTGAATGTGATCATTGAAGAGTGAGGGGCTGCTGATCCCTCCCGTGAGAGACCTGACCTGGCCCCTCTTGGCAAAGCTATCCAGGAACCAGGTCAGAGGCAGAAGGACCTTTGCCCTACAAACTACCCCATCCTTTCCCGGACTCAGAGCCTTGGGCTATACCTGGATGGATTCCCTTGGCCTTTCCACCTGAGGGGCCTGGAGGTTAGGTTGATTCTTGTTTTTTGTTTTTTTGAGACAGAGTCTTGCTCTGTCACCCAGGCTGGAGTGCAGTGGTGCATTCATGGCTCACTGCAGCCTCAACTTCCTGGGTTCAAGCAATCCTCCTACCTCAGCCTCCTGAGTAGCTGGGACTGTAGGTGCATGCCGCCATGCTGGGCTATGTTTTGATTTTTAGTAGAAATGGGGTCTTGCCATGTTGCTCATGCTGGGGTGCAGTGGCACCATCATGGCTGACTGCAGCTGCATGATCTTGCTATGAGTCTAATTATATTTCCCAGGCTGGTCTTGAACTCCTGGACTCAAGGGACCCTCCGGCTTTGGCCCCCTAAAGTGCTGGGATCATAGGTGTGAGCTGGCTTACCTGGCCCAGGATTGATTCTTTTTTTTTTTTTTTTTGAGACGGAGTCTCGCTCTGTTGCCCAGGCTGGAGTACAGTGGTAGGATCACGGCTCACTGCAAGCTTCGCCTCCCGGGTTCATGCCATTCTCCTGCCTCAGCCTCCCGAGTAGCTGGGACTACAGGCACCCGCCACCACGCCCGGCTAATTTTTTTGTACTTTTAGTAGAGACGGGGTTTCACCGTGTTAGCCAGGATGATCTCGATCTCCTGACCTCGTGATCCACCCTCCTCAGCCTCCCAAAGTGCGGGGATTACAGGCATGAGGCACCGTGCCCGGCTCCAGGATCGATTCTTAACTTTGGCTGTACTGAAATCACCTGGGAAGCTTGGAAAACAATCCCCGTGAGGAGCCCACGCCCCACACCAATTACACCCAAACCTCTTCAGGTGGGACCTGAGCTTCTGTATTTAAAAAAAATAATTAAAGCCTTTGCTGTATTCTACGCATCCTGAGAGGGGCCACCTGCTTCCAGGGACCTTCTGTGCAGCATCAGGGTCCCACTATCTACATGGCAGCTGCTGACCGGCACAGGTGTGGGGCTCTGCACACCTCAGATCCCTGACAAAGGAAGGGCGGACTGTGGGGCTGGGCATGCGCAGGGAACACATCAGATGGTGAACAAGCTGAGAGGAGTGTTTCGTTTCCCAGGGCTGTCATAATACAATCCCATAGACTGTGTGGCTCACACAACAGAAATTTTATTTTCTCACAGCTCTGGAGGTTGGAAGTCCAAGATCAAAGTTCAGCAGGTTTGGTTTCACCTGAGGCCTCTCTCCGTGGCTTGCAGATGGCTGCCTTCTCGCCGTGTCCTCACAAGCCATTTCCCCTGTGCTTGTGCATCCCTGGTGTCTCTTTGTGTGACCAAGTTTCCTCTACTTAGAAGGACACCAGTCAGATTGGATCAGGGCCCACCCTGACAGCCTCGTTTTAACGTCATAAACTCCTTAAAGGCCCTGTCTCTGGCTGGGTGCGGTAGCTCACGCCTGTAATCCCAGCACTTTGTGAGGCTGAGGCAGGCGGATCACTGGAGGTCAGGAGTTCGAGACCAGCCTGGACAACATAGTGAAACCCCGTCTCTACTAAAAATACAAAAATTAGCCAGGCGTGGTGGCAGGTGCCTGTAATCCCAGCTACTCGGGAGGCTGAGGCAGGAGAATCGCTTGAACCTGGGAGGTGGATGTTGCAGTGAGCCGAGATCATGCCACTGCACTTCAGCCTGGGTGTCAAGAGCAAAACTCTATGTCAAAAAAAAAAGAAAAAAAGTTAATAAGGAGTGTTGGCAACGATGTGGAGAAACTGGAGCTGTTGTACTTTGTTGATGGGAATGGAAAATGGTGCAGCTGCTATGGAAAACAGTTCAAGGTCCCTCAAAATGTGACACATAGAGTTACCACAGGAACCAGCGATTCCGCTCCCAGGTATACACCAAGAGAACCCAAAACAGGCACTCAACAATGCTTGTACCTCAATGACCACAACAACTGTGTTCACAATAGCCAAAAGGTGCAAACCACACTTAATGCCCATCAACCGATGACTGGGTAATAGCATTATCAATACAGTGGAATATTATTGAGCTATAAAAAGGAATGAAGCACTGATTGATCCGTGCACTCCCATGGATGAATCTTGAAAACATTACACGAAGGGAAAGAAGCCAGACACAAAAGGTCACATATTGTCTGATTCCATTTACATGAAGTATCTAGAAGAGGCAAATCCATAGAGACAGAAAGCAGATTAGGGCCTGGGGGAGGCGGGATGGGGTTTCCTTTTGAGGCGATGAAAATATTTTGGAACGAAGTAGAGGTGGTAGTTGCACAGCACTGTAAATGTACTAATACCACTGAATCATACACTCTCAAATAGTTCATTGGGCTGGGCGCAGTGGCTCACGCCTGTAATCCCTGCACTTTGGGAGGCCAAGGCAGGCAGGTCACCTGAGGTCAGGAGTTGACCAGCCTGACCAACATGGTGAAGCCTCGTCTCTACTGAAAATACAAAATTAGCCGGTCATGGTGTTGCACACCTGTAATCCCAGCTACTCGGGAGGCTGAGGAAGGAGAATCGCTTGAACTTGGGAGGCAGAGGTTGCAGTGAGCCGAGATTGTGCCATTGCACTCTGGCCTGGGCAATAGAGTGAGACTGTCTCAAATAAATAAATAAAATTAAAAAAATAGTTTATTGTATCATGTTAGTGCAAAAGTATTTGCAGTTTTAGCCACTGAAAGTAATGGCAAAACCTGCAATTACTTTTGCACCAACCTAACCTATTTTTTTTTTCTTGAGATGGAGTTTCGCTCTTGTTGCCCAGGCTGGAGTGCAGTGGTGCCATCTTGGCTCACTGCAACCTCTGCCTCCCGTGCTCAAGAGATTCTCCTGACTCAGCCTTCCAAGTAGCTGGGATTACAGGCACCTGCCACTACACCCAGCTAATTTTTTTGTATTTGTAGTAGAGACGGGGTTTCACCATGTTGGCCAAGCTGGTCTCGAACTCCTGGCCTCAGGTGATCCACCGGCCTTGGCCTCCCAAAGTGCTGGGATTACAGGCGTGAGCCACTGTGCCCGGCTGCACCAACCTAATATTTTTATGTGAATTTTACCTCAATTTAAACAAAACAAAACCAGGAGCAATGTAAAAAAAAAAAGCAATGACTTCCATACCAGGGACCACTGTGAGGCTGTGACAAGTCGAGATATAGGTGTTTTGTTTTTTGAGACAGGGTCTCACTTTGTCACCTAGGCTGGAATGCAGTGGGTGGCATGATCTTGGCTCACTGCAACCTCCACCTCCCAGGTTCAAGCTATCCTCCCACCTCAGCCTCCTGAATAGCTAGGATTATAGGCTTACACCACAACACACAGATAATTTTTCTATTTTTAGTAGAGACAGGGTTTCGCCATGTTGGCCAGGCTAGTCTTGAACTCTTAGGCTTAAGCTATCTGCCTCGACCTCCCAAAGTGCTGGAATTACAGGTGTGAGCCACCGCACCCGGCTGGTGTTTAGTTTTTGTTTTTTTTTTTTTTTTGAGACAGGGTCTCAGTCTGTCACCCAGGCTGGAGTTCAGTGGCTCGATCTTTGCTCACTGCAACCTTTGCCTCCTGTGTTCAAGTGATTCTCCCACCTCAGCCTCCCGAGTAGCTGGGATTATAGGTGTGTGCCACCACGCCCAGCTAATTTTTTGTATTTTTTGGTAGAGATGAGGTTTTGCCATGTTGGCCAGGCTGGTGTCGAACTCCTGACCTCAAGTGATCTGCCTGCCTGGGCCTCCCAAAGTGCTGGGATTACAGGCATGAGCCACTGCACCCAGCTGGTGTTTACTTTTTGATGCAGAAACTTGTTCACAATATGTTAGTAAGTGAAAAAGAAGTAGGTCACAAACTATAGAATATAATTGCTTTTTTTTCCTCCAAAATATGTCTACATTTTTACAAACGTGTCGAAAAACATCCGAAAGGAATAACTAAAATATTTTTGCTTTTGTTTTCCTTGTATGTTCTAATTTTTTTTTTTTTTTTTTGAGACCGAGTCTCGGCTCTGTTGCCCAGGCTAGAGTGCAGTGGCACGATCTCGGCTCACTGTAAGCTCTGCCTCCCGGGTTCACGCCATTCTCCTGCCTCAGCCTCCCGAGTAGCTGGGAGGCGCCCGCCACCACGCCGGGCTAATTTTTTTGTATTTTTTAGTAGAGATGGGATTTCACGGTGTTAGCCAGGATGGCCTTGATCTCCTGACCTCGTGATCCGCCCACCTCGGCCTCCCAAAGTGCTGGGATTACAGGCGTGAGCCACCGCGCCCGGCCCCTAATTTTTTAAATCATAAAAAAGCATTCTTGTGTAACCAAAACACATACTAATCAGGGAAATAGATGATTGCTTAACGAAATTCACCCTGTTCCCTGTGAGGCCCTTAAGAGACTCATCGCGCATCTGCCGGCCCAGGGCTCAGCATCAGAATTCTTCTTTCCTAAGGGGAGGCGCGGGAGTGGAGAGGACAGGAGGGCCCAGGTCTCACCCAGGTCTCATGGCTGGGGCAGGGCTGTGTCCTGCCTTCTGTGACTCCCTCTCTCCCAGCTAAGGTCCCCTGAGGACCTTGTTCCTTGCCCTTCCCGCTGAAGGATTTGAGTGGAGGAAGCAGCTTTCACAGCATCCTTGTCCTGTCCTGACCTGTCTCCCACCAGCAGAAGCAGCTCCGGATGGAGAAGAGGCCAAGCCGGCCCCTGGGGGCTGAGATTGCATCCCTCACCCGAGCTGGACACCCCTCCTGGAGGCCAGGCCCCAGGCCTCGGCTCACGGGTGGGGCCCCAGGGTTCCCAGAGCTCCCGCTGCTGCCAGACTTCACAGCTGTGCTGCTGGCGAGAAAAACTTTTTTTTTTTTTTTTTTGAGATGGAGTTTTGCTCTTGTTGCCCAGGCTGGAGTGCAGTGGCGCGATCTTGGCTCACTGCAACCTCGGCCTCCCGGGTTCAAGCGATTCTCTTGCCTCAGCCTCCTGAATAGCTGGGATTATAGGCATTAGCCACCACGCTGGCTAATTTTTGTCTTTTTAGTGGAGGTTGGGTTTCACCATGTTGGTCAGGCTAGTCTCAAACTCCCGACCTCAGGTGCTCTGCCTGCTTCAGCCTCCCAAAGTGCTGGGATTATAGGTGTGAGCCACCGCGCCCGGCTGACAGAAACTTTGTTCGCATCCCAGCAAACCAAGGCTCTCCTGTTGGAAGCTGGCCCCTCCCCACCAAGGGCCAGGTTATTAAATGCGGCAAATGGGGCCCCGGGGCTGCGCTGCGGCCAGGAGAGCATCTGTGGATTTAATTATCAGACAAAGAGAAGGGCTTGGACATTCTTCTGGCAAAACAGCATGTCCTGGGCTGGGCCCCGGGGACCCTGATGGCTTCATGAGTTTTCGTGTGTGAGCATGTTATACATCCATGTTAGATTGTTGGATAAAATATAGGACACTCCGTGAAACTGAATTTCAGATAAATAGTATTTTAGTATACATATGTCCCAAATAATGCATCCTGCATATTGATTTGCTAAATCTGGCAGAATACATGTAAATTTGTGCATTCAAGAGAACATGCAGGCATGTGAGTGTGTACAGCAGTGCAAGAACACACATATGTGTAAGCATCTGTGCACGGCCGGCCGCAGTGGCCCACGCCTGTAATCCCAGCACTTTAGGAGGCTGAGGCAGGCAGATCAGCTGAGGTCAGGAGTTCGAGACCAGCCTGGCCAACATGGTGAAACCCCGTCTCTACTAAAAATACAAAAATTAGCTGGGTGTGGTGGCGCATGCCTGTAATCCCAGCTACTTGGGAGGCTGAGGCATGAGAATCACTTGAACCTGGGAGGCGGAGGTTGCAGTGAGCCAAGATCTGCACCACTGCACTACAGGCTGGGTGACAGAGCAAGAACCTGTCTCAAAAAAAAAGTATTTGTGCGTGAATGTAGGTAAAGCTAAGCGTGTACATATACACATGGATGTGTGTGTACCAGAACACATGGATGTGTGTGTACCAGGAGGGTCAGGGAAGGGAATGGCAGGAGCTAGAAAAACCCAGGAACTCCCAGACCTACTGCCATCTGTCTCCAGGAAGAAATGGGACAACTGGCCCTGGCTTTTGGCCCATGGCGAAAGGTGCATTTTATATCTAGGTGCATGTATAAATGTGACTGTGTGCAAATATGGACACATGTGTTCTCATGTTTGCATCTACGTGTATGCATGCATGAAGTTTAGATATGGAAATACCTGTGGATATGTACGGAGGGACTATTGAAGGACTGTTGTAGCTGGAGGGATGCTTGGAGATCTCACGTACATAATTTTACATATGAGGAGACGGAGGCCAGCGGCTGAGACTGCGTGTGTGAGTGATTGTGCGCTCGGGCTCAGGGGAGCAGCAGGGCTTTCTGAGCATCATCTCGCCCCCTGACTGCCCCGTGATTATCACGCTTATTTCACACGTGAGGAAAAGTCAGGTGGGACGAGGCCAGGGCACCAGCCTGTGAGGGGCCGCCTGGGCCACGTGGGGTCACATATGGCTTACATAAACGCCATGGGCCAAAGCTGGTGCCAGATGTTCTGTTTCTTCCTGGAGCCAGATGGCGGCGGATGTGGGAGTTGGTGGATTTTTCTAGCTCCTGCCATCCCCTTCCCTGACCCTCCCGGATTTTCCCCAGGCAGGGAAGGGCTGGGGACTCGGGGAGCTTTGTCCTGGTGAGAATTGCCTTGGCCTGGGAAGCTGCTTCCTTTGGGCAGGGCCTCAGGAAGCCATGATGGGGTCTGTGCCAATGCATCTCCTCTAGGGTGGACTCCTCGCACAGTGCTCTTCCTATAGGGCCCAGAAGCAGAGCAGCCAGGCCAGTGGCATAATGTAGGCCATGCCCCGGGGCAGTCTCTGCACTGTGGATCTGTCCCCAGGTTTGGCTGGGGGTTTGGTTTTTAGTAGAGATGAGGTCTCACTATGTTCTCAAACTCCTGGGCTCAAGTGATCCTCCCACCTTGGCCCCCTAAAGTGCTAGGATTATAGGTGTGAGCCACTGCATTTGGGCGCCGTGAAAAGCTTTGAGAAGGCTAATGGAAAAGCAAGGGAGAGCCCTGGGCACACAGCCCCCTCGAGGAGGCAGGTAGGGCCCCACCTCACGGTGTGGGTCACAGAGCTTTACTCCCTGCATTTCCAGCCATGTGGGTTTGGGGGCCATCCACCCATCAGATACTGGTTAGGAAGGTGATCAGGGCTCAGTGCAAGGGAATACTATAGGTGAGGATGGAAACTACAGGGAGAGAGGTCCATGACATCTTAGCATGTGGAAGAGCAGATTAGCAAACAGTATGGAGAAGTTCCCTATTCAGAATGTGTGTGTGTACATGCATAAGAATTTGGATTGGGGGGCCGGGTGCAGTGGCTCATGCCTGTAATTTCAGCACTTTGGGAGGCCAAGGCAGGAGGATCACTTGAGGTCAGGAGTTCGAGACCAGTCTGGCTAACATGGTGAAACCCCGTCTCTACTAAAAATACAAAAAATTAGCTGGGCATGGTGGCAGGTGCTACAGGAGAATCACTTGAACCTGGGAGGCAGAGATTGCACCACTGCATTCCAGCCTGGGCGACAGAGATTGAGCTGAGATTGCGCCACTGCATTCCAGCCTGGGCGACAGGGCAAGATTCCATCTCAAAAAAAAAAAAAAAAAAAAAAGAATTTGGATTGGGCCAGGCGAGGTGGCTCACACTTACAATCTTAGCATTTTGGGAGGCCAAGGCGGGAGAATTGCTTAAGCCCAGGAGTTGAAGACCAGCGTGAGCAACAGAGCTAGACCTTATCTCTACAAAAAATTTTTTAAAATTAGGCTGGGTGTGGTGGCTCATGCCTGTAATCCCAGCACTTTGGGAGACTGAGGCTGGCGGATCGCCTGAGGCTGGGAGTTCCAGACCAGCCTGGCCAGCATGGTGAAACCCTGTCTCTAATAAAAATACAAAAATTAGCCGGGCGTGGTGGCAGGCGCCTGTAATCCCAGCTACTTGGGAAGCTGAGGCAGGAGAATCGCTTGAACCTGGAAGGCGTAGGTTGTGGTGAGCCGAGATCGCGCCCTTGCACTCCAGCCTGGGCAACAGAGCGAGACTCTGTCTCAAAAAAAAAAAGAAGAAGAAGAAGAAGAAATTGACTTCTCACAGTTCTGGAGGCTGGAAAGTCCAGGATCAAGGTGCCCACAGATTTGGCGTCTGGTGAGGGTCCGCTCTCAGGTTCATACATGGGGCCTCCTCACTGCATCCTCACCTGGGGGAAGGGGAAGGGGTCTCTCTGGAGCCTCTTTTTTTTTTAGATGGAGACTTGCTTTGTCACCCAGGCTGGAGTGCAATGGTGCTATCTCGGCTCACTGCAACCTCCATCTCCTGGCTTCAAGCAACTCTCCTCCCTCAGCCTCCTGAGTAGTTGGGATTACAGGCATGCCCCACCCTGCCCAGGGCTGATTTTTGTATTTTCAGTAGTGACAGGGTTTTGCCATGTTGGCCAGGCTGGTCTTGAATTCCTGACCTCAAGTGATCCGCCTACCTCAGCCTCCCAAAGCGTTGGGATTACCGGCGTGAGCCACAACGCCCGGCATCCGGAGCCTTTTTTGTAAGGGCACTAATCCCGTCGTGTGGGCCCACCCTCATGACCTAATGACCCCAAACGCCCACCTCTTCATACCCTCGTGTTTTGGTTGGGATTTCAATGTACAGACTGTGGGGGGCACAGACTGCAGCGGCTGCCTCTCCATACGCTGGCGCAGAGCATCGACGCATCTTACAGATGAGGAAACTGCCCAGAGCCAGCCCTTGTGCCGCTGCCTCCCTGAGACTTTTTGGATGGGGCGGGTGGGAGCCGCACACAGGATGAGTGGACGCTGAGCTCTGTGGCCCTCCCACCCAGAGCTGCATCTCTGTCCCTCCGTCCTCTCTTCCCAGAATCCTCCTGACCAGAGCAGCAGAGAGCGGATCTGTTTGCAGCCTGCCTGTCCCCGCCCTGCCCTCACCTCGCCCTCTTTGACCTTGAGACGGATTCCTCGAGCCAACGTCTCTTTCCTGGAGCTGGATGGGGACAAACCCGGGGTCCCTCCCTCTCTTAGGAGTTGAACCACAGTGACCAGGAGCCCAAGAGCGCCGAAGCCCTGTAGTTGCTATGGAGATGGGAGCGGGTTTGCAGAGGGAGCTGTGTGATTAGGTGGCATTTGCGTCTGTAGAAGGAGGCAACGCAACACCCTCGCCACCCCTGAGAGGTGCTTATACCTTGGACACTCTTATGAGAGCTTCCCAGAAAAGCCAGGCTCACAGGGGCAGGAACGGAGATTCCTCCACACACCTCCACCCTGTCCCTGCCACCAAACACCCAGGTACCCAGGCAAACCGTGGCCAGGGGACAGGTGCCATCATGACATGGGTGAGCTGCCTGCCTGGAGGTTCTCCAAGTCCCTCCTGCTGCCCACCTGTCCAAGCCCCAGAGTGTCCCTAAATGCCCAGGGAACGCTCAGGGTCCTTTCCAGGGGGCAGTGGCCTAAGAGGCTCATTCTCCAGCAACCCTCTGCGCCGGGCTGGGTGGTCCCATTGCCCTGTCTCCAGCCCTCACAACTGTGCAAGCCAAGTATCAGCCCCATTTCACAGACGGAGAAGCTGAAGCTCAGAAGGGTCAGCAACCTGTCAGGGCCGGAATCTGAACCCAGGTCTGCCCGACTCCCATTTATGTGCTCTTTCCCTCACACGACCCAGCCCAGCCCAGCTCCAGCCTGGCCCCCTCAGCCTACCCTGGGCTTCCAGCCAGTGACCTTCCCAAAGCACAGAGCTGAGGCTTAGAGAGAGATGTGGCTGGACATGCAGAGAGTGAAGCCCTGTGGCCCACAGCTGGAGGTGGGACCCTGCCTGCCACCTCAAGGGGGCTGTGTGTTCTGGGTTGTGTGCTCAAGGCTCTCCCTTGCTTCTCCCCACTACTCCACGAGCTGGCCTTTCTGCTTGAAAAGAGACCCCCAGCCTGGAGCGGGCTCATGCCTGTAATCCCAGCACTTTGGGAGGACAAGACAGGCAGATTACTTGAGGTCAGGAGTTCAAGACCAGCCTGGCCCACATGGTGAAACCCGGTCTCTACTAAAGATACAAAAATTAGCTGGACGTGGTGGCACACGCAGGTAGTCCCAGCTACTCGGGAGGCTATGGCAGGAGAATCCCTTAAACCTGGGAGGCGGAGGTCGTAGTGAGCCAAGATCGTACCATTGCACTCTAGCCTGGGTGACAGAGCGAGACTCTGTCTCAAAAAAACCAAAAAACAAAAAAGCGGAGGTTAGGCACAGTGGTTTGTGCCTGTAATCTCAGCACTTTGGGAGGTGGAGGCGGGCGGATCACATGAGGTCAGGAGTTTGAGACCAGCCTGGCCAACGTGGAGAAACCCCATTTCTACTAAAAATACAAAAAATTAGGCCGGGCGCGGTAGCCCTCACACCTAATCCCAGGTGTGAGGTGGGCGGATCACGGGGTCAGGAGATCGAGACCATCCTGGCTAATATGGTGAAACCCCGGCCGGGCGCGGTGGCTCACGCCTGTAATCCCAGCACTTTGGGAGGCCGAGGCGGGTGGTTCACGAGGTCAGGAGATCGAGACCATCCCGGCTAAAACGGTGAAACCCCATCTCTACTAAAAATACAAAAAATTAGCCGGGCGTAGTGGCGGGCGCCTGTAGTCCCAGCTACTTGGGAGGCTGAGGCAAGAGAATGGCGTGAACCCGGGAGGCGGAGCTTGCAGTGAGCCGAGATCCCGCCACTGCACTCCAGCCTGGGCGACAGAGCGAGACTCCGTCTCAAAAAAAAAAAAAAAAAATGGTGAAACCCCGTCTCTACTAAAAATACAAAAAAATTAGCCAGGTGTGGTGGTGGGCACCTGTAGTCCCAGCTACACGGGAGGCTGAGGCAGGAGAATGGAGAGAACCCGGGAGGCAGAGCTTGCAGTGAGCCGAGATCTCGCCACTGCACTCCAGCCTGGGCAACAGAACGAGACTCTGTCTCAAGGGAAAAAAAAATTAGCCGGGCATGGTGGCACCGTCTGTAGTCTCAGCTACTTGGGAAACTGAGGTAGGAGAATAGCTTGAACCTGGGAAGTAGAGATTCCAGTGAGTCGAGGTTGTACCACTGCACTCCAGCCTGGGCGACAGAGTGAGACTCTGTCTCAAAAAAGAAAAAAAAAAAGTAAAGAGACCCCCCCCTGACAGACCCTGCTCAACACGCTGTGCTGCGGGTGTCCACCCTCCAGACCCAGACTCCTTGGCCAGATCAGAACTGAGGACAAGCCATGCATTTCCGCAGTTTGCCACGCTCCTTAGACCTTCACGGCTCTTGCTTGGGGGCGAAATGACACATTGAAAACCACCCTTTCCATTTTCCATAGTCATGATCCCTGCAGGCTGTCTCCAGGCTCCCGTTCTTCTGTATTCTGGGAAGTGGTTATGTTGGCCATGACAGCTGGGGTGGCGAGGAGGTGATGCCGGGTGGGTGGGGTGGGAAGGAAGAAACCAGGTGGTGGAAGGGCATGGGGCAAAATCAGGGTTAGCGCCAGGCTCCAGGGATCCCAGCTGGTGCAGAGAAGGCCGGAATCCATAGGGCTGGGTCTGTCTGATGACAGGAGAGGGTGTGGGTGGGAACAAGCAGGGGTGGAGGAGGTGTCACCTTTGTATAGACCTCTCGGGGTCACGTAAGGACGGAGCAGGCCCCATTCCTGCCACACCCAACTTGCAGCCCAGGGTGAGGCCCACAGAGTCTGGCCAAAGACTGCCGGAGGCAGCACAGGCAGCCGCCTGGCGCGGTGGGGTTTGGTTCTGTTTAAAAAATAGAAAAACAAGTCACCCCCATCCCGCCTCCCTGTGCCTGTCGCTTCGCCAGTTCAGCCTCATTCCGAGGTTGGCGGGTGCCCTGCGTTTCTGTCTTCCGGAGGGCTTCTCTGCGCTGGGGCCACTCAGGCCTGGTTTCTGATCCTGGCTCCACCACATCCAAGCTGGGCAACCTTAGGGAAATGGGTTTCCCTCTCTGAGCCTCAGTTTCCTCATCTGTAAAATAGGGATAAGGTCATCACAATGACACATATGGAAGACGTATGGCCAGGCCCGTGGGAGGTGTGAGCCCCGCTCTTCACTCCTCCCCTCAAATCATGGCTGAGAACAGAATGTCAATTCTAAGAAGAGGGTGCTTTGCAAGAGGCTGGAACTAGAGGGAGAGCAGAGATCTGGGATCTGAGGGCTGGAGAAGGAGATGATACCAATTTTACACAGATTCTTTCAGAAGTGTAGAAGAGGCCAGCCTGCCCCTGGTAACCAAATCAAGAAACAGACACCAGCATCCCTCATGGACATTGATGCCAGAATCCAGAACACATTCGTTGTTCAATCCAACCCAGCCATATTTAGAAGGGAAATGCGCCAGGGCCACGTGGGGTGTGTCTCAGATATGCAGAAGCGGCTGCCATTCAAAAATCATGTATAATTCACCATAAAAAAATGGAATGGGCATGTCAATCACCAGGCGCGGTGGCTCACGTCTGCAGTCCTAGCACTTTGGGAGGCCAAGGCAGGAGGATTGCTTGAGGCTAGGAGACCAGCTTGGACAAAATAGTGAGATCTCATCCCTACAAAAATAAAAATAGGCTGGGCGTGGTGGCTCACACCTGTAATCCCAACACTTTGAGAGGCTGAGGCGGGTGGATCACCTGAAGTCAGGAGTTCCAGACCAGCCTGGTCAACATGGCAAAACCTGTCTCTACTAAAAATACAAAAAAAATTAGCTGGGCGTGGTGGTGCTTGTAGTCCCATCTATTCGGGAGGCTGAGGCATAAGAATCGATTGAACCTTGGTGGCGGAGGTTGCAGTGAGCTGAGATCACACCACTGCACTCCAGCCTGGGTGACAGAGTGAGACTCTATCTCAATTTTAAAAAAAAGTAAAAAAATAAAAATATTAGCCGGTGTGGTGGTGCATGCCTTTAGCTACTTGGGAGGCTGAGGCGGGAGGATTGTTTGAGCCCAGGAGTTTGAGACTGCAGTGAGGTGTGATCGTGCCCCTGCACTGCAGTCTGGGTAACAGAGCGAGACTCCAACTCTTCTTCTTCTTTTTTTTTTTTTTTTTTTCTGAGACGGAGTCTCGCTCTGTCACCCAGGCTGGAGTGCAGTGGCTCAATCTCAGCTCACTGCAACCTCCGCCTCCTGGTTCAAGTGATTCTCCTGCCTCAGCCTCCCAAGTAGCTGGGACTACAGGCATGCACCACCATGTCTGGCTAATTTTTGTATTTTTAGTAGAGATGGGGTTTCTCCATGTTGGCCAGGCTAGTCTCGAACTCCTGACCTTAGGTAATCCACCCACCTTGGACCCCCAAAGTGCTGGGATTACAGGCGTGAGCCACTATGCCTGGCCAAGAGACCTCAACTCTTGAAAAAACAAAAACAAAACAAAACAGTTATTGGCTTTACTCAACAAAGTGCATTACCCATGCCTGAGCAGGTACACACCATCTCTCTTGTTCCATGATGTGCACTGGAAGCTGTCAACCAATGCAAAATGGCATCGACCTCCCCACCCAGGCTCTGTCCAGCAACAAGGCAGGATGGCAAGTCCTGAAGGAGTCACAGCCTCTTCCCTGTCATCTGGGATCTGAGGTTGGCAGCTCCTCCCATGGCCCTTGGGTCTTCATGGAAAGGGGATGCAGAGTGATGGTTCTAGAGACACGTCGGTGTCTGAGAGTGATGAAGTCCAGGGAAAGCCTGGAAGAGTCAGATCCCGGGTCTGCTTTGTGCTAACGGCCATGTCAGCACATCGTGTCCCAGTTCCTTCCTTGCCACCAGGGGCAACAACGCCAGGAGCCCTGTGACCAACACTGAGCATGACCTGTGATGTGTCAGGTTTGCAGGTGGAGGGCACCCCGAGTCACACATCAACCCCACGGGGCCCCTGTCATCCCCGTTTGACAGACAACGACACCAACGCTCTGGGACGGGACGTCAGCACCGGCAGGAAGTGCTGGCATTGTCCTGAGCCAGCACCGGCTGCCGCTGCCATCACACAGGATGTGGCTCCCAGGCAGCACGCCGACTGCCTTCTGGGAGCCTCTCCCCTTCACGGTGCGCCAGGTGCTCTTGGGGCTCCACCGTCCCCTCCAAGCTTTAGAGGATTTGCCCAGAGCCCTCCATCCTTCAGCAACCCTTCCTTATCCTAAAGACTCCAGAGACCACCCAGCTAGGAGGGGAAGATGTGTTCCTCCCCCAAAAGTGTCCTGTGGGTTACGGACTGAATTGGGTTCTCCCAGAAAGAGATGCTGAAGCTCTAATTCCCAGTGTCTATGGATGTGATCTTCTTTGGAAACAGGGTCTTTGTAGATGTGACTAAGATGTGGGGGCTGGGCACAGTGGCTCACGCCTGTAATCCCAGCACTTTAGGAGGCTGAGGTGAAAGGATCACCTGAGGTCAGGAGTTCGAGACCAGCCTGGCCAACATGATGAAACCTCATCTCTACTAAAAATACAAAAAAGTTAGCCGGGCATGGTGGCACATGCCTGTAATCCCAGCTACTCAGGAGGCTGAGGCAGGAGAATCCCTTGAACCCAGGAGGCGGATGTTGCAGTGAGCCAAGATTGCGCCACTGCACTCCAGCCTGGACAACAAGAGCAAAACTCCATCTCAAAAAAAAAAAAAAAAAAAAGATGTGAGTTAAGATGAAGTTATACTAGAGTAGGATGGACTGTAAGCCAGTATAACTGTTATTCTTATAGGAAGGGGATCACAGACAGTGACAGGAAGACAGACGCAGACACAGGGAGAAGGCCACGTGGAAACAGAGGCAGAGAGTGGCGGGATGCGGCCGAGAACAAGGCAAACTGGCTCCCACCTCACTGTGCTGCCTCCTGGCTGGGCAACCTTGGGCAAGTCTCAGGCCTCAATTTTCCCATCTATGGAATGGGCATGTCGATCACCTCACATCAGAGGGCTATTGAGAGCTGCAGACGAGCGCTCACACTCAAAGTGTGGTTCGGGGAGCTCCGGGTGTCCCCAAGCCTCCTGCCGATCTGTGATAGGACCTGGGGGCTCTTGCCTCCTGGCCCTCACCCCTTTCCTCCCTCTGCCTAGAACATTCTTCCCCTCCTTCCTGGCTCCCTCCACCCATTCCCTCCATCTGGGCTCAGACTTCCCCCTTCTGGGACCTATGCGCTGATGCCCCAAGGCTGGGCTCCAGGGCCTTTTCTCTGAGCCCTCACTGCCCTGCACATCCCTCGCGGCAGCTCTCTTAGGCTTGGCTGTGTTTCACTGGTCACTTGCCTACTTCCTGGCGGACGAGGATCAGGTTAGCCAGGAGTCGGGGCGGAGGGCTTGGGAAGGCCTGAGGCTGAAGTGAGAGAGGGTCTCTGGTCCATCAGCATCACAGTGAGGGCCTCTCAAACGGTCCCTGCCCAGGCCCCAGGTAGCAGCCAGCACAGGGCCTGGGGGCTGAGGGAGTACCAGGCAGCCACCCCAGGGCAAAGGGACTGGCCAGCCTGGTAAAGTCCAGGAGCAGACCAGCTGTGCCCAGAGCCCCCGATCCCTGGCATCATGGCACTGTCTAGGGCCGAAGAATTACCCCACCCCTCCGCCCGTTCCATGTTAATAAGGTGAATGCATCCAGAGCAATTGAATTGCATGAGGAAAAAGCCACACGGGAGAGGGCCATTTGCATGTCATCTGTATTGTCACATGAAATGCACATCCAAAACGGGTGACTTGGAAACGACCTATTAGGTCACACGGAGTCCGGCCCCTGGGGGCCAAAGCCTCATCGATGCCCACGGGCGGTGGCCAGCACTTTCCTCGGGCTGTGGCGTGTGCACCCGGCCTCCCCAGAGGAGAGTCAGCTCACACCCCAGGCCCTTTAGCTCTCTGGCAGCAGCTCCCAAAACGCACTTGAGGAACCAATAATTCCTTGGGGGTTAATAGCTGTTCCCCAAGAAAAGGGTTCTGTGGTCAAATAAGTTTAGAAAACATGGGTTAAAGAAGGTTTAGCAAGAAGCTTTTCTATAGGGCTTGTCAGAGCCTTTACGGCAATAACGGCCTTTGTGAATGTCCAACTTGGGGACAGAGTGTGCAGCACTTCCGAAAGTTATTGAACCACAAAACCCCTTTCCCCCAAAAGCATCTCGCAGGCTGGTGTCCCATGGGCACCCGTTGGAAAGTGCTGCCCTAAGCTGTCGATGACCGCTAATGGCAATGGCACCTGCATCAGGCAGTAGGTTGGGGGCATTTTGGCAGGCGTCGTGCTGTGGCGTGATGGGCACAGCCAAGAACTCAACAGTCATGATGATGAAAGGACAAGACAAGACTCGGCCCCTCCCACCATCCTGATTTTTGCTGTTCCCAGAGCAGAAGCTAAATAGGGCTGTCCCCATGGGTGGGTCCTGGCTGCCTAGAGAGGAGACTTGGAGTCCAAGCAAAGGGGCAAGAGGCCTGGCACTGCCAAACACGCTTGTCTCCGGGAGGGGTGGCCTGGGTTCGCCAGCCTCCAGCCAGGAGGGGAAGATGAGGTGGGGGTGGCCGCTCTGACTCCTGGCCGCTCTGTTCCACCCACGCCCGCCACCTCGCCACCCCCTGCCCCTTCTCTAGGGCCAGCCCTGCCCCCAGAGGCTTGTGTGGGCCGGCGGGCGCTTCACCAGGCAGAGATGAGCATCTGGCAGGTGCTGGAGGGCATCCAGACCAGCTCCACCAGACGGAACTGGAGGTAGCCGATGACAAAGCCGGAGAGGACGTCCGTGACGTGGTGGCGGCCGATCATCACGCGGGACAGGCCCACGCAGAGGGCCCAGAGCACCAGCAGCACACGCAGGGGCACCGCCAGCACCAGGTGGCTGAGGAAGAACTTGGACACCATGGCGGCGCGGCTGGCGTGCCCGGCCGGGAAGGCGTAGATGTCCATGGTGAGGTAGTCCAGGAGGCTGGGGCTCGTCTCGTACGGGCCGCGCCGCTTGATGAGCTTCTGCACGCCGGCCACCGTCATGATGTCCAGGAGCAGGGCTGTTGGGGGGAGACAGAGGCCCCTGGGCCATCAGGGCCACCAGCCAGGCCCAGGCCCTGGCCCCCCACATTTCCACCTCGCCTCCCCTTTCTGCTCCTCACTCAGGCCACTCAGCCACACTGACCCCCAGGCAGGGTCCCCTCTCAGGCTGTTGCCTTTGCTGTCTCCCCTGCCCGGCACATCCTGCCTTCCTGTAGCTACTTCCTTTAGCGGAGAAGCCTTCCCTGACCACGCTGTTTGTAAAAAGCCCCCACCACGCTGTCTCCCCTCACCTTGTTTAATTTTTTCATACAGCTTTTCTCATGCCCTGACATAATACGCATTTTATTTCTTTGGGTTTTTTTTTTTTTTTTTTTTTTTTTTTTTTTTTGAGACAGAGTTTCACTTTGTCAACCAGGCTGGAGTGCAGAGGTGAGATCTTGGCTCACTGGAACCTCCGCCTCCCGGATTCAAGCGATTCTCCTGCCTCGGCCTCCTGAGTAGCTGGGATTACAGGCACCCACCACCACGTCCAGCTAATTTTTGTACTTTCAGTAGAGATGGGGCTTTGCCATGTTGGACAGACTGGTCTCAAACTCCTGACCTCAGGTGATCCACCCGCCTCAGCCTCCCATTGTGCTGGGATTACAGGTATGAGCCACTGCGCCCGGCCCTTTTTCCTTTTTTTTTTTTTTTTGATACAGGGTCTTGCTCTATTGCCCAGGCTGTAGTGCAGTGGCCTGATCTTGGCTCACTGCAACCTCCACCTCCTGGGTTCAAGGAATTCTCATACTTCAGCCTCCCGAGTAGCTGGGATTACAGGTGCACACTACCATGCTTGGCTAATTTTTTGTATTTTTGGTAGAGATGGGGTTTTGCCATGTTGGCCAGGCTGGTCTCCAACTCCTGGCCTCAGGTGACCTGCCCGCCTCAGCCTCCCCAAGTGTTCACCCATTACAGGCGTGAGCCACTGTGCCCAGCCCCATTCCCATTTTTCAAAAATTGAAGCAAAATTTACATCTTGTACAGTGAACCATTTTAGAGTGCACGCTTCAGCGGCATTCAGCACATCACAATGTCAGCAGCCACCTCCTCTCTCTAATTTCAAAACATTTCATCATCCCAAAAGAATGCCCCATACCCACGAAGCAGCCACTCCCCATCCCCTTCTCTCCAGCCCCTGGGACACCACCAATCTGCTTTCCTCTAGAGGATTTGCCTCCTCTAGACACTCCATGTAAATGGAATCAGACAGCATGTGGCCTTTTGTGTCTGCCTTCCTTTCCTTAGCATAATGTTTCCAGCATCCACCCATGTGGCAGCGCTTCATTCCTTTTCATGGCCGAATAATATTCCACTGTATGGATGGACCACTATTTGTTCATCTTCTCTTTCTTTTTTTTTTTGAGATGGAGTCTCGTTCTGTTGCCCAGGCTGGAGTGTGGTGGCATGATCTCGGCTCACTGCCCACCTCCCGGGTTCACGTGATTTTCGTGCCTCAGCCTCCTGAGTAGCTGGGATTACAGGCGCACGCTGCCTCGCCTGGCTAATTTTTGTATTTTTAGTAGAGACGGGGCTTTGCCATGTTGGCCAGGCTGGTCTCAAACTCCTGACCTCAAGTGATCCGCTTGCCTTGGCCTCCCAAAGTGCTGGGATTACAGACATGAGCCACCGCGCCCGGCCTCTTTATTTTATTTGATTTTTTTGAGACAGAGTCTCGCTCAGTCATCCAGGCTGGAGTGCAGTGGTGCCATCTCGGCTCACTGCAAGCTCCGCCTCCTGGGTTCACGCCATTCTCCTGCCTCAGCCTCCTGAGTAGCTGGGACTACAGGCGCCTGCCACTACGCCTGGCTAATTTTTTGTATTTTTAGTAGAGACGGGGTTTCATCGTGTTAGCCAGGATGGTCTCGATCTCCTGACCTCGCGATCCGCCCGTCTTGGCCTCCCAAAGTGCTGGGATTACAGGCGTGAGCCACCGCACCTGGTGTTTTTTTTTTAAGAGACGGATGTCTCTGGCTGGGCACGGTGGGTCACACTTATAATCCCAGCACTTTGGGAGGCTGAGATGAGCATATTGCTTGAGCCCAGGAGTCCGAGACTAGCCTGGGCAACATGGCAAAACCCTGTTTGTACAAAAAATACAAAAATTAGACATGTGTGATGGCATACGCCTGTAGTTTCAGCTATCAGGAGGCTGAGGTGGGAGGATTGCTTAAGCCCAGGAGTCTGAGACCAGCATGGGCAACATGGCAAAACCCCATCTCTACAAAAAAATACAAAAATTAGCTGAGTGTGGTGGTGCACGCCTCTCATCCCAGCTACCCAGGAGGCTAAGGTGACAGAGTGAGACCCTGTCTTAAAAAGAGAGAGAGAGGGAAACAGAGAGACAGAGATGGTGTCTCTTTCTGTTGCCCAGGCTGGAGTGTAGTGGTGCAATCATAACTCACTGTAACTTTGAATTCCTGGGCTCGAGAGATCCTCCTCCCTCAGTCTCCTGAGCCACCGAGACTACAAGTGTGCCACCATGCCCAGCTAATTAAAAAAAAATTTTTTTTTTACAGATGGGCATCCCACTTTGCTGCCTAAGATGGTCTCAAACTCCTGGCTTCAAGCTATCTTCCTACCTCAGCCTCCCAAAGTGCTGGGATTCCAGGCGTGAGCCACTGTGCCCGGCCACAATTTGTTTATCCATTCATCTATTGATGGCTATCGAGTTGTTTGCGCCTTTCGGCTGCCGTGACTCATGCTGCTATGCACGTGTGTGCAAGTGTTTGCCGAGTGCCTGTTTTCAGTTCTTTTGGTAGATCCCTAGGACTGGAGTCGCTGGTTGGTAATGACAGTAACTCTGTGTGTGACTCTTTGAGGAACCCCACTGTTTTCCCCAGCAACTGCGCTGTGTCATTCCCCCCTTTATAGAGGACAAGATGAACCCCTGGAGCTCAGAGCACTCATACCTGAGGCTCTTGCTTTCTGGAATGTTCCACTCTTTCCCAACTCACCACCTCAGGGACCTGCCCCGGCCTTCCAGACAGCTCAGGCCCTGAATGGTTCAGTCTCAACATCTGGCCCTCTGTTTCGTGGCTTTTCCCCCGCAGTCACTGAGGCATCTGTTGGGAGGTGAGGGTTCGCTGTCTGCGGCATGAAGTCATCACTTCGTGGAGGCAGGGGCTGTGCCTGTTTGTTCATAGGTTTTTTTCCCCGTGGCTAGAAACAGAGCCACAGTCTCCAAACGTAGTTGAGTTACTGGCCTGAGGCTCATAACCAGCGAGGTGGGCTCTTTCCTTCCTTTTCTTTTTCTTTATTTTTTTGAGACAGAGTCTCACTCTGTCACCCAGGCTGGAGTACTGCAGCATGATCTTGGCTCACTGCAATCTCCGCCTTCCGGGTTCAAGTGATTCTCCTGCCTCAGCCTCCCGAGTAGCCAGGACAACAGGTACCTGACACCACGGCTGGCTAATTTCTGTATTTTTAGTAGAGACGGGGTTTCGCCATGTTGGCCAGGCTGGTCTCGAACTCCTGACCTCAAGGGATCTGCCCACCTCCGCCTCCCAAAAAGTGCTGGGATTCCAGGCGTGAGCCACTGCGCCTGGCCTTTCTTTCCCCATTTCGGAAACACAGGGGAGACCTGGATCTCCATCGTGTCTCTGCCACACCCTGCTGTGTGGCCTTGGGGGGCTGCTCCGCCTTTCTGTGCCGAGAGAGGAAGGCACCATGCCAGGACCCCAGTTTCACCCAGCTGATCTGAGTGGCACCCAGACCGCCAATGTGGGGGTTCCAGGTCAACCCTCCACACCCTTAGAAAGGCCCTTGGGGCTCACACCCTCTGACCTGGGGGTGGGGGTGGCATCAGCAGGCCAGACAGCACCCCCAGGGCAGGTACAGAGTCGGCAGGGAGCCCGTGCCCCTGCCCCCTGTGCTTCCCCATCTCAGGTGACCTTGGGGACCCCAGTGAGGTCACAGCTCCTGCAAGCCCTGCCTCACGGACAGTGAAGACAACACCCACAGTGCAGTGTGGTGGCAAAGCTCACAGGCATCACAGCCAGAGACCCAGCTGTGAGCTCCAGCCCTGGAGCCTCCCAGCTGTGTGACCTCAGGCAAACCACCTAACTTTCCTCACCTGTGAGACGAAGCTCAGGGACACCCACCTCCCAGAGGGGGCCAGGCACCATGCCTGCAGGCAGGTTGCTGACTGCAGGGTGACAAGGTTTCACTGGGACAGAGGGGTTTCCTAGGACACAAGATATTCAGTGCTAAAGCATGGAAGTCGCAGCAAATGATTGAGTTGGTCCCCCAAACGCCTGGCCCACCAGGAGGGCTGGATAAAGGTGGGGGGTTATGACTCAATGACAGTTCAGTGCAGCCAGATGCTGGGAGCTTTCCTAGAAAACTTTTCAGTATTTATCGGAATGTTCAGCTCTTGGCAGAAATGGAAAAAAAGTAAAAAAAAAAAAAAAGACACAGAAGATGCTATTCACTGCAGAACATTTACAAAACAGAAAACAAAAGTTAGAGTTTAAATCACCTGTAATCCTGCCCCTCAGAGGTAGTCATTGTTCCAGACCTTTCCATCCACTTATAGAGCACAGCTTTTTTTTTTTTTTTTTTTTTTTAAGACAGAGTTTCCCTCTTGTTGCCCAGGCTGGAGTGCAATGGTGTGATCTCGGCTCACCACAACCTCCGCTTCCCAGGTTCAAGCGATTCTCCTGCCTCAGCCTCCCGAGTAGCTGGGATTACAAGTGTGTGCTACCACGCCCAGCTAATTTTTCTATTTTTAGTAGAGATGGAGTTTCTCCATGTTGGTCAGCCTGGTCTTGAACTCCCGACCTCAGGTGATCCGCGCACCTCAGCCTCCCAAAGTGCTGGGATTACAGGCGTGAGCCACCGTGCCCGGCCTTTGGAGCATAGATTTAATAAAGCTTGTAACATGGTTTGCATATGTTGTTCTGCTGCCTGCTTTTGAAAGTCTTGCACCATCACATACCCCCGATCCCCTTGCTGCAGGGTGTGAGGCACTGTGGTGCACCTAACTGTCCATGCCAGGCAGTTAGACTGTTCCAGATCACGCAGTCCTCCCTGGAGGACTAGAACTTCAGGGCTTCCCCTTTTCCTGCCCACTTCAGGGTTGCTGCTTGTAGTCTGGTCTCTCTGTTTGGGGTTTGAATCGTGGCATCTCCTGGCCCCTCTCATTAGCCACAGGGCTGGCTGAGAGCCTTGCACCCTGGAAGTGCCTGGCCAGCACAGGAGGGGGCTGAGCAGGTACACAGAGGAGCTGGCTGGCCCAAGGAGGGCGGGGCCTGAAGGCCTCGAGAAAACCTTGCTCTACCCTTGCCTGCCAATTTCACGGCAGCTGTTCCCCTGGGCTGGGTCTTCCCAGGAGGTGGCTGGGGAGGCGTGTGGCTGGCCAGCTCGTGTGCTGACCATGCCCGGGTTTCGTGCCATCTGAAGCCTGTGGGAGGTCACAGTTCCAGCAGGAGAGAGGGACTGGGGACTGCCAGGTCCCCAGGGCAGGCGGGAGAGGGAGGTAGCTGTGCTGACCTTGGCATCCCTTCGCCCCATGAAGCAGCTGAGGAAGCCAGCTTAGAGGGGCCAGCTGGTCCTCTCCAGCCCAGGGAGCCCTCTCATCTGCAAGCCCCACCACTTCCCCAAAAATGGCCTGGTGACAGGCTTTCTCCACCTGGCGAGGGAAGGCAGTTCATGGGGAGGGGGTTAAATCTGAAGGCTCTGGAGTCACAGGTGGGGTTCAAGTCTCACTGGCTGGGGCTTTGAGGAGGGGTCCTGGTGCTTCTGGCCGAGGGGTCGACCCTGCTAATTAAGAACAAGTTCTGGCCGGGCGCAGTGGCTCACGCCTGTAATTCCAGCACTTTGGGAGGCCGAGGTGGACGGAGCGCCTGAGGTCAGGAGTTCGAGACCAGCCTGGCCAACATGGTGAAACCCCGTCTCTACTAAAAATACAAAAAAATTAGCTGGGCATGGTGGCGGGCACCTGTAGTCCCAGCTACTTGGGAGGCTGAGGCAGGAGAATCACTTGAACCCGGGAGGCGGAGGTTGCAGTGAGCCAAGATTGCGCCACTGCACTCCAGCCTGGGCGACAGGGCGAGACTCCGTCTCAAAAAAAAAAAAAAAAAAAAAGAACAAGTTCCTTCCCCTCTCAGCGCCTTGGTCTACTCACCCATAGCAAGGGTGGTCCCAGGAGGAAATAAGCCAATGAACCGGGGAGGAGTGTGGTGGCTGACAGCATACTGCTGCCATTACACTGCCTGTGAGTCCTAGCCCCGCCTGGCCCGGGAAGCTGTGGGAGGCTCTGGTCCTGGAGGCTGGGGCACCGTGCAGGAACACCAGCGAAGGCTTTTTTTCCTAAGGTCCCACCAGGGTCAAAATTGTCTGGCCCAGGTTCCAAGACCTCCACCACCTCAAGACAAGTAAGAGAGGCCAGGCCAAGCAAGGCCTCCTGGTGGTGGTGGTTGGTGACTGGTGGCCAGCCAGGGTCTGGGTGCCCGAACAGCTGCCAGAATCTGGGGTAGGGGGTGGTTCATGCAGACCAGGACTGGGCTCCATGGTAGGCTGAAATATGACACCAGCCACTGGAAGGCATGGGCCATCTGTCCTACTGGTGACCAGGTCTTTAGGTTGAAAACCAGGACTCAGCAGCTGATGGGTTCAAAATCTGCCTTTCGAGGCCAGCGCGGTGGCTCATGCCCGTAAGCCCAGCACTCTGGGAGGCCGAGGTGGGTGGATCACCTGAGGTCAGGAGTTCGAGACCAGCCTGGCCAACATGGAGAAAACCCATCTCTACTGAAAAAACAAAAATTAGCTGGATGTGGTGGCAGGCACCTGTAGTCCCAGCTACTTGGGAGTCTGAGGCAGGACAATCGCTTGAATCTGGGAGATGGACGTTGCAGTGAGCTGAGATGGCACCACTGCATTCCAACCTGGGTGACAGAGCGGGACTCTGTCTCAAAATAAATAAATAAATAAATACATAAATAAATAAAATCTGCCTTTCCAGCACAGGGCCCTAATGGACAGCTGCTGTGGTCAAGGAAAATGTGGGGAGGAAAGGCTGACTTTACTAAGTCACCCGGGGGGTACACTGGGCCCAGCACCTCAACTCTGATGGGGTGGCCAAAGGCAAGGAGGGCTGGGTGCCTCAACCTCCCCACATGCCCCAGCTCTCTGCATGGGCTGTCAGGATCCATAGGCCAAGAACTAAGCTAGACCCACACCTTCCCTTTTTTTTTTTTTTTTTTTTTTTTCTGCTTTTGAGACAGTGTCTCCCTCTGTTGCCCAGGCTGGAGTACAGTGGTGCAAACATGGTTCATTGCAGCCTTGAACTTTTGGGCTCAAATGATCCTCCTGCCTCAGCCTCCCATGTAGGTGGGACCACAGGCACAGGCCACAACTGGCTAATTTTTTGATTTTTTGTAGAGACAGTATCTCAGTTTGTTGCCCAAGCTGGTCTTGAACTCCTGAGCTCAAGTGATCCTCCCACCTCAGCCTCCTAAAGTGCTGAGATTACAGGTGTGAGCCGCTGTGCCTGGCTCCTTTCAAATCTCTAGCAGCAAAACATTGCTTTTCCCGATGAAAGCATACAGACTCGGTGTAGGAAACAGAGTAGCTGGGACTAAATAAATAAAATAAAATAAAAAGATGATAGGCCAGGAGGGCTCTCCCTTTATGAATGGATGAATGCAGGTACCAGGGGTGGTTCCTGACGAAAGGGTGAGTGTGGTCACCTCCTGCCCTCCCAGGCATGTGCTCCCTTGCACGTGATGCAGAAGGCAACAGGGAGCAAGAAGGCCCTCACCAGATGCGGCCCCTCAGCCTTGGACTTCCCAGCCTCCAGAACCATGAGCCAAATACACTTCTATTCTTTATAAATCAGTGTGTGGTATTCTGTTACAGCAGCACAAAATGGACTAAGACGCCCCACAGCTGTGCCTTTGGGAAGCTGTGGCTATTTCAGGCTGGTTCCCTCTCTTCAGGCCATAATGACGGGGGGTATCTGCCCCCTTTCTTCCCTGGGCCCTGCGGGGACCATAGGGCCCAGCCTGGCTCTCCAGCTGGGTTGACCCACCTAGCCTGTGCCTGGTTCATTCACTTTTCCACCCTTTCTTGGGCACCGCCGGTTCTTGGGTATTTCAGGCGTGTGTCAGGCCTGGCACTGTGAACGAGGCTGGCAGGGTCTCCTATGGCCAAACGGGACGGTGGGCAGTAAGCACATAGTGACACAGAGCGTTACTCTATCACAGGTGTGACGGGGTGCGTGGCTTTTCGCCCTCACCATGCCGCAGCCGTCTGGCCGGGAGGGTTGTGAATGGAAGAGGCAGTGGCCCGCCTGCCACCCTCAGACCACAGGGCAGCTCTCCAACAGAGCCGTAGTCTCCCCTGGGCCTCCCACCCCACTCTGCCCTTTCCTGCTGCCCCTGCAGGGCCTCTCTTCCTCCTCCAGCGCAGCCAGGCCTTGAGTGACTGTGATTCTGACACTGTGAGCGCATCATCTGGTGCCCAGAAATAGAAGCAAACGGCACCATCACTCAAGGCTGATTCCGCCCACATGGCCCTGTCCAGTCGACCAGTTGACTCAAGGAGGGCAAGGAGACCCCTGTGAGGGGAAAGGTCCACCCAGCAGGAGGCTCAGGGGCAAGAGCCGGGGAGCTGGTGGGAGCTGCACTGCCCTGGACCTGCTATGTGCACGTTTCAGGGAGGTCACTCAGCCTCCACTGGCCTCCACTCACTAGGATCACCCAGGGCGCACTCAGGCTCCAGAAAGAGACCGGCTTCAAGGTCGGCCACTTGTGGACAGCAAAACCTCGGTGTGTCTATCCCCCAGAGCTCCCTGCCATGGATACGCTGGGATGCCAAGGGGCCTGCTCTGATGCTTGTGTATAGCAGACACTTGGTAATGGACCCCCGGGACCATGTCAGAGGACACCAGGGCTTGTCCACCACCCCTCACGCTCTTCCGTCCCAACCAGCTCCACTTTCCGCTCTTTGCACAGGGTTGGGGCCTGAATGTCTGAACCCCCCATGCAGGAAGCACAGCTGTCCCCGGGGCCCTGCTGTCCTGGAGGCTTCCCGGCCCTCAGAGGGCAACAAGAACCCACCTCGAGGCCCACCCTTCTCCCCTAGCCCAGGTCCCTCGGGGTTGGTGGTGGCCAGGGAACCAGAGTGCTGGAGGCTCCCAGAGGCCAGGCAGGAGCCAGGGCTTTCTTGGAGAAGAGCTGCTGCCATCCTGGAAGATTTGGAATCATCTCCTCCTGAGGCCTCTGAAAATTAGAACATCACTTGTCTGCCAGCAGCTATGTGCACTGCGGGAAGAGGGGCAGCTGGGGTGACCTAGTGTGGCCCTTTGTGGCTTTGGGCTGCTTTCCCCCTGAGGACGCACTCTGTGGGACCAGCTCAGAGCAGGGCAGGGTCTTTGGGGAGTTGGGGCTAGTGGGGTAGGGGTGGGAGGTGAAGGCTGTGGGCTCAGCTGTTCTAAAGCAAGGAACAAGGACGGGGCTTCTGGGATGCCCTGCAGGCTGCGAAGGGCTGGGTTTGTGGGCAGATGTCTCTCTCCGGCTGGGTTGGGAGGAGGGGTCCCAGTGCTCCTGGGCTGGGAAGTCAATCCTGCTTCTCATCCCCCATTCTGGCTTCCGGAAGGTTGGGAGCCAGCCATATACTGCCCAGGGAGTGTGTAAATCGGTCTGAACTTCCCGAAGGGCATTTGGCTTCGGAATCAGAACTCTCCTCCACGTGTCTCCCTTGGACTCAGCTCTTCCCCTTGCAGGAATATCTCCTTGGGAAATCGTTAGGGATGTGGGCCATGATTCATGGCCCGGGATGTTCACTGCAGCATTGTTTATAACACCGAAAAACGTGAAACGACCCAGCGCCCTTCAAGAGACAGACAGGACAAACTGTGGCCTAATCTAGACACCAGAGCATGCTGTGGCCACTGCAGATGATAAGGCCCATGTATATTTATAGCCCGACTATATCAGAAAGCCATGGGGTATGTTAAGTGGAAAAGGCCACTTATAAAATAGGATTTCCAGTAGGATGCCATCTTCATAAAATAAGATATGTATGTAAGCAAACGTGCTTATATACAGAGAAAAAAATCTAGAAGCTACTGCTCTAAATGCTAACAATGCTTCTTGCTGGGCAAGAGGATTAGGGGTGATTTTTACTGACTTCTTGTAATTCTGCACTTTAAAATCTTTCTTGCCACAAGCACGCATTATTTGTGCACATTTTTAAAAAGTTATTTTTACAGGCTAGGCACAGTGGCTCACGCCTGTAATCCCAGCACTTTGGGAGGCGGTGGCAGGCGGATAGCTTGAGCTCAGGAGTTCGAGACCAGCCTGGCCAACATGGTGAAACCCCGTCTCTACTAAAAACACAAAAATTAGCCAGGTGTGGTGGCAGGCACCTGTAATCCCAGCTACCCAGGAGGCTGAGGCAGGAGAATCACTTGAACTTGGGGGACAGAGGTTGCAGTGAGCTGAGGTCGCGCCACTGCCCTCCAGCCTGGGTGACAGAGCAAGACTCTCTTCAGAAAAAAAAAAAAAAAAGACTCCACCTGCTAAAGCCAGCTCTCCCTATCTTTGAAGACCAGTGGTGTGCAAAGCACTCAGGATCATCAATAGAAAGACTGATGGCGCTGGTTATTCACTCTGCTGAGCACCAGGTCCTGCTAGGAGCAGGTCCCAGGGACATGAAATCACTAGCTGTGCTGGTGGGCAATGCTGATCCAGACCCTGCCTACTGGCACCACAAACTATTGCATTTCTCTTGCATCCGCTGTGTGGACAGCTGCCAGGGCAGTGTATTAAGGGGCCCTGACCTGGCCTGGGGGTGGCCAAAGGCCCCCCTGAGGGACTGACTGTTGCACTGAGGCCCACTGAGATGCTGAGAAAGGAGGCTGGGGAGGGAACCCCTCTACTTCCGAGGAGGTAGCATGTGCGGTTTCCCACAGGAGGGTATCTGAGCGAAGATTTGGGATCAGCCTAAATACCCCTCAGTTAGGAACAGGCTAGACAAGCCTCGTGGAGAGGCTGTCACCTAAATTGTCCCTGAGAGCAAGAGCCAGAGGGCAGGGGATGGGAGAGCTGCCAGAACAGATTATCTGGAGCATCTGAACCCCTCATGCTGGTGCGAGGGACATGGAGGGTCCAGATCAGGATTCCAGGTGGGAGGGCCACAGCTGTGAGAGTGAGGCCAAACCGGGCAAAACACAGCCTGAGAAACACATCACACATTAGCATTCGCACGGGGAAAAATCCAGGGGCACGTGACCCAAGCTGCGGCAGAGGCTCTTCCTGGGAGAGGGTTTAAGGGAGAGGCTCACTTTCTTCTTGATCTAGCCTTGTAATCATTGCATTTTTTCTTACTACAAGAATGTGTAGGCTGGGCACCGTGGCTCTCGCCTATAATCCCAGCACTTTGGGAAGCCAAGACCGGAGGATCACTTGAGGTCAAGAGTTTGAGACCAGCCTGGCCAACATGGTGAAAGCTCATCTCTGAAAAATTAGCCAGGCATGGTGGCAGGCGCCTGTAGTCCCAGCTACTTGGGAGGCAGAGGCAGGAGAATTGCTTGAACCTGGGAGGCGGAGGTTGCAGTGAACCGAGATCGCATCACTTTACTCCAGCCTGGTGACAGAGCGAGACTCTGTCTCAGAAAACAAACAAACTAAAACCCCCAAAACGAAACAAAAAACAAACAAAAAATACCCAAAACCACAAGAGATACCACCTCATACCCATTAGGATGGCTCTGATTGAAAAACCAGATAATGAGTGTTGGTGAAGATGTGGATATATGGGAGCCCTTGGGCATTGCTGGGGGAATGTAAAATCACGCAGCCGCTGTGGGCAACAGTAGGACAGGTCCTCAAACAAGTCAACACAAAATTACCTTGTGATCCAGCAGCTCGATTCCGAGTATACAACCAAAATAACTGAAAGCAGGGGCTCAAGAAGATGCATATACACCTGTGCGCACGGCAGCGTTACTCAGAACAGCTAAAATGTGGAAGCAACCGAAGTGTCCATGGGTGCACGAATGGATACACGAAATGTGGTCCATCCTGTAACTGAGCATTATTCAGCCTTAGAGAGGAAGGAAATGCCGGCGCCCGCTACAGCATGGATGGACCTCGAGGATATCATGCTAAATGAAATCAGCCAGCCACAAAAGACAAATACAGTACGATTCCACTTACTTGAGGTCCCTAGAACAGTCAAATCCACAGAGACAGAGTGTAGAATGGAGGTTGCCAGGGGCTGGGGGAAGGGGAGTGGGGAGTCAGTGCTTAATGGGGACAGAGCTTCTGTGTTTTAAGATGAAAGATGAAAAGAGTTCTGGAGATGGATGGTGGTGATGGCTGCACAACAGTGTGAATGGACTCAATGCCACTGAACTGTACACTTCAAATGACTACAATGATCAATTTTGTGTGATGTATAGCTTATCACAATAAAAAATGACATAAAAATGTAGTTTTCATAGCCAGGCGTGGTGGCTCACTCCTGTGATCCCAGCACTTTGGGAAGCTGATGCAGGTGGATCATCAGGTCAACAGTTCAAGACCAGCCTGGCCAACATGGTGAAACCCCATCTCTACTAAAAATACAAAAATTAGCCAGTCGTGGTGGCGGGCACCTGTAATCCCAGCTACTCGGGAGGGTGAGGCAGGAGAATCACTTGAACCAGGGAGGCAGAGGTTGCTGTGAGCCAAGATCACAGCACTGCAGTCCAGCCTGGGTGACAGAGCGAGACTCCGTCTCAAAAAAAAAAAAGTAGTTTTCATATTCAGGAAAATCTCAATAAAGATACTTTTTTTTTAGACAGAGTCTCACTCTGTCGCCCAGGCTGGAGTGCAGTGGTGCGATCTCAGCTCACTGCAAGCTCCGCCTCCCGGGTTCATGCCAGTGAGCCAAGATCACACCACTGCACTCCAGCCTGGAGACAGAGTGAGATTCCGTCTCAAAGGAAAAAAAAAAGATACTTTTATAGGCCAGCACAGTGGCTCAAGCCTGTAATCCCAGCACTTTGGGAGGCCAAGGTGGGTGGATCACCTCACGCCTATAATCCCAGCAGTTTGGGAGGCCGAGGTGGGTGGATTACCTGAGGTCAGGAGTTCGAGACCAGCCTGGCCAACATAACGAAACCATGTTGGAGAATTGCTTGAACCCGGGAGGCGGAGGTTGCAGTGAGCCAAGATCTTATCACTGCACTCCAGCCAGGGCAACAGAGACAGACTGTGTCTCAAAAACAAACAAACAAACAAACAAACAAACAAACAAAAAGATACTTTCATAAAGGACATAGATCAAGGAACAAGACCAGAGGCATTTCCCACCACAGGACAGGCCCATGAGGAAACAAGGATGGGCTTAGTGAACTGGGATGGGCCTGGTCACCTGTCACCTGTCACCTGGCTCCCTTCGGATCATCAAGCTGGGTGCTGCTCGGGAGGGAGAAGGGGACAGGTGGTCTCAAGGCATCTAGAGCTTGGAAGGTACCTGGCAGGAGGCTGGTCCTGGACTTCTGACAATGATGACGGTGATAATGATGATGATAATCATTGCTACTTAACCGTTAACCAACATCAGTAAGTGCCAAGCACTTCATGTGTGATTCATCAGGGAGATTTCCCAACAACCCACCTGACAGATGAAGAAACTGAGGCTCAGAGAGGCAAAGTCACTTGCCTGAGTTCCCACAGCAGGGCTGGGATTTGCACTCAGGTCCGGCTGCCTGTGGAGTCCAAACTTTTGCCTGCTGCTAAGACCCCTTCTGGCTCTGAGCTTTCTAGAGTCTTGACAGTGTGCACTAGGAGAGGGGCAAGCAGGGAGGGCATGGGACTGCTTGCCAAGCAGGGAGCATGCAGAGAACTTCCCCAGGCCCAGCAGGACCCTTCCTAGGCCTCGTAGCTGCAGCTCCCATTTCCCAAGCTCCCAAGTCTGCCTCTTCAGAGCCAAGTGGAACCCAGGTCCCAACTGCAAGCTCGGAGGTCTTGCTCCCAGCCCAGAGACTGCCCCTGGGGGTTAGCTGAGTGCCACGGGGCCAGAGCGGGTGGGCAGGGCTAGGTAGGGCTCCCTCCCCCTTCAGTATTGCAGTGATGTCACCGTGTGGCATGGCACCCACCATGCCAAATGCTTTGCCATCTCCCTTCACATCCCTGCCACATCCCCCTCAGCCCCCAGATAGGGAAACTGAGGCTCAGAGACAGGAACTGACTTGAGCATGTGCGTACAGCAAGTAAGGGTCAGAGCAGGGACCTGGACAATAGCCAGTCTCTCCCCAGAGCCTGTGCTCCAGGGTTGAAGGGTGCCCTCCAAAGACAAAAGGACAGATGGAACCTGCAGCGTGTGCTCAGTGGGCAGTCTGCTTTCCCCGGGGCAGGGGACTGTGGGACCTTCCTTCCTGGCAGGTCAGACCAGAGCTGCAGGATTAGAGCCTGCCTTGGCCATTTGCTGCAATTTTCTCCCACCAAGCCGAGGTCTGGGCTGGCATCCCCACAGAGTGACCTCGGGGTCCCCAGACCCACCCGGCCTGCTCTGTGGCCTATGCTGAATGCCTGACTTGTGCCAGGCCCTATGTCCCCATGGCCTCAACACCTGGATATGAAGACAGTCAACCTCCTCCCAGATCATTCCCCTCCGCAAAGCACACACGCTCCAGGAGTGCAGTGAACACGGGTGATATGCCCGACCTGCAGCCCCACGGTGAGCAGCGAGGAGTGGGGGGGTTTGCAGTCACGGGGCCTTGGATTTACTTCCTGAACCTACCGCTTATAGCTGTATGGTGGGCAAGTTGCTTGAGCTTTCTGAGCCTCAGTTTACTCATCTGTAAAATGGGCATATTAATATTTACCTTGAAAGGTCATCGACAGCTTTTTTACATCATAAAATACAGGCCGTTCATGCCATTGTCTTTGGTACATAATAAAGCTCAATACATGATGTTTTTAAAGATTTTTAAAAATGTCTATCACTTCTGTTCAAGGAGGAAGGCAACTCAAATCTTCATCTTTATCCTGTGGGGCAAACAGCTTTGTGCCCATGGCAGCTGGCTGCTGGAATGAGCCTGAAGCCTTATCTTAACAAGTAGGTTGCAAATTTTTCAATGTTTGGGGCAGGGGAAATGTTCTTAAAAGCAAACATTCCTGTAAAAAAAAAACAAAGCAGAGCTATTTTACTTGGTGATGTGAGGCAGCTTGCTTGCATACCTCCTACCACGGGGAGCTCACCCCCTTACTAGAGCATCCACTGACTGTGGGTAAGTTGAGATGCACCTCCTTTCTTCTCTGATCCTCCCCCTGCTGGAAGCTTCACACAGTCTGAGCTGGTTCCCTCTCCCTCTCCTCTGAAAACGCAAAGCAAAGCTAGAGTTGCTCCTGGTTCTGCTCCTGGCTCCATCACTGACTAGCTGCAGGACCTTAGAACCATCGTCACCCCATGCCTCAATTTCCCCCTCTTTAAATGGGGAATAATAACAGCACCAAGCTCCATGGGTTATGGTGAAGATCAGAAGTAATGATATGGTTTATGCAAAGCCCTGGAACACGGTAAGCACTCAACCAATGACATCTTCATCACCTCCCTTGTCACATGGGGAAAGAAGGTGGGAAGGAAGAGATGGGGTCAAGGGAGCAGGGTTGAGAGACAGACTGGAGTGTATGCCTTCCCACCCCATCTTCTGACAGCAGGCAACCTACCTCTCTAAATCCCAACAGTCTTCTTGAGCCACGTGGCCCTGTGTGAAACTGTGGATAATGAGAGCAGGTTCTGCCCCTGGAAGCGCCTGGCCTAGTGCCTCGGCCACTTTGCTCTGTCCCTCCCTCCCACGCCCATGGCACAGCACCTGGAAGAGCAGAGGCCTGTGTGTCAGCTGGAGCCAGTGCAAATCTCAAGCCCTGAGGCTGGGCCAGGTTGCTTTATTTATAGGAACCTCAGTTCCCTAATCTGTAAAATGGGCATGATAATGGCACCAACCTCGTGAGACTGTTTATTCAGGAGTAAATCATAAGTTATTGTAATGTAAATAATTTAGTAATAAGAACAAGAAAACTGGCCAGGCACGGTGGCTCATGCCTATAATCCCAGCACTTTGGGAGGCCAAGGCGGGTGGATCACCTGAGGTCAGGAGTTTGAGACCAGCCTGGCCAACATGGTGAAACCCCATCTCTACTAAAAATACAAAAATTAGCTGGGTGTGGTGGTGTGCGCTTGTAATCCCAGCTACTTGGGAGGCTGAGGTAGGAGAATTGCTTGAACCCGGGAGGCGGAGGTTGTAGTGAGCTGAAGGTTGTAGTGAGCCAAGATCGTGCCACTGCACTTCAGTCTTACAGCCTGGGTGACAGAGCGAGACTCTGTCAAAAAAAAAAAAAAAAAAAGGAACAAGAAAACCTCGAAGGTGGCAGACCCAGCCATCTCCTGCATGAAGTATCCAATGGTTTCTGCCTCCCCGAGTCCCACCCAGAGAGCATAGAGCCTCCAGACTGAGACTAGAGCAGGGAGATACGTGTTTTTATTGTAACTTCCTCTGGAACTGATGTTCTCCGTGGTCCAACCCAATGCCCTTTTGGAACTGAGACCCCTTGTTAATGTTTGCCTTGCCTGAGACCTCCACCTCACATGTCCCTCAAATGATGGCCACACCGGGAAAGACAAGGAAATCGATGCGGGCCTGGCGTGGAGGGTGGAAGCTTCCTGGGGCACCTTGGGGACCTGGTGGTGCCCGAAGGGTGGGCCGGACGGGGGCTGGGCATCACCTCTGGGTGGAGGGAATGGCTTGCCTCCACATGGGCCCCACGTGGCACCTGGCACAGGGCGGTGCTAATCTGCAAGACATTGGTGGCAAAGACTTTGCAAACAAACAAACCCACAACTGGCCCCCCGAACCCTTCTCCAGTGACTCCCCCTGGGAAGGAGCAGGGAAGAACTCCAGGGGGCTGTGAGTGGGTGGCAGTCCCAGGGGAACTCCCTGGGTCCCCAGACCCTGGGGAAGAAGCCTGGGCAGCTTTCCCGGTTCCTGAACCGAGGCGGGAGGTGCTCATGGGGCAGCTCACGGGAACAGCCTGGCTGGGAGCTGTCAAGGAGCGAGGACCTCAGCCGTGGGGCAGGAGTCAAACAGTGACACCCCATTCCAGGATGCCCACCAGAGCCCTGACCGTCTCCCTTGAGGCCACCGCCTCTGGCCCAGCCTCCCTTCAAGCTGCCTCTGGGCAGCGGTGCCTTTTGCTGAGCAGGTCCTTCTCACAGGGCCGCAATGGCCTCTGTCTTCATTTGGCATGTGGCAGGAGAGCCTCGTCTATGCATCCCTGGCTGTCGCTCCCCCACGCCGGAGCCTGCCTGTTTCTGGGGCACCCTTCCTGCCTAACCTCATTAGACCATCCCAGCCGGTTTCTGAGGGCTGTGCAGGTCCCGGCCAGGGTGGGGTTGGGCAGGCCAGGCTGCCTCCCGAGGGGCCTGACAGTGAGTGGCGGGCGGCAGGCACACTCACCCAGGAGCAGATTCATGAGCACCTCCTGGCCGGCCAGTGTGCTGCTCTTCACCAGGCAGAGGATGGTGCCTCCGATCCAGGGGATGCCGTGGCCCGTGATGCCGATGAGCTTGACCATGGAGCGGGCACTGGCCCAGGACGCCGCCCGGCCAGCGCACACCCCCAGCCGCTTGGACATACAGATATCGATGGCCAGCAGGGAGTTGAAGGCGATGCCCTTGAAGGAGGGGTTCAGCTGCATGCAGTCCTCCTCTGGCAGCTGCTGTGACTGGCGTCGCTCTCTGGCCCCGTCACCAGCAGGTGGGGGCTGTGCTGATGGGCCCGAGGCCTTTCTGCCCGAGCTGCGGGGCTCCGGGCCCCCCTTGGGGGGCTGGTTCAGGGACAGGAACTCAGCCCGGTTGAGGACGTTGTTGCGGTCCCGGGCACGGGCCCGGCTCTGGGAAGCTGGCATGGTGACCTCGCTCACCCCGAGAAGGCCGATGCCAGCCCGGCTCCAAGGGCCTTCTCCCCGAAGACAAGAGCTGCCCCCAGAGCCGCCACCGTGGCTGCCTCCCTGCCTTCTCCGCCGCAGCTGTTAAATATAGTGTGGAGAGTTGCACATGGCTGTTTATCTCCTCTGCCACCCAGCTCCAAGGGGACGTCAGTGCCAGCCGGGCAGCCAATCGAGCCCTCCAATGCGGGGCCTGCACCAGCAGAGCCTCCGGGAGGTGAGGAGTCCACAGCTGCGGCCTGGCTGCCTCGGGCCTGGGCTATTTAAATCGGCCAATGGCTCATCCCTGGGCTTGGGGGACTCTGGGAAATGTAGTCCTCCGGCTGCTCTGGACTCTGCAGTGGCCTTGGCCTCTGAAGGGGCAGAGGTGGGACCTGGGCTTACCCTGCTTTTACCAGCTTCCCTCTGAGCCGTCCAGACCCCTGCAAGTCAGGCCTGCCTGCCCCAGCTGCCGGGCAGCTTGGACCTGGTCCTGTAAACTGGACGGTGTTGCTTGGGCCGAGGCCTCTTTGGGCACCAGATGGAGTGAACGACGTCACTGACAGCATCATCTTGGGTCCCTGGGGCCAGGTCCAGCTCCTCCCTCTGTGACAGCATTCATTCAGCTGGCAGGTCTTTTTTTAAATCAGTCTTGAATTCAGCTTCAGTGCATCACAGTCCAATCAAACGACACTCCGTGAGCTCTGATTTCCACCGGAGGGAGGGGTCATGAGTTGGTTGGTAATGGATTGCCTCTTGGAGGTTGCCTCCACTACCTGGAACTTCGCAAAGGACGGGAGTGTGACAGCAGCTTCAGGCAACCCGTAAATAGTTTCCGAGCGCCTGGCAGTGTGTCAGTGCTGGGCGCACTGCGAAAAGCTCACAGCTCAGTGGGGATGGAAAGAAGGACACGTGTAAGTGGTCACAGGTGTGCAAATGTGTGGCAGGATCCTAGAAGCGGGGCTCTGGGGGCTCTGGGTCTGGTCTGGGAATCAGGGACGGCTGCCCCCAGGAAGGAAGAACAAAGGGGGAGTCCCATTCGGGGACAGCCTGCCTTGCAGGAGGCCCAGGAGGCCCGTGTGGCTGCATGGGGCCCAAGGGGACGAGAGGCTGCAAACCCAGAACGCAGACCCAGAGGGCCCAGCTGAGGATTCCGGATGTGAGGGAGGTATCCCTGCTCCCATCTGGACCACCTGTGGGAACCCGAAGTCTCCACAGCCCTTTTAGGGCTGATTGGGCCTGGGCTCGATGGGGGAAGCTGCCAATTTAAGCTGACCAGAAGAGTCAGAAGTGAGCTCCTCCGTCTCCTGATTCTCAGTGGCCAAGGCCTGTCTGCTCGCCCAGATGAAGGCAGGGGGCTGCAACTTCTCTTCCAACCATGGAGCCAGCCCACGGTGCCTCAGGCCCACCTAGAGCCTCCCAAGAACAGGAAGCTGCCCTGGGAGGGAGTGGGTGTTCCCTGGCCATGGGGGATGGGCACCCAGGCTCTGGAGTCAGACAGACGGGGCTCTGCCCCGCCATCAACCAGCTGGGAGACCTTGAGCAACTCACTTGGCCTCCCTGGGCCTTGGTGTTTCCACCTGTCGCATGGGAATGACAGTGTCCACCTCTTAGGGCTCTCGTGAGTCCGGGTGAGACAGTGTTTGTGAAACGCTGAGCTGAGTCCCTGCTGCAGAGTGAGTTAGGAATCAATTTCAGCCCTGTGGGTTAGTAATTGATTTCATTTGACAAACGAGGCACAGCCGTCTCTTCCTTTTGAGTGCCCGCTTCAGAAGGGCCCAACCCTGTGGTCTGGCCTCCACCCCTTTCCTGGCAGGGATGAGGCCAGAGTCCAGGAGCCTTCAGTCTGGGGTTCCCTGCAGACGCCCTGGCTGGGTCCAGCTGGGCTGGAGCAGGCTAGACCTGCCTCATTCCCCACTCTTCCTCTCCAGCGTGCTCCACTCAGACTGTGCGGCCATAGAGGGGATGTCGTGGCCGCGAGACGTCCTGCCATCTTGGGTGCAGCAATGATGACATGTGCTGCTTCATCCCGGACACTAGACGGCTGGAACCTGGCGCACATGGAAGTGTGCACGCCAGGCACGGATATTGAGCGTGTATAAGCTCTTTGTGTGCTGAGCTCTCTATGTGTTCAGCTTATCGACAAAGTCTAATGACAGTCCTGTAACGCAGCTGTGATATCCCCATTTACAGACGTGGAAGCTGAGGCTGAGTGGGTGAAGGCCTCGAGCCAGGAAGCTGAAAAGAGAAGGGGTCCGGCTCCTAAGTGGTCCCTATGGGGGGTGGCACGAGGGCCGCTGGACTCAGATCCCTGGACCACAGGGAACTGATCTGCTCATCTCCCCACCAAGCACTCACCCCATTCTCCCTGGGTGGCCTCAGGAGGGGCACAGGAGCCCGGCCCAGACAGGGGCTATTAATACCCAGAGGCTGTGTCAGCATTTCGTCTGGCTAGAGCTGCTGGCATGTTCTGAGAGCCACAATGGGCCTCACACTGTTGGGGCCATGGGGTCTGATTTGGCTCCTGCCCAGCAGTAGTTAAGACATAAAGTCTGGGGTAGGATGGCCCCAGGTTCAAACCCTGGCTCAGCCACCTCCAGAGTGACCCCAGGCAAATCCTTTCGCCATTCCAAGCCCGTTTTCCCCTTTGAGGGCTGGCAAGAAGATTGTGTGAAGGGCTCTTTCTGTCTGTGATGGTTTTGGTGGCTTCCTCCAGGACCCTGAGACCTGCTCCTCTCCCTTGTATGGTGGGGTGACACTGTTCACAGTCTCAGGTAGCTGGGAAGCAAGAGCAAGCAAGCTTGGTGGGCTAACCTGAACCACCTACTATAGCACCCAGATACAGGGAGGCAGGATGGGACCACAGACACTCCTGGTTGCCTCAACCCACAAGCCTTTATTTTTACTTTATTTTTTTAGAGACGAGGTCTCACTATATTGCCCAAGCTGGTCTCGAACTCCTGGGCTCAAGTGATCCTCCTGCCTCCTCCTCCCAAAGTGTTGGGATTACAGGCACGAGCCACTGTGCCTGGCCCCCACAAACCTTTATAAGCACCCAATATGGGCCGCACAATCCCACTTCCCAAGAGACTGAGAATTCATTCATTCATTCATCCATCCATTCATTCATTCAATGCTTTTATTGATCTCGTCCTCTCATTGATCTCGCAGTCTAGTTGGGGATACCAGGACACACATCCACAAAATAATTAGCCAATTTATAAAAGAGTATAATTTTACCAATAGCCTTATTTTTTCTTACTATCAAAGTGTTACATACTTACTGCAATAGATTCAACACACGCGGTTGATATAGGTTTCATCCTACCACCCAGTGTTAACGTGAGGGTGATCAGGATATAAACGGTTTCTCACTTGTCTCATTTCCAATTACTAAAATATTTTGCATCAACCAAGCATTACTTTATTAATTAGAAAATAATATATACTAAATAAGCTATATCTCTATATATCATATATATGCAACATACACAAAAATATGCATTTAAAAATTATTATTATTATTTTTTGAGACAAGGTCTCACTCTGTCACCCAGGCTGAAATGTAGTGGCATGATCTTGGCTCACTGCAATCCCTGTCTCCCGGGTTCAAGTGATTCTTATGCCTCAGCCTCCCGAGTAGCTGGGACTACAGGTGCATGCCACCACACCCAGCTAATTTTTGTATTTTTTGGTAGAGACAGGGTTTCAACCATGTTGGCCAGGCTGGTCTTGAACTCCTGACTTCAAGTGGTCTGCTGCCTTGGCCTCCTAAAGTGCTGGGATTACAGATGTAAGCCGCTGCGCCTGGCCCCAAAATATGCATTTTAAACATGTGATGACATTATACATTCTTCTGAAAAGCAACCTATCCTTTTCACTTAACAATATAAATCTGGCCATGTTTCCATGACACTCTATTATTTTTCAAAGGCTGCCTGGCATTTTGTCACATGGATGGGCCAGAATTTATGTAACCAATCCCCTGTTATTGGACATTTCATTGTTTCCATTGTGTAACTATTCAAAAACTACTCTAGGGTGGCTGTCCTTCTGCATATATCCCTGTGCTCTAAAGCAGGATAGAAACAAGTAGTCAAGGCCGGGCGCAGTGGCTCACGCCTGTAATCCCAGCACTTTGGGAGGCCGAGGCGGGTGGATCATCTGAGGTCAGGAGTTCAGGACCAGCCTGACCAACATGGTGAATCCTGGTCTCTACTAAAAATACAAAATTAGCTGGGTGTGGTGGCTAACGCCTGTAATCCCAGCTACTTGGGAGGCTGAGGCATGAGAATTGCTTGAACTCAGGAGGCAGAGGTTGCAGTGAGCCAAGATGGCACCAGTGCATTCTAGCCTGGGCGACAAGAGCGAAACTCCGTCTCAAAAAAAGAAAAGGCCGGGCCAGTGGTTCACGCCTGTAATCTCAGCACTTTGGGAGGCCGAGGCAGGTGGATCAGGACTTTGAGACCAGCCTGGCCAATGTGGTGAAACCCCGTCTCTACTAAAAATTCAAAAATCAGCAGGGCTTGGTGGCGTGCACCTGTAATCTCAGCTACTCAGGAGGCTGAGGCAGGAGAATCGCTTGAACCCGGGAGGCAAAGGTTGCAGTGAGCCAAGATCGCGTCATTGTACTCCAGCGCCTGGATGACAAGAGCGAAACTCCGTCTCAATTAAAAAAAAAAAAGAAAAAGAAAAAAGAAACAAGTAGTCAAGGTGGGGTGGCTGGGACCATGCTGGGAGGGATCCCCATGGGATCTGGTGGGCTAGCCCAAACTACCTACTGTAGCGTCCAGACATGGGAGGCAGGATGGGGCCACAGACACTCGCGGTTGACAAGCCAAGTCCAACCACCCTCTTCCCATGTTAGAGGAACAAGTGCAGGCCCAGAGTGGTGACATCACTTGTGAGGCCACACAGCTAGCCAGGGCCAGAGCTGGGACTTAGGCAGGCCAGTCCCTCTGACTCTGAGCCTGTGAGCTGTCCTCCTGGCCACGTGTCCCACAGCTTCTCTGTTCCCTGCCTGCTTGGCCTCGTCTGTCACTCATTCACTTACTCATTCAGTTTCATTCATTCACTCACCAACACTTTTTTTTCTTTTTGAGACAGGGTCTCGCACTGTTGCCCAGGCTGGAGTGCAGTGGCATGATCTTGGCTCACTGCAACCTCCAACTCCCAGGCTTAAGTGATCCTCCCACCTCAGCCTCCCAAGTAGCTGGGACTATAGACGCATGCCACCACGCCCGGTTAATTTTTCTGCTTTTTGTAGAAATGGAGTTTCACCATGTTGTTCAGGCTGGTCTTGCATTCATGAGCTCAAGCAATCTGCCCACCTTGGCCTCCCAAAGTGCTGGGATTACAGGCATTGGCCACCGCACCCAGCCTTCACCAACACTTCTTGAAGCCACAATGTGCCAGGCCCCATGGACGGACCAATGAGAAGAGCAAAGATGACCTTGGTGGCCCTGTCCCCTTAGACCAGTAGACGTCCCAGGAGCCTTGCTCCACCTGGGCCTTGTTCCAAATATCGATTGCTGAGAGGTGGGCTGGGAGTGAATTGATTTGCCAGGGCCCACAGCTGGTACAAGGATTCAGACCCAAAGCTCAGCCTAAATCCCTAACCATCTGACAATACTACTTCTCTCTCACTTGACAGCAGGAGTTTTCTGGCAGCTTTTGGTACCTAGAGCAGTTTGGACATTGCAGACACTTGTTTTCTGTCTTTAAGAGTTTAAGATAGTTACCATAAATACAAACATGCATATTTACCCCTGGCTTATACCTAACCCTTGCTATGCCTGTGCCAGGCTTGGAGTAGAGTTTACGCCCTACATCACCCAGTGTAACCAGCACAGACACTTCACAGACAGGGCTTTTCACGCCCTGCACACAAAGGGGAAAACAAGCTCAGAGTTGAGGGATCTAGCCAGGCCACTGCATGAACCAGCAGGGAGCCCCAAGTCAAATCTCACCCCCCACCCCTTGCCCTCTTCCCTCTTCTGCTCTCTGCTGTTTTCTTGTTTGTTTTTTTGAGACAGGGTCTCGCTCTTTCACCCAGGCTGGAATTAAGTGGCGTGATCTCAGCTCACTGTAACCTCCGCCTCCCAGGTTCAAGCGATTCTCCTGCCTCAGCCTCCCGAGTAGCTGAGACTACAGGTGTGCACCACCACGCCTGGCTAATTTTTTGTATTTTTAGTAGAGATGGGGTTTCGTCATGTTGCCCAGGCTGGTCTCAAACTCCTGAGCCCAGGCAATCTGCTCGCTTTGGCCTCCCAAAGTGCTGGGATCACAGGTGTGAGCCACCACGCCCAGCCTTCTTTTTTTTTTTTTAAGCCCATATCCCTTTCGGACGCAGCATAGCCTCACCTCTTTATTCTGTGAGTGTTTGGGGTTCTGTGTCCTGCTAGGAAAAGGCTAGTCCCCCGGGGCGGGGACTGTCGTCTATTTGTTCACTGGTGGGACCCAGGTGCTCAGGCAGTGCCTGGCTCATAGTAGAAACAACTTCCAAGCCGGGCTCGAACCTGCTACACACCTGGTCATCAAAGATGGCCAGTGGGACACTGTTAGGGGACTATTGTGACACTATTGGGGGACTGACGGCAGAAAGGAAGGGGAGGGAGTGGGTGAGAAGCTCCACTCTGGGTGGGGCCAACGGCCTGGCAGCTGCAGGGGAGAGGAGGGAGGGTCCGCCGCGGGCTCCCCTGCCAGGAGGGCGAGGGAGCCCCGCGGAAAGCATTTTTCACCCCCGCCTCCCGCCCGGATCGCTTTCTCAGTTCGCATTTCTAAGGCCGCTCCTGGGTTATTTTGGTCGGGAAACCTGATCCTTCGCTGGGTTTATTTTAGCACCTTGGAGAACTCCCAGTCCCGCACCCGATCCCAGGCCGCCCCCTCCGTCCTTCCCCGGCGGCGGGGGGCGGGGGACCGCGGGGCGTGTTGGTGGGCGGCGCGCCCCTGGCCCGGCCGGGGTTGCCCGCGTCCCCCCACTGGCATCTCCTGCTCGTGGGCTTCTGACCTCTCGGACGGAGGCTGCTGGGTGGGACTGGTGGTGAGCGGGTGCAGAGGGGCGGCGTCGGGGTGGGCGGGGCGGTGCTGAGCGCGCTGCAGCTCCGCGGTGCCGGCGTTGGGCTGCCTGAGCCTCCGGACCTGGGCTGGGAGACTGTGCGTTCTGACGCGCGCCCCGGGCGGGGAAGACCTTAGGCGCTCAGGGCGGTGGCTGGAGGCTCCTAGAAACCTCCAGGAGGATGGGGAAGCCCGGCCAGAGGGGGAGTGGAGGGTGTTGCGGGGGTTCGGGGGGCGGAGTGCGAGGCCAGGAGCCCTACCTGGGACCCTCGGTGGGCAGCGAGGGACAGTCCCTACTCGCCCCTTCCTGATCTCGATTCAGCCTCAGTGACTCGGACTCAGCCCCACACTCACACCCAACACACCCGCATGTGCAGACACACTTGCACACTCACACTCATGCACACCCACAGATGTGCTCACCACACAATCCAGTTCACACCCACACCCACACAGACACACAGACACATGGCCTCATCCACAGACACACATGGACCCAAACACACAACCAGAACACACACTTAAACACATCCTTACACCCCCACTTTCATCCCCTCACACAATACACACACGGTTATACACAACTTGCACGCACGTGCCCATCAACACCCATACCACATATGCTCATTCACACCATTACACACCCCATACACACATGGACACACACCCACATGGCATGCAGGCACATACACTTACAAGATGGACACACTCATACACACCCACAGTCACCAACAACTGTCAAATATAGCCTCACACGCAGAGATGCACACTCACATCATCACGCAGAGATGCACATGCCCCCACACGCCCTATCCCACTGCACACACACCCCACAGCCTCACAACCCACAGCCCTGGTGCACGCACCCTTCCTCCAGCTCAGCAGCAGACACACACATCGAAACAACTGACCGACATACCTCCTGATTTATAGCCATCGATGCTTACTCATAACCATTTTGAGCATCAGTCTGTACCTATTTATTATTGATGATAATCAATACCCTCATTCATGGCTCCTGGCATTATCCCCGACATCTCAGGGAAGGGGATGTGAGTGCTGTTGTCTGGGCCTGGCTGTGACTCCTCCGCTATATCTTCTCAGTGCCTGGCCCGGCGGACGTGTCCGGTCCACACTGGGGAAGGAATGAGCTGGAACAGTGGGCAGGTGCCCCAAGCCTAACTTGCCCTATAAGCCATGTGGTTCTGAGCTTCGGCTGAAAAGGCCCCAGCCTCCAGATTTGCAGCCAGCACAGGCAGCGGTTTCAATCCCTTGTCCCATGCCCTGCCATACCCATGCGGCACCATGGCCCTCAGTGGAGAGTGACGCTCTCACTGAGTGCAGGGCCAGAAGACCCGGGTTCTAGTGAAGGAAGCCTCCCTGGAGGACTTCACTGGGCCTCTGTTCCCCACCTGTAGGGGAGGCTGCTGGACCAGCTCTCTCTGAGATCTTGTCCCTACTCCCCTGGCCAGGCTCAGCCTGCCCCCTGTCCCAGTTAGGCAGGTCAGGGATGCAGACATGCCCTACGCCTCCATCTGCCACCTAGCCTCTCAATGTCTCCCACCTTCAGACACCTGTTTGGCTCTTTGGCCCCACCCACCTCCCTGGTGGACATTCCAAGCTTCGTCATTGGCTTTCGGTCTGGTCCCCAACAGTTGGGGAGAGAACGCTGTCTCCCAGGGCAACAGAATTCCAGCACCGAACATTTCCATCTGCAGAACAAAAACTTTTCCCTCTCTTGAGATTCCTTTTTGGCCTCTGATGACCCCAGCCTTGAAGGTGGCAAGCCCTTGGAGGACCCGCTGAAACTCTGAATGCAGAGTGGTCCATGAGAGAGAAAGAGCCTTGGGACTGTCTCTGGTGGCCACTGAAAACAAGGTCCCTATACTGCAAGGAATGCTGGTGAGAGCGCCCACTATATCCCAGTCATCCAGCCTCTGGGTCTTAGAGCCAGGCCCCCTGGTTCCATCCACCCCTCCCTCTTCACCAGGCCTCAGTGTCCTCATCTGTAGAATGGGATGATGACAGGGTCGGGTCAACCCCTGATCCCTGGGTTTCTCTGGATCAGTTCTGGGATCATTGTGGAAAGCCATGAAGATGCTGTGTGCAAAGCCCCAGCTCACGGTGATGCCTGCAAGGAGACACTGCAGCAGTCTCTTTTCCAAAGACTTCCCAGGTCCCTGCAGCTTGGCAGGGTCAGTGTTGTTTCTACTTCTGACTTGCTGTGTGGCTTTGGGTTTTCATGACTTCTCTGGGCCAATGTGCCAGGAATTGAGGACCTTGTCCTCCCACTGACAACACTTTGAGCTCCCAAGTGGCCATCCCAGTGTTCACCATCCCGGGTGGGGGATGGGGCCGTGTCTCCCCACCCCTCCTCTTTCTCATTTTTCAGAGTCCAGGGAGCCTGAGGCCTGGGGGAGGGGAAAGGGTCCTGAGAGCAATGGGAGTGCCCTGTGCTGTTGGGCAATGACTCAAACAGATGTCCCCTTCCTCTGCTCTGCAGACACCGGCACTTCACACGCGCGTGGATGCGTCATGAGCCTTCCACATATGCTGAGGCTGCCGTGGGTCTGTGCCCAACACCCACGGAGCTCCGGAAAATGACGAGCAGGAGGAAGGGCTGTGTAGGGAAGCGGCAGGGCCGGAGGGGCCGCGAGCTGGGGAAGCCACCAGAACCCTGGTGGGCGCTTCAGAAGCCAGGGCAGGGAGTGCATGCAGGAGCCGAGCCCATTCACACCCTCTGCCTGGCAGAGCTGCCCCCCAGCTCAAAGCCGGCAAACAGGCCCATGGACTGATGCTTCCTGGTCCCTTCTCCTGCAGACTGAGATGACATCCTGTGCAGGGGTGATGTCAAGGGGGAGCAGGTTAAGGGAGAGGGGTCTTCTACTTTGCAAGTCCTCACCATGTGGGCGCCCACACACCTCTGCTGGTAGGACTTCCTAGTGATCAGTCCCATCCTAGTTCTGAGGGGCTGGCCCTGGCTAGCAAGTGGGGTGTGCTTGGTGAAGAAGCTGAATGTGGGCTTTGGAGCTGGTCAGATCGGAGCTGGCATCCAGCCTCTGAGAAGTCTCTATCCCCTGATCCCTGGGTTTTTGGGTTTCTCTATCTGTGGAGCCCACTGCCTAGGGCTAAGGTCAAGGATAGAAGAGACAGTGCCTGCTCAATGTAACGCCTGACACACAGTGGGTGCTTTACAAACCCAGGCGGAGCCCAGGACGGAGGGGGCGGGGCACTGTCACTCCCAGCTGGCCTTGAAGAGAGCCCACCCCCGGGAAATCACCTCCAGCAGCTTCACTGCTCACAAGGCGGTTCAGGGCTCTGGTCCCTGTCCTTTCCACGAGAGGGACGTGCAGCTCTGGCCCTGTTCATTGAGCACTTGAACTTGTCACCTCATTTCCAGGATAGCATTCCTACCCTCACAGAGCACCCTGGCCAGGCTGTCGGGGTGATGAGAGTCGGGAAATGAAACAGACATCTCAAAAGTGAATATCGTCCCTACATATAAACTGGGTAGTGCAGTAATTATCTGATGGCACAAGAGGTGCAGAAGGCCCTGTGACTGTCAGAGGGACAGAAGGTTTTGTGGGGGCCATTAGTTCATGGAAGGGAGAGGCCATTTCACATGGTGAAGAGGCCAGAGAAGACTTCTTCCTGGAAATGGACATTTATGTAGAGCCCTGATGTAATCTGTGTGCTGTCTGGGGTTCTACTGTGTCCAACAGGCCAAGGGGGCCATCTCTGTGGCCCTGCCTTGGCCCGAGTCAGTGGGACTAGGAATAAGCCACCTACTAGCTGAACTGGAAAGGGACCACCTCCTCATTAGCTGGGGATACGGGCCATAGCAGTGCTGGGGTGAGGGTGTGGCTGGGTGAGAGGCGGAGGCCACCCTAGCCAGCCACTTCCTGCTCCATGGCTGAGCCGGTGCTGCTGTGAGATGTCCTGGTTGTTAACCCCTCAAAGGAGAGATCCAAGAGTGGCCAGCCCCTCGGTCCCTCCAGCCCTGCCCTCACACACTCAGCGTGCTCCGGCTCTGGGACTGGCTGGAAGCACCTGCCCTGTGCCGGCTGTGGGCACCTGTGGAAGTCAGAGTCATGGGGATGGGGTGGGGACGAAGAGCGTGGCTTTAATGTAGCTGCCAGATGTACTTATGTCACAAATTGCTTGGGCTTTCCCTACGGCTGGCTGGAAGGTAGGGGTGGGGTTCATAGCTCTCCCATGGCTGTACAGCCTCATGCTCCTTTTGAGCCCCTGCACTGGGACCCCTGCGGGGGGACGGGGGGAAGGACCTTGGGCAAATCCCCTAGCCTCTCAGCTCTGGGTGCCTGCTCTGTGAAGTGCACATCATCAGTCTCCCTCCACAGGGAGGCCGATGGTGGCTGAAATGATGCTCTGTACAGCGCTCATCACACAGCCGGGGTCCAACAGGCAGCCAGCAGACCTGCTCGAGGGGACCCACCTCTCCCCAAACTGCTCTCCCCTCCCCGCGACCTTCCCAGCCTTGGAGCCTACAAAGCCCCCGCGCTGTCTCCACCAAGCCACTGTCTCCCTGCGGTCAGGAACCCCAGGGCAAGGGAGCCCTTCTGCGGGTGCTCCGAACCCCAGAAAGCCTCTGGTCCATAGAGTTCAAAGGGCACTGGGAGCAGCCCACCTGGCCCCGAGACAGCAGCGGAACTACACTACCCAGAATTCCCGGGGCTGGCCAAAAAGGAAATGTCGTTTGTTCAAGGAGAGGCTCAGCTCCCCGAGCAGCTGCAGAGACAGGGAGCGAGGGGGAGCGAGGGATTACCAGGGGGAGGGCGGGCTGTGTGCGGGGAGCGAGGGTGGAGAGCCAGGCGGGCGGGGAGGAGGAGGCGGCGCCCGCCCGCCGCCGCCGCCGCCGCCTGCGGACCTGCATCCCCGCGGGGCCGGCGAGCGGGCGGCGGTCCCTGCGTGCGCCGGCTGCGCTCGGCCGGCGGCGGCGGCGAGCGGACGCGGGGGCCGGGCCGGCGCAGGGGCCGAGTTTCTGCAAAGTTTGACCCGGTTGCCTTTCCGATGCTGCAGCAGAGCGAGGCAGCGCGGGGCGCGCCAGGCGGCAGCGGCGCGGCGGCGGGGCTGAGCGGCGACAGCGCGCTCACAATGATCATAAAATAAAGGAGGCGCGCGGGGTGGGGGCGAGAGAGCCCCGAGCCTCAGCCCTCCGCCCCCGGCCGCCCCCCCGAAGCCCCAAGCCGGGAGGAGGGTGGGGGCCGGGGGCGCCCACGCCGGCCCCAGACTCCAGTAGAGCCAAGGGACAGTGCCCGGGGAAGGGGGTGGGGGCGCCCCAAGAACGTGCCCGCGGCCGGGTCAGGGGCGTCCGGAGAGCGGCTGCCCGGGCCAGCGGAGTGGCCCCCGGGGCAGGTGAGTCGGCGGCGCCGCCCGAGTGGGGGCGTGCGCGCCAAAGTTCCCCGGCAGCGGCGAGCGCGCCCGACGCGTGGGGACCCGGGGCTGCTCGCGGCTGGAGAGGGGCGACAGAGGCGCTTGACGCGGCGGAGCGGGGGCACTATGCCCTCCGAGGGCCGAGGGACCCCAGCCGGGAAAGGGGTGCCCGCCGGATCCGACGGCACTGGTGGGTGGCCCTGCGCCCAGGGAGCCGGAGGGACCGGGGTGGGGAAGGGGCACCTGGCGCTGGCGGCGCGGCGGTGGGGACAGAGCAGGGCAAGTGCTCGCCGCCCCCTGCAGCGGCAGCCGCTCGCCCCCCACCCCGCCCGTCCGGGACGGTATCAGCGGAGATGTCACGGGCGGCTATTATTCGCTGGTGCGCGCGGTCGTGCGGCCGCCACTGACGGGGCGGGCGCGGGGGGCGGGGGCCACCGCCTCCGGGGAGACCGCCCAGAGCTGCGCCGTCAGCTCCGCAGCCCGCGCCCAGCGCACACGCGTCGCCGCCCCCGCGCGCCCCCCGCAGCAAAGTTCGGCTTAACTTTGAGGCTGGCCTTGACGCGCTGTCCCTTCCACCTCCCACCAGGTCCTCGGCGGCCGCGGCGAAGCAGGCGGCGGCGGCCGGAGCGCAGCCCCGGGACCCTGCACGGCGGCCGGCAGCGACAGCGGCGAAGGGACGCGGCGCCCCTGCGTGGGGACGTCCGGCCCGCGCCCGCGAGTGGGCGCCGACGGGGACCCGCGCCGCGCTCCCCCGTCACCGGCGAGCGGCCGGAGCCCTGAGCTCGCCTCCTGGAAGCCGCGGGTCGGCGCTCGCCCCGAGGGCGCCGGGACCTCGGCCGGGTGAACACAAACTGCTCTGCAATTGATTCGACCGCGCCGGGCGGGTGCGGGTGCGGGGCCCGGAGGGAGCGCGTGCGGAAGGCCGGAGGGCAGGAAGTCAGGCTTCTGCCGCGAGGGTGGCGCGGCCGCGCGGGGACAGAGCCTTCCTTATTTATGAGTCTGCCGGCGCTCGCCTGCTTCCTCCGAAGACTTCAGGGAGAGTCTGCGAGCTGCCGTCCCCGCGTGTGAGGCACAGAAGGGCTGGATGTCAGAACCGCATAATTATTCATTAAACTACAAACTTTTTTTAACCCAAAGAATATCGGTGATTTTTGTCCACTGCGAGGAGAAGAAGAGAGAGCCCAGGGCTCATGAAATGCAGCAGAATCCTTATTTATAAACAGGCCGCGGTAGTGATATATGCAACCCCAGTCTACTCAGTGAGTTTTCTATCCTATGGATATCGGTCTTGAGAGTTGAGATTGGAGAGCAGCGCCGTCTGTACTGGGTCCTGCAGCCTCTGTCCTTTCAATGCCTGGTTTTTTCTGTGACTGCTGGCCTTCCCTGGAGATCAGAGCGCTCCTGTATGCCATGGGCTGTATTCAGAGCATCGGAGGCAAAGCCAGAGTCTTCCGGGAAGGGATCACGGTGATTGATGTGAAAGCCTCCATCGACCCCGTCCCCACTAGCATCGATGAGTCCTCCAGCGTGGTGCTCCGCTACCGGACACCCCACTTCCGGGCCTCGGCCCAGGTGGTCATGCCGCCCATCCCCAAGAAGGAGACTTGGGTAGTTGGCTGGATCCAGGCGTGCAGCCACATGGAGTTCTACAACCAGTACGGCGAGCAGGGCATGTGAGTACGGCCGAGAGCCAGCTCTGGGAACTGCTAGGGATGGCCGAGCTTGGAGGCCTGGTGGGGGGCCGCGGATAGGGGGAAGGTGGAGATACCATGAAGACAGGACGGAGGCCAGAGGGAAGCTTTAGGCAGGTATGCAGGTGGCCTCATTGGCCCGGTGGCTCCCTGAAAAGTTTGCCTGTGGATCCAGATTGGAGTCACGGTCCTGCAATCTACCCTGCCACTGTTCCCCCCGGGTTCCTGTGTCCTTCCCTGCAAGATGCCGAGAAAGCAGAGAGACATTACTCCCAGTGTTTCCTGGCAGAGCAAGTGTGCCGTCCGCCTGAGGAGTGTCTGTGCCATCAGGGGTCACCAGAGAGGCTGCAGGGCTGCCCTCCAGGCCTCTGGCCCTGTGCGGGCCCATGGCAGACATTCAGGCACTCTGCAACTCCCAGACCGGTGTGTTCAGGGCTTTGCGATTGGGCCTCAATTATCTTTCTGGCTTTTACCAGTGTATGCCAGGAGCTGGGGGAGTGCTTCCCCGTTCCAAACGGCACTGTGTTTGAGAGCACAGTTAGTTTTAGAAGCCCGATTTCTTCACAGTGTATCGCTTTCTGTCTCCAAGGCAGAAGACCGCTTTATGCAGACAAGTCCAGTGTCCCTCTGGCGAGGCCCTAACAGGAACAGCAAAGAGGAGCCTCTCCTCTGCAGCCCCAAAGCCCGGTCTCCAGAGTGTGCCTAGGGTATTGGGGGTCCCGGTGAGGACCCTGGGACCCTGGGGCTCCTTTCCTGGCCTGCTTCCTGACCCCAGAGAAGGCCGTCCCCAGGGTGAAAAGAGCTGCATTTAGGCAGAGTTGGGAGAGTGACTTAATCTGAAGGTTCACCCTAAGACAGGGATGGTGAAAATAGCTGTTTCTGAGCGTAAGGACCCTTTGGAGAGAGCTAGGCAGGCCCCGGCGGGCAGCCCACCCATGCGGCCCCGTGACTGGCCGCTGACACTCCCAGAACCTCTCTCAGTGTCTACCCTGTGGCCCCGTGACTGGCCGCTGACACTCCCAGAGCCTCTCTCAGTGTCTACCCTGTGCAGCTTCACGTCCCCGTTTTGCAAGTGGGGAAAAGAGGAGAATTTCCCCAGGAGCTGGAACTTATCACAGATTTAAGAATCTCATGGGCCACCTGTAAATGAGAGGGGTGGAGGATGGCGGGACACCAAGTCTGGTGGCTTCTCTACTTAATGACTCCAAAGTTCTAAAGGAAACATGAGGATCACAGTAACCCTTAAGTCCAGCGTGTGACAGTGACTGTCCCAAAGAGGTACATGGGGGGCACATCTAGAGGCTCTCACCGGCCCTCTCCACCAGCCTGATTTCTGTGCCAACCCCTTTGTGTCTCAAGAGCAGCTAGTAATCCAGTTCGGGGGAGGGGGTGCTGCCTTTCTGTTCTAAGCAGGGAAACATGATTCTTAGTTATGCAGTGAGGACCTTTTCTAAGAACGCTTAAGCCCAGAAACCTCCTCGGGCTTTGAAGGCATCGGGACAGTTGTAGAAACAAAAGTTTTCCTCGGGGTTTTGGGCTAAGCCTAGTTTCTTCCCTGGAAGGGGTAAGGAAGCCAGTGGGTTCTTCTGAACTTGGAAAGACATGAGCACTCACGGGACTGGATGCTAATGTGGTTGGTGCAACGTGTGGTGGGGAGGCCACAGGCCTGACCCAAGGTACAGACTCCAAGCCTCAGCTTCCCCATCTGTGCACATGGGCTTCCGATGTCTTGTCTAAGACTTGTTCTCCATCTGGTGACCCTGAGTAGGTGTGGGTGATGTGGCTGGAGCTAGGCCTGAGACTGGGACCTGAGACAACCCTGCCCTCCCTGTCGCAGTCCTGGCTTCCTGGTTGGAAGAGCCTCATGCCTTCTTAGGCAGATCTGGGCGGGAGGCCAGGTTCTGCCACTCTCCAGGATGTGGCCCTAGGCAAGTCCCTTTACTGCTCTGACCCTCAGTTTACACATCTGCAAACTGGGGCTGGCAAGAACCCCTTCCCCATGGCTTATTGTGAGAATCACTCAAGCTAACCAAATTCGCCATGCAGTCAGCCCTGCGCCAAGCTGGTGGTGAATACTTACCGCAGGCAGTAATGGGATGGGGATCATCCTTAGCGGTGTTGTGATTGTTACTGTTATTCTATCAGATGTGAGTGGCTAAAACTACAGAATTAGGACAGATGTCAGCCACACCGTGTAGTGAATTTTCTCCCCAGGCCGAGTCTTTCTCTGTCACGTAGGGCCCACTTCCTGAGTTTAAAACTTTTTAAAGCAGTGTAAGGCATGAAGAACTTGCGTTTTAAAGTGGCTCCAGGCCATTTTCCTTGTTCTCTCTCTGCCCCTGATGTTTCTCTTTGCTCCCTCTCGCTCTCGGGACTCCTCTTTTGCTGCAGGGAGCCTCTGTGTCCCACCCAGCTCATTCTCCCTGGGTGCACTGGCTGTGCAATCCCGGTTGGGATACACGGGGACCAGCCCCAGGGACAGGATGGAGTCAGAAGCTTCCTGGGAGGGGCGGCTTGGAGCAGTCGGGCAGAAGGGTCCACGTGTCTTGGCTCCTAGGCCTTGGCCAGGCAGCCCCCGGGGTTCCGTTTGGTGTCCGTCCATGAGGGGGAGAACTTCCCGTAGGCTGCTGTGAGGATTCAGCGAGAGGCCAGTATGGGTGACCGTCCTGTGGCTGAGACGTAGAGGAGGAGGCTGCCGAGTACTTGGTAGTAATCAACAGAATCATCCTAAGGGGCCGAGTTACCAAAGAACAGAGTCCCGGATTCAACCTGCACCCTTGAAGGGCTCATGGAGAAGGCCAGGATGCGGCCTTGCTTTAGCTCCTTGCTGAATGGAAATAGAAGCATTTAGGTGGGATTTAGTTATCTTTTTTTTAATTTTTATTTATTTTTATTTATTTATTTTTGAGACAGAGTCTTATTCTTGTCGCCCAGGCTGGAGTGCAATGGTGCCAATCTTGGCTCACTACAACCTCTGCCTCCCGGGTTCAAGTGATTCTCCGGCTCCAGCCTCCAGAGTAGCTGGGATTACAGGCATGCGCCACCATGCCCAGCTAATTTTTATATTTTTAGTAGAGACGGGGTTTCACCGCGTTGGCCAGGATGGTCTCGAACTCCTGACCTCAGGTGATCTGCCTGCCTTGGCCTCCCAAAGGGCTGGGATTACAGGTGTGAGCCTTGGGTGGGATTTAAAACCCCCTTCCTGTCTCCCCTGCCCCAGGCCTCCTGTGATGACTTCCATTTTCCAAGTTTTTAAGCCTTGTGGCATGAAAAGGAAAGGGAACAGTGGTTGGGGTGACCAGAAACCCCAACCAGCCCAGAATTGTTCCTCTGCTCTGCCTGGCCCAGGGTCAGGTAATTCTGTCTGTGCTGGTGGGGGGTGTCCTGTGCATGGTAGGGGGCTGGGCAGCATCCCTGGCCTCTACCCACTCCATGCCAGGAGCACATCCCCGCAAGCTGTGACAGTCAATAATGTCCCCAGGGAGGGCCTGATGTCCCCAGGAGGGGCTATGAAATCACACCTAGTGGAGAACCACTGGACTTGACCCAGACAATTCACATCCTTAAAATGAAACCCAGGCCCTGTGCTTTAGTGGCCCGGGGAAGGGACAGCTAGGTAGCGAGAGCTAGGTTAGGGCTTTCATTCTTTACAAATGGGCTTGTATCCAAAATGTTAATTCCAAATACTTAACCAAAATCCATAATACCCCCAAACGTTATCCCTGCTTAAAATTAATCCCTAAGCCAAGAGGATAACTTTTTAGAATGACATTCTGGGTTTGAAATATTTGAAATGGAACAATTAAAAAAAAAAACCACCATCTCAATAATACCCTGACTTTTGCAGACAGAGCTGGAAAAGAGTGAGTTTCTCTGTGCCAGCATGAGAGGATTCTATATGGCTTTGGGTCCAACCCACATTGCTTTAAAAGCCAACCCCCCCCATCCAAATTGTTGGAGACACCTGCCTCCACAGCCCGGCCCCCGCAATTCCTCAACTGCCACCTGTCAGCTGGCACAGAGTCTTCTAAGTGACAAGTCACAATTTCTCGCCTGTGTGGGAGAAGTTCCACGTTGTCCCTGGTTTGCCCTTCTCTGGAGCCCCCTGGGAACCTGGCCCACAGCCACGCCCATGGCCAAGGCCAAGGTCAGGGGCAGTTTATGGCTCAGGATTCTGCCAAAGGGCAGACTGGGCGGGGAGGAGGGGGAGCAGCTCAGATAGAAAGGGTTTCTTTGGGTGGATGGGGACACTACCCCATGCCCATGTATGGCAGGGTGTGAACTCCAGCTCCCAACCCTTGGGCCAGCCTCTTAACCTTTCCAAGCCTCACTGTTCCCATCTATGACATGGGAATATGAGTCTTCTCTCATAGGCTTGTGATGATAAGACCTTAGCCCAGCACCTCACGAATACCAGGCACTCAATATATGGTAGCCGTCAATACCATAGCTATGAATCGTAATACTAATAATGTCTTATGCATTATGCGATGCCTGTCGGAGTCACCGGAAAGGTGGCTGCCTCGTTGCTGTTGTTACATTATCCCTTCTCCTGGGTTTCAGATACCTGTCTATAGCATGAGTGCTGTCACTGTGTTATGAACGGCCAGTGGTCAGCCTGGACTACACAGTGAAACCTTGTCCCTACAAAAAATACAAAAAAATTAGCCAGGCATGGTGGCATGTGCCTGTAGTCCCAGTTACTTGGGAGGCTGAGGTGGGAGGATCACCTGAGTCTGGGGAGGTCAAGGCTGCAAGTGAGCTGTGATTGCACCACTGCACTCCAGCTGGGGCAACAGAGTGAGACCACATCTCAAAAAAAAAAAAAAAAAAAAAAGACTGGTGGGAAAGGACAGGGCAGGGGTGGAGGGACCGCTGGGTGCCACCCTGTCCTGCTGGGATGACGCTGAGAATGGCTGCCTCGGGCGCCTTCCCACCTGCCGTCTCCCAGCGTCCTCCCCAGGAGCTCAGGAAGGCCTCATTTTATGATGTGGTCACAGCTTCTAAGACCTGAAGCTGGTTGCCAGAGCAGTGTTGCTCAGCGCCAGCAGATCTGGGGACAGGCCATGGAGGAATGTCCCTGTTGACCACGTGGCCTCTTCCTGAAGCCGGGGTCTGAGCGTCAGTTGTGCAAAGAACAATTGAGGAGGAGGCTTCCTCTCTGTAACCGGAAGGCGGCCTCCCCCATCTGCTGGGCCCTGGCGGAGGCAAGGGCGGGGTGGGTGGGAGAGGGAAGTCCTTGTTTCAAGGCTTTGGGGTGGGAGGAAGTAGGGGGGATGACCCAGCCTAAAGAGAGCTCCCCCAGGACCAGCCCTGGCCAAGGGATTGCTGCAGCCCTCATCCACCTTCCAAGCACTGGAAACAAACATTGGAGACCAAGTGAGGCGTCACTCAACAGCCGTAGTAATCAGGGAAATGACAAGTTACATACTGATATCCTTTGTTTTGCTGATTGGAGTTGGGTGCATTGAAAAAGATCAGTCGTGCCCAGTGTTTGGGGGAAGGAAGCGTCTTCACCTGTTGTTTGTGGGAGGACAGTTGAGGCAGGTGAGGATGCTGAGAGGTGAGCTCAGCTGTGCCTGTTACCGTCCACATGTGCAAGCCCTTCAGCTCGGTGGTTGTACTTGTTTTTGAGATGCAGTTTCACTCTTGTCACCCAGGCTGGAGTGCAGTGGCATGATCTTGGCTCACTGCAACATCCGCCTCCCGGGTTCAAGCGATTCTCCTGTCTCTGCCTCCCAAGTAGCTGGGATTACAGGTGCCTGCCACCACACCTGGCTTTTTTTTTTTTTTTTTTTTTTATTTTAGTAGGGATGGGGTTTCACCATGCTGACCAGGCTGGTCTCAAATTCCTGACCTCAAGTGATCTGCCTGCCTCGGCCTCCCAAAGTCCTGGGATTACAGGTGTGAGCCACTGTGCCCGGCCTGTACTTTTAGAGCCTCTTGTAGAAACTTTGTGCCCCTAGCTCAGGGCCTGCATATTGGAGGCAAAAAAATAATCTACTGAACAAGTGAGTTAATGATCACGCGAAGGGGAGAAGCAGCACATAAAGATGCACATGGGCTGGGCCCGGTGGCTCACGCCTATAATCCCAGCATTTTGGGAGGCTGAGGCAGGTGGATCATCTGAGGTCAGGAGTTCGAGACCAGCCTGGCCAACATGGCGAAACCCTGTCTCTACTAAAAATACAAAAATTAGCTGGGTGTGGTGGTGCGTGCCTTTAATCCCAGCTACTCAGAAGGCTGAGGTGCAAGAATTGCTTGAACCTGGGAGGTGGAGGTTACCGTGAGCCGAGATCACGCCACTGCACTCCAGCCTAGGCAACAGAGCTAGACTGTCTCAAAAAAAAAAAAATGCACACGTGAGGATGTTAACTCCAGCACGGCTCCTAATAGCAAAAAGCCAGGAACAACTCAAGTGTCCCCTCAAGAGGGAGTGAAATTATGCTCTGCCTGCAGTGCAGACTCTGAGGCAGGGCCATAGGCGATGAAGACAAGTGGGGAAATGATACATTGTTGTTACATTTTTGTTTAAAGTTATCAAACAATATGTAGGGTAGTAACCCATTTTTGTTAAAAAGAAAATACTGAAGTTGGGAACATATCCTGTGTGTGTATGCAGAGAGCAAGGTCTCAAAGGATGTTTACCAGAGTACATGGGGCACATGGGGAGGGGCGCATGGGGAGGTAGGTTTCAGTTTTCACTTGATACACTTCTTTTTTTTTTTTTTTTTTTTGAGACGAAGTTTTGTTCTTGTCGCCCAGGCTGGAGTGCAGTGGTGCTATCTCGGCTCATTGCAACCTCTGCCTCTCGGGGTTTCACCATGTTAGTCAGGCTGGTTTTGAACTGACCTCAAGCAATCCACCTTCCTCTGGCTCCCAAAGTGCTGGGATTACAGGCATGAGCCACCGCGCTCGGCCTAAGAGCACTTCTTTTTTTTTTTTTGAGACGGAGTCTCGCTCTGTCGCCCAGGCTGGAGTGCAGGGGCGCCATCTCGGCTCACTGCAAGCTCCGCCTCCCGGGTTCAAGTGATTCTCCTGCCTCAGCCTCCCGAGTAGCTGGGACTACAGGCACCTGCCACCATGCCCGGCTAATTTTTTTGTATTTTTAGTAGAGACGGGGTTTCACCCGTCTCTGTCTCGATCTCCTGACCTTGTGATCCGCCCGCCTCGGCCTCCCGAAGTGCTGGGATTACAGGAGTGAGCCACTGTGCCTGGCCAAGCACTTCTTTTATAACTAAAATTAAACAGGCGCTGTTGGTCTTTCCTCCCCTTGTGAGATCCCAGTGATCCACAGCTGTGCCTGGGTTAAGGGGAGTGGGGTTGGCAGGGAGAAGGTGTCTGGGTCCCAGAAGGAATGGGGTTTGTTGTGGTGGGGGAATCCCCGTGGGCAGGCCCTGTGGGAGGCGAGACCTCCAGCCCCTCCCTCAGCTGGTGAGCAGGTACTGGGGAGGCCAGGAGAGCAGGGCCTGGTGACCCGGTGGTGGTGGGGACAGCCCAGGGGGGCGGCAGTGCGGGGGGGATGTCAGGAACCCAGGATGCCTGTCCAGTGTGGAATGGGGGCTCTTGGGCATTCGTTTCTGTAAAATTGTAAAGCTTTTACAGAATGAGTACTTTCTGCAAATTTTATCAGATTATAAAATCCATACTGTTGGGGAGTAGGTAAAATAATTCCTAACTTCCTGCCCAGCCTGTGTGAGGGACTGAAACCAGGACTGAGCGGGAGACTGTGTGACATGGGCAGATCCTTGCCCTGGAGCCTCAAGTCTTTTTTTTTTTTTTTTTTTGAGACAGAGTCTCACTCTGTCGCCCAGGCTGGAGTGCAGTGGCGCCATCTCGGCTCACTGCAAGCTCCGCCTCCCGGGTTCATGCCATTCTCCTGCCTCAACCTCCCAAGTAGCTGGGACTACAGGTGCCTGCCACCACGCCCAGCTAATTTTTTTTAAAATATATTTTTAGTAGAGACGGGGTTTCACCGTGTTAGCCAGGATGGTCTCGATCTCCTGACCTTGTGATCTGCCCGCCTCAGCCTCCCAAAGTGCTGGGATTACAGGCGTGAGCCACCGCGCCCGGCCTGGAGCCTCAAGTCTTTATCTGTAAAGGTGTTTCTTAAGGTGCCCAATGTGAGCCACTTGTAGGAGGTGGGATAATATTTGAGTAAATCATTTAAGGTTAAGGCTAAATTTTATTTTAATGCAACATATTTATTGCCTATTAGAACATATATCTGTATATCTGTATATATAGCATATCCAACCTGTTATTTCAAAGTTGTTTCTAAATTTAGTTGATTTTGTTTCTTTCAGAGACAGGGTATCACTCTGTTGTCCAGGCTGGAGTGCTGTGGTGCAATCCTAGCTCACTGCAGCCTTGACCTCCTGATTGCTCAAGCAATCCTCCCACCTTAGCTTCTCGAGTAGCTGGGAGTATAGGGACGCACCACCATGCCTGGCTAATTTTTAAGTTTTTCGTACAGGCGAGGGTCTCTTGCTTTGATGCCCTGGCTGGTCTTGACCTCCTGGGTTCAAGCGATGCCCCCTCACCTCCAGCCTCAGACTCCCATAGTTGAGTCTTTTAAAAGGTGATCAGGCCAGGCACGGTGGCTCATCTCAACAGCTTGCGAGGCTGAGGTGAGAGGATCGCTTAGGTTCCATTAGAGGCTGGTGGGGTAAGAGCTGGGTCAGGTTGGGGACCTTGGCCCAGTTACTTCCCAGTTGTGTGACCTTGGACCCGGCCTCTCACTGCCGTAAGTCTCCTCTGTTAAATGCTCCCCACAGCCCCGGCCCCAGGGAGGTGTGGTGCCTGGCGCAGCCCGTGTGCTCAGGGAGTGGTACCTGCTGTCACCGCGTGCTAAGGTGACTGTCCAACAAGAGGCTTTTGCAGCTGCAGCCCTGCAGGATAAGCAGAAGCTCAGGGCAACTTTGGGGGCCCTGGACTCCTCACAGAGATGCCCTGTGGGCTTCGAGGGAGACCCAGCGTGCACTGACAGCCACTGATCCTGGCCACAGACATTATGGTGCCTGAAGCTGGGCCAGGTGCTGTGATACATCCCAGATATGTGGTGATGGGCGAGGCAGGCCTGGCCCTGCCCTCACGGCCTCGTGGTCTGTCTAGGGTAGAGACTGGCAGCAGATGAGTGCATCAGTATTTAATCACCCTCATGAACAGGCCACGGGGCAGTGGGATGAGATCCAGTGGCGTTGAATAGCAGGAGGCACCTGGCCCATGTGGAGGGTCCAGGCAGGCTTCTTTGGGGTGGTGGCTGCAGAGCTGAGTGATGAGCAGCTATGAGAGAGGAGAGGAGGAGGAAGTGGGGGGGAGGAGGAGGAAAGAGGAGTGGAGGAGGAGGAGGATGAGGATGAGGACGAGGATGACGCTGCTCCCGGTAGAAGGCCCTGAGAGGGAGGAGCATGGCCCACTGCAGCAGCTGAGAATGGCTGGGGCCCTGGAGCCCAGGGAGGGCGTGTGTGTACATGCACGTGTGTGTGCTTGTGCTGTGCACGTGTGCACACACGCAGGGCTCTAGGCTTCAATTGCGTCGGTTTTAAGGGCATAGGGGAGTCATGGCCGGTTTAACAGGGTTGGAGCCATGCCATCGGATTTGTGTTTTTAGAAGATCCTTCGGGCTGCTTCTGGGAGGGGAACAGATTGCAGGAGGCTGGGAGACCAGGGAGGGGTAAGGCCATGGTGGAGGCAGAGGAGGAGAAGGGGCACAGCCTGGAGGGGCGAGGGAGAGTCCAGGATGGCGCTGTGTCCCGGAGACACAGGCCTCCCCGTTGCCAGCCAGGCCAGTGGCTCTGTCCACCCATGTCAGGGCTTCGTGAGACATGGAAAGCAGGTGCCCTGCAGATGTTTGTTGGGTGGGTGATGATGGGACTCAGGACAGGGACGCTGCGGGAGGCTGAGGAAGCCACTTCAGCCCGGGAAGCATTCTGACGCCTGGGTTCCAGCCTGGACTTGCCTGCTGTCCTTTGGGGTCCCTAGGAGGATGGGAGTGTGACAGGTGGCTCTGCCTGCCTCTGCCCACAGCCATGGAGGTGAACGGCCTGCTGGGCTCCTAGACTGGACAGCTGTCCGGGGCCTGCACTCAGAAGGGCCCTGAGCGTGGTTCAAGGCTCTGCCGTCTCAGCATTGAAAATCTCAGGTTGTTTACAGCCAGGTGCGGTGGCTCACGCCTGTAATCCCAGCACTTTGGGAGGCCGAGGCGGGCAGTCACCTGAGGTCAGGGGTTTGAGACCAGCCTGGCCAACATGGTGAAACTCCGTCTCTACTAAAAAAATATAAAAATTAGGCCGGGCATGGTGGCTCACGCCTGTAATCCCAGCACTGTGAGAGGCTGAGGTGGGTGGGTTACCTGAGGTCAGGAGTTCGAGACCAACCTGAATAACACGGTGAAACCCCATCTCTACTAAATAATTAGTCCGGCATGGTGGCACATGCCTGTAATCCCAGCTACTTGGGAAGCTGAGGCAGGAGAATCGCTTGAACCCAGGAGGCAGAGGTTGCAGTGAGCTGAGATCATGCCATTGCACTCCGGCCTGGCCAGGAAGAGTGAAACTCTGTCTCAAAAAAAAGGAGAAAGGTGGTTAAGATATTGCTTAACTTTAGACTTTTAAGTTAAAAATAATCGGAAAATTTCAAGGACAACTACTAAGAGAACAGAATTAGAATGTTTAAATCCCCAATAAGTACCAAGAAGAAACAGAAGAAAAATACCAATAAAATCTGTAATCAAAAGAATGGTGGACAAAAAGCACTAAAAAACTCAATAGAAATTTAATAGAGAAGAGAAACAAGTTCATATAAAAATAATTCGGCTGGGGACGGTGGCTCACGCCTGTAATCCCAGACACTTCGGGAGGCCAAGGCAGGCAGATCACCTGAGGTCAGGAGTTTGAGACCAGCCTGGCCAACATGGTGAAACCCCGTCTCTACTAAAAGTACAAAATTAGCTGGGCGTGGTGGTGGGTGCCTGTGGTCCTACCTACTCAGGAGGCTGAGGCAGAAGAATCACTTGAACCTGGGAGGCCGAGGCTGCAGTGAGCAGAGATCCCGCCACTGCACTCCAGCCTGAGTGACAGAGTGAGACTCTGTCTCAAAAAAAAAAAAAAAGGTCAGAAAAGGCTTCAGGTCAAATTAGGGCTTTGGGTCAAATCAGGGCTACCTGGTCTGGGAGAGGCACACTTCTAACTGCTGATGCCACCCTCAAAGGGTCTCCAGAAGCTTCCACTGACTGCTGTTGGCTGCACCAGGCAGTGAGTATCAGTACATTTAATCATCACAAAAACCGGGCAGGCAGATGTTGGCGGATTGTCTGTGGGCTGCTGAAGAGCTGGTAGAGCTCAGCGCGTCTGTGACTGGACCACAGTGCGAGTAGCTGGGGCTGACAGTGGACCCTGGGCTGCTGCACCCGCTGCAACCCCCAGGTGGAGGGATCCACGCAGCCTGGTGACGATTTGGCCCTGGCCCTGAGCCATGCCCCGCGTGACGCAGTGCTGTCTGCCAGCCTGGGAGGCTCCTCACCTGTCTTTGCCTGAGCCAGGGCCTGGGAGTTTCAGGACTGGGAAAGGAAAGAAAACCCCAAGGCTGGGGTCAGGAAGAGGAGGGCTATTTTGCTGCTCAGTCCTGCTCCCCCAAACCAGACCTTCAGCTCTTTGCAAACGAAAGAGGGGGCAAGGCCAAAGCGGGGTTCCTTATGCAAGTTTGCTTCCTGCCCTGAAAAACCAAAAAAACGGAAAACTTTTCCAAGCAAGTGTAAGCACTGTGTGAGGACAGAGTGGGCGTTTCCTTCTGAAATAGGAGACTAGGCCCCCAGTGGGCAAAGAGACCCTGACCCGCTTCTCCATCTGTGCGGGGGAATGAATGAGCAGGCTCACCCTGTTGTCATCCTGCCTGCTGCTGTGGGGCCCCCCTAGATCTTAGGAATTGCTGGGTACTTCCGGACAGTGAGGTTGTCTGAGCTGCCTGCAGGTTCCCTGAGTCTGGGTACTCAGGGGCTGGGCAGGAGATGCCCATTAAGCAGGTGTTACTCTAATGAGTGAGCTTTTCAATGAGATGAACAGGAAAATTAGCAAAATCATGTTCCTAATCATTCCTCCTGCGGCGGCCCCAATTTTGCTAACTGTTAACATTATATGATGCATAAGTAGGGGAATGCATTTTTAAAATTATGGTAAAGCCTATGTAACATTTTATAAAATTGACCATTTTATTTTATTATTAATTTTTTTTTTTTTAAGACAGGGTCTGGCTCTGTCACCCAGGCTGGAGTGCAATGGTATGATCTCGGCTCACTGCAACCTCTGCCTCCCAGGTTCAAGCGATTCTCCTGCCTCAGCCTCCCGAGTAGCTGGGATTACAGGTGCCTGCCACTACGCCCAGCTAATTTTTGTATTTTTAGTAGAGACGGGATTTCAGCATGTTGGCCAGCCTGGTCTCGAACTCCTGACCTCAAGTGATCTACCGTGCCCAGCCAAAATAGACCATTTTAATCATTCATAAGTGTACAGCTCAGTGGCATTAGGTCTGTTCAAATTGTTTTGCAGCCTTCACCACCATCTATCTTCAGAACTCTTTTCTTTTTCTTTTTTTTTTTTTTTGAGATGGAGTCTTGCTCTTATCGCCCAGGCTGGAGTGCAGTGGTGTGATTTCGGCTCACTGCAACCTCCGCCTCCTGGGTTCAAGCGATTCTCCTGCCTCAGCCTCCTGAGTAGCTGTGATTACAGGTGCCCACCACCATGCCTGGCTAATCTTTGTACTTTTAGTAGAACAGGGTTTCACCGTATTGCCCAGGCTGGTCTGGAACTCCTGACCTCAGGTGATCCACCTGCCTCGGCCTAACAAAGTGCTGGGATTGCAGGTGTGAGCCACTGCGCCCAGCCCAGAACTCTTTTCATCTGCAAAACTGAAACTTCGTCCCCAAGAAATATCAACTTTCCGTTCCTCTTTCTCCCAGCCCCTGGCAACCTCCATTCTACTTTCTGTCTCTATGAATTTGACAACACTAGGGACTTCACATAAGTAGAATCACACAGTTTGTGTTTTTTTGTGGCTGGCTTATTTCACTCAACATAACGTCCTCAAGGTTGATCTGTGTTGTAGCCTGTGTTGGAACATCCTTCCTTCTTAAGGCTGAAGAACATTCCATTGTACGTATGTAGCACATTTTGTTTATCCATTTATCTGTCGTTGGACACTTGGATCGCTTCTGCCTTTTGGCTATTGTGATTAATTCTAGGAACAGGAATGCATTTTTTTTTAGAGGTAGGGTCTCACTGTGTTGGCCAGCCTCGGCCTCCCAAAGTGCTGGGATTAGAGGTGTGAGCCACTGCGTCCAGTTGGGAGTGCTTTTTTTTTTTTTTTGCAGACAGAGTCTCACTCTGTCACCCATGCTGGAGTGCAGTGGCACAATCTCAGCTCACCGCAAACCCAGCCTCCCAGGTTCAAGCAATTCTTCTGCCTCAGCCTCCTGATTACAGGATTAGAGGCATCTGCTACCGTACCCCGCTAATTTTTTTTTTTTTTTTTTGGAGACAGAGTCTCACTCTGTCGCCCAGGCTGGAGTGCATGGCGTGATCTCGGCTCACTGCAACCTCTGTCTCCTGCCTCAGCCTCCTGAGTAGCTGGGACTACAGGCGCATGTCACCATGCCTGACTAATTTTTTCTATTTTTTTTAGTAGAGACAGGGTTTCACCATATTGGCCAGGGTGTTCTCAAACTCCTGACCTCATGATCCGCCCCCCTTGGCCTCCCAAAGTGAATTTTTGTATTTTTAGTAGAGACGAGGTTTCACCATGTTGGCCAGGCTGGTCTTGAACTCCTAACCTCAAGTGATCAGCCTGCCTCAGCCTCCCAAAGTGCTGGGATTACAGGTGTGAGCCACCACGCCCGGCCAGGAGTGCATTTTTAACAGTAGCTTGTTCCTGGGAGTACCCGCTGTGCACGTAGGTGAGCAGAAGGCGCAGTGGGCGCAGGGTGTCCTGAGCTTCCCTGTTACAGGTGCCTTGGTGGAAATGCGCCGGGGTCCCAGGCCCCACCGCTTGGCCAAATGTCCTTAGGAAAATGTAGCCTCACTCTCCACCCCCAGCCCACCACTTCACTTTCTGTATCTGCCGGGTGGGGTTGCATGGAGAAGATTGTCTGTGAGCCTGTAATGTTAAAGTAAGGGGCCCCTACAGTCTGGGGTGGGCTCCCAGATGCTACTATATCCATGGCCACATGGGAGTGTGGGATCTGTATGTCCCTAGAGCAACTTGGGCCAGGCCGGCCACCTTCTTCTGTCTGAGGGTTATGATTGTAACAGCAGCAGTGATGACAGTGACTCCGAGCTACTGTCTGACCCCCTGCCCCCAGAACGTCAAAGGGGACCGGGTGGTCTGCTGGGTCCGTTCCATCCTCAGGGCCCAGGACAGCCCCTGGCCTGCCAGGGGGACACAGAAAGCCCTCCTTGAGTGACCGAGTGAGTGAACTGGCCTTCCTTGTCCTCAGGTCCAGCTGGGAGCTCCCCGACCTCCAGGAGGGCAAGATCCAAGCCATCAGCGACTCGGATGGGGTGAACTACCCCTGGTACGGCAACACCACAGAGACCTGCACCATCGTGGGCCCCACCAAGAGGGACTCCAAGTTCATCATCAGCATGAATGACAACTTTTACCCCAGCGTCACATGGGCCGTGCCCGTCAGCGAGAGCAACGTGGCCAAGCTCACCAATATCTACCGGGACCAGAGCTTCACCACCTGGCTGGTGGCCACCAACACCTCCACCAACGACATGATCATCCTGCAGACGCTGCACTGGCGCATGCAGCTCAGCATCGAGGTGAACCCCAACCGGCCCCTGGGCCAGCGCGCCCGGCTGCGGGAGCCCATCGCCCAGGACCAGCCCAAAATCCTGAGCAAGAATGAGCCCATCCCGCCCAGCGCCCTGGTCAAGCCCAATGCCAACGATGCCCAGGTCCTCATGTGGCGGCCCAAGTACGGGCAGCCGCTGGTGGTGATCCCGCCCAAGCACCGGTGACAGCCAGGACCACCCGCTAGGTTAGACTCACAAATAATAATACCGCTGAAAACAAAACTCAGACTCACTCTTCAGTCATTCAGCAAGATACAACCATTCTACCCTCTCCAGCGGGCGGATCTCACTGTGCTGATGCCCCCGGGAAGGCCTCCCCGGCTCTCGGCACCTGCTTCCTTTCAGGGAGAGGGGAGATCTAAGCAGGACAGACAGACCCCACGTGCGCCCTCAGGGTGACCTCTGGTCTCCTTGCCTCTCCTTTTTCTCAGTTTCAGTCGCTCACTTGTAACAGATTCCCTGAAACACTGCTTTTTCCGTTTTTTAAAAAAACTCCTCTTTTGGGGGCTCAGGGGCAGGAGGAGGGGGAGCTGATTAGGAGGGAAGCTCCAGCCCCCGATCAAAGAGACAGATCCACACTGCTGCCGATTTGTGGCGCTGGCCGGCCTTCCCCCCAGGTCCCTCCGCCCTCTGTCATGCGGCCTTATGTAGACTTGCTTTGCCAAACTTTTGCCTTAAGCTGAATTGAAAGGAAGAAAACCAATCGGAGAAAGAAAGCAGGATCTCTTTTCTACCGGACTTTTCCTCTTCTGCCAGAGGTGGAGGGAGGGTTGGGGTCGCCCGCGAGAGTCTCTTGAGCCCTTCTTCCCGGTTGTCTTGGGAGAAGGGTGAGGATGGGCATTTAGACCCGAAACCAGCTGCTCACTCTTTCTTTTTGGCAGAAATAAAACCACAGGTAGATTCTGCCTGAACAGCCCCTTCTCTCCCTCCACCCCCAGGTCGTATCCCTGCACCTGCGGAGAGGGGCTGTGAGCTCTGGCGGGGGGTGGCTCCACCAGTCGCCTGGCCTCTTCTCCCCTCTCTTCCCAGCAGCCTTAACTTCCCTTGGGCGGCTCTAGGAGGAGAGAGGCAGGCTCCTGTGAGCCCAGGGAATTTTCACCCTCTCAGTCCTCAGGACCCACCCCCAGTTGAGTCCCTGGCCCTTCCTCCAGGTGTGTGGCTTTTTCCTTCTCCATCCACACTGGTCCCAAATGCCTGGGGGCCGGCCACCTGGACCGCCGACACACAGCCTCAATGTTAGTCTCAAAGGTAAGGAAGGCATTCACGTCCCTTCTTGCAGGGCATTTTAAGACTTGAATCGGGTGGGCCCCGGCCCCTGTGGCTGGCTGGCCCCTGGTGTACTGTAAAAGGGCCAAGACAGGGCTCGTTCTCAGGGGCGCCCCTCCCAGGCCCTCAGGGCAGCGGGACGGTGCAGTCAGGCTCTGGGTGCCACAGTGATGGAGGTGGAAGGCACCCAAGCTCTAGGGAAGTCTTGGGAGGCAGTCGGCCGAGCCCCTGCTTCCTGTCCTCAAATAAGTGAATCCAGGCCAAGGGCTGGGAGGGCTGGGTGGGCTTATCGTCGAGAGGGTTCAGAGCCACTCTGGAGGCTGGGCTGGCACAGTGGAGAGCAACAGGTGAGGACAGACGTCTGGAAGCCCATCCCTGGGACCTGCCCTCCCTCGGTCCCAGGTCACTGGAGCTCCAGGGCTTACTTAGTCCTGACCCATTGTGCCAGGGTTCTGAGCAGTGTCGGCCTTGTGGCCACTTGCAGGGGCTATTAGGGGACATCCCGCTGAAGCCACGCTCCTTCCAGCTTGCCAAACCCACAGCTACCCGCCCGGGACCCACACTCAGCCTAATAATTATCAAGCACAGAAAACCGTCCATTTAGAAAAATAATCCATTTCTGCTGCAGATGAGCCACTTGTAAGAGTCTCCGTGACAGCGTGGGACGGTGTGGGAACCAAAGTCCCTGCCCTGCTCCTTTGTCCACGGGCTATTGCGTTTATTCAAGGGGTGCTTAATGACCGTTTAGCCACTGCCGTCGGTCTCCGGGCCCAGCTCGTGCCAGGAGGCTGTCCTGGGACACACTGGGCTGGAGCTGCCGGCTGGCACGGTGCTCAGGGGGCCCCTGATGGGGGCCAGGACCTCCCCGCAGAAACTGCAGGTTCTCTTGTGAGGATGGAGGCCGTGCCACCCCGAAAGGCAGTAGCCTTAGGGGAACAGTGGGTCCCAGCTGCATGTCTGAGGATGGGTGGGGACAGGGCTGGGACTCAGCTTTCATTCACTGGAGACTTCTCCACTCAGGTCTTTGTTGCACTAAAGCAGGGACAGGACCCTGGGGGTTCAGGAAGCGGGTCTCAGGCCGCTGGTTTATTCCTGGAGGTGGGGCTGGAGACCAGAATGGAAAGGGGCTTCCTGAGCTGCTAGGGGGTGAAGGACCCCCGAACCCGCATTTCTTGAGTGAGAGCAAACACTCGAGGCAGGAGCCAGCACCCCTCCCACTGCATGCCCGGCCCCCAGCCCACCTTGCCCCCTGACCCACCTTCACCCGTGCCCCTTCTTTCTGCCCTTCCTCACCGAAGAAGGGCTAGGAACACCCTGGAGAGGCTGCAGGTCCGGCCACGGACGCTCAGCTGAGCCCCGGTCTGCTCCTTCAGCCTCCTTGCTCATGTTGGAGCACAGGCCCCAGGCTTCCTGCCAGGGCCCCGATTCTTCTTATGTCCTCCAGCCCCGCCCTGGCGTGGACATCCACTCACTCCTTCCAGCAATAAGAACCGTCCTTGGTCGTGGAGAGTACTGTGAAACAAACCAATGCACTTACCAGGAGGCACAAGACTCTTGAAGAAGATGTACAATGAACCTTTTTTTTTTTACAAAAAACAAAAAGCAAATATTCATAAAGAGAAATAAAATGTAATTTTAAAGTAGGCTTGGCTAGGTCCTGGATGTTTCTGAAGTGGAGATTCACTTTGGGGTGGGTGGCTCAGCGGTGCTGGCTGCGGGGGTGAACGTATCTGGGGGGCAGGAGGATGGGCTGAGGCTGGGATCCCCGTACTCAGGGCCTGGGAGATGGGAGGAGGGAGCCAGCCTTTGAGTCCTGCTCCTTCCAGCTGCTTCTGTTCACAGCCCCAGCTCCAGCGAGAGCAGCCCTGCGGTCTCAGCCTTGCACCTGGAAGTGCCCCTGCCAGTGCCCTGCCTGGAGGGTGGTGGGCTTGGAGGTAGAGCTAGGAATTGGGGGCAGCTTGACTTTTTGGCGAACAGTAAAACCCCTATGTCAAGGGCGATTAAGGTTTAGATTGACCCTTAACTTGGGCCTGCAAAGCTGTCTTCTTGTGGACAAGCAGGACAGTGTCAGTCTGGACGGGGGCTCCATGCCCTGCCCTCAGCCAGCAGCTGTTGAGGGGTCCTGTGGGGCCCCAGCCTTGAATGGATACCATCTTATAAATGGAGCTTTCTTGTGTAAACATGGGTGGGGGCCCTGGAGGTCCTGGAGTGGCTGTGGGCTCTGAAGGTAGATCACAGGTTCAAGGCCGTTTATGTGAGCTTGAGCCCGACACTCAGCCCCTCTGAGCCCTACTTACTTTGTATGGAAAAATGGAGATGTGGCCAGGTGTGGTAGCTCGCACCTGTAATCTCAGCGCTCTGGGAGGCTGAGGTGGGTGGATCACTTGAGGTCAGGAGTTTGAGACCAGCCTGGCCAACATGGCGAAACCCCGTCTCTACTAAAATACAAAAATTAGCCCGGTGTGGTGGTGGGCACCTATAGTCCCAGCTACTCAGGAGGCTGAGGCAGGAGAATCACTGGAACCCGGGAGGCAGAGGCTGTAGTGAGCCGAGATTGCGCCACTGCACTCCAGCCTGGGTGACAGAGTGAGACCCTGTCTCAAAAAAAAAAAAAAAAAAAAAAAAAAAGGAAAAAGAAAATGGAGATTTTCAGAGGAGCTGCCTCCTGGCGGATTCAGTGGAAACTCCCTGTTCTTTCTGGGTGCGAACTCATTGAATCCTCATGACAACCCCACAAGGGAGGTGTTAACTGCCACCCCCATTTCACAGACGAAGGAACGGGGAGAGTGGACGCCAAGGAGCTGCCTGAGACCACATAGCTAGGGGAAGGCGGAGCCAGGATTCGAACTCTGGCCACAGAGCCACCTCTCGCCATAGCGCACTCTCAGTCTTGAGCCTGAGACGGTGGGGCCATGTGCAGTGTCCAATAACATTGGTGACTGTTACTGAGAAGGTCCCAGGCCTCTGCTCCCCCATCCTGGGTGCCCCGGGCAGGAAGTGCACCCCCCTCCCCACCCCGGAAGTCTCGGGGCAGTCAGTTCTTTCTGGCCCACAATGAGCCCATCTGATTCCCTTTGAGCAGGGGCCGGCTGCTGCACCCACCGCACACAGGCTCATCATCCAGGGTGGGCAGTGGCTTCTCTGCACCCCCACGGGGACAGGGAGGCCCCATGCACTCTGGGCATCAGAATTCGGGTCTTCTGTGGGTTCTCCACGTTGCAGCAAACCAACGGCGCTCACATCCTGCCTCCTGGGGCTGAGACACCAAAGCAGGAAATTGCATAACAGGCATTGCTGGCCGAGCTCCACGCAGATGGCTCCTGGGTGGTGCAGTTCACTGTCGTGGTTTGGCTTCTCGGTGTGGAGTCGGCTCCTGAGCTCTGCCCATGAGAGACTATGGTGTGTGTGTGTGTGTGTGTGTGTGTGTGTGTGTGTGTGTGTGTGTGTGTGTGTGTGTGTGTGTACAGAGAATGGGATGCAGGCCTAACCTGATAGCAGGGTTTCAGAAGCTCAGGAGAGCAAAGCCTTCATGCAGAGGCGCAGTGAGACGGGAGATGGGGAGACGCAGCTGAATCTGTGGGTAACAGTTTCGAGAGGGAAATGTACAAGGAGGGAGTTGTGAGTAAAGTGGATTCCAAGTGGCATTTAGTCACAGAGTGGAAGCCCTCCAGCCTCTCCAGCTGACAGCAGGTGAAATTTAGAAGTCCAGACTGGGAGAAGAGGCACAGACAGTAGATTCTGCCCAGCTGTCACGGGTTCCTCTCCAGGATCTGGGCCTGGGAGAGCCGGCTGTCTGGGCCAGGCCAGGCTCACCTGCCTGAGACATCCAGGGTCTGGGAGAAGCAGCTGCACAGCGACCCCATAACATCTCCACCTCCCACTTTCAAAGTCACTTCTCAGGAGAGCCTCTTCTGCTCTGGGGCTGTTTTAAATGGGACAGAGACTTGCTGTAGTCTGGGCCATGAGGCCAAACAGGAAAGCCCCTCTTGGAGCCCAAAAGAAGACAGTTTCATCAGGAAACAAAAAAGCTGATGGCCTGGCGGGGTGCGGTGGCTCACGCCTGTAATCCCAGAACTTTGGGAGGCCAAGGTGGGTGGATCACGAGGTCAGGAGTTCAAGACCAGCCTGACCGACATGGTGAAACCCTGTCTCTACTAAAAATACAAAAATTAGCCAGGCATGGTGGCGGGTGCCTATAATCCTAACTACTCAGGAGGCTGAGGCAGGAGAATCGCTTGAACCCAGGAGGCAGACGTTGGAGTGAGCCGAGACTGTACCACTACACTCCAGAGCCTGGGTGACAGAGTGAGGCTCCATCTAAAAAAAAAAAAAAAAAAGTGTGATGGCCTGTGGCGCTTGCAGGCCCTCGGAGGTTTCTAACAGCCCAGGTGATCTTCTGTCGCCTCTGGCTTGGTGGTTCTCTTGGTCATCCTCTATCCTGCTTGGGCGCCCCCACAGAAATGGCTTCCCACCTGGTTGGGGTCTGGGCATAGGATGAAAGCAAATATTTTACTGTGTGACAGTCCAAAAATTGCCCATCAGGATCACAGGGCACAACCAGCCACTCCGGTGCTGTCCAGGCCCCTTCCTGCCACTGCTGACCCTTCAAGTATGCTCTTCCCCTTCAATCAGTGAGGACGCTGCCCCACAGAAGGGACCAAGGGGCTTGCCAAAGGTCACTTTTCTGGGAAGATGCAGAGCTAGGCTGGTTTCAAACACCCGGCCTTTGACCCCGTGCTTTGTCTCAGCTCCTTCTATGACACCCCAGCCTTCTGGTACCCCAGTTCTACCAGACTGCCCTCAGCTGTCCTGTTGCTAAGGTTCCTCGGCATGACGCTGAGTCCGAGTCCTTAGCAGCCCTGTTGACCCTGGACGATGGAAACTTTTTTTTTTTGAGACGGAGTTTCACTCTTGTCCCCTAGGCTGGAGTGGAATGGTGCAATCTCAGCTCACTGCAACTTCTGCCTCCCGGGTTCAAGCAATTCTGCCTCAGCCTCCTGACTAGCTGGGATTACAGGCGCTCCACGCCACGCCCGGCTAATTTTTATATTTTTAGTAGAGATGGGGTTTCACCACGTTGGCCAGGCTGGTCTCGAACTCCTGACCTCAGTGATCTGCCCGCCTCGGCCTCCCAAAGTGCTGGGATTACAGGCTTGAGCCACTGCGCCCGGCCGATGGAAACTACTAAATGCAAGCGAACACGTCGGAGTGAATGAACTCCATCTCTGTGCCTGTGTGCAGGGAGGTGAACCCGAAATCAACATGGGAACTGGCGAAGGCCAGCCCAGCTCCCTTCAGGCCCAGACGGCACGACTTGGAATGCAGAGGCAGGATTAGTTCCTGTATCAGCCTGAGCCCTGGTTCTTATTTCATGTTCCCTTTTCAATCAGACAGAAGAAGGGTGGGTGTTTACGGCGGGCCAGACACAGCTGGGAGCCCTGCACTATTCCTGGCTGCCACTTGCCTTGCTGAGTGAGGCCAGGCTTGTCGCTCAACCTCACATGCCTGAGTTTCCTAATCGTCAGGCCAGAGACACGCACACTTACCCTGTCCTCCCCGGTCCGGGGCCCAGCAAAGGCATAGCAGTTGTGCTCCGTGTTAAACATGCAAATGGAGCCCCCAGAATAATCACACTGAGCACCAGGGCTTAGCTCAGAGACCAGGGACTCTTCTCTCTAAATACGGCTCAATTCTTCTGCAACATCTAGACCACAGGGGCCTGGCTTAGTGATGTGGGATTCTCAGCATCCATGACAAATGCAGACTGAATGCTGGTCAGACAGTCACACAAACGTATTAAAATGCTTTACCTCAGCTTTATTGGGATACAGTTCACATACCACACAACTCACCTATTTAAAGTACGGTTCTGGCTGGGTGTGGTGGCTCCTGCCTGTAATCCCAGCACTTTGGGAGGCCAAGGCGGGCAGATCACCTGAAGTCAGGAGTTCAAGACCAGCCTGGTCAACATGGCGAACTCCTGTCTCTACTGAAAAAAATACAAAAATTAGCAGGGCATGGTGGCACACGCCTGTAATCCCAGTTACTCAGGAGGCTGAGGCAGGTGAATCACTTGAACCTGAGAGGTAGAGGTTACAGTGAGATTGCACCACTGCACTCCAGCCTGGGTGACAAAGACTCCATTTAAAAAAAAAAAAAAAAGTGTACGGTTCTGGCCGGTGCAGTGGCTCCTGCCTGTAATCCCAGCACTCTGGGAGACCGAAGTGGGAGGATCTTGGGCTCAGGAGTTTGAGACCAGCCTGGGCAACATAGTGAGACCCCATCTCTACAAAAAAACTTAAAAATTAGCCAGGCATAGGCCAGACTCAGTGGCTCATGCCTGTAATCCCAGCACTCTGGGAGGCTGAGGCAGGTGGATCACAAGGTCAGGAGTTCAAGACCAGCTTGGCCAAGAGGGAGAAACCCTGTCTCTACTAAAAATACAAAAATTAGCTGAGTGTGATGGCGGGCGCCTGTAACCCCAGCTACTCGGGAGGCTGAGTCAGAGAATTGCTTGAACCCGGGAGGCAGAGGTTGCAGTGAGCCGAGATTGTGCCACTGCACTCCAGCCTGGGTGACAGAGTGAGACTCCATCTCAAAAAGCTAACAACAACAACAAAAATTAGCTGGGCGCGGTGGCACATTCTCGTCATCCCAGCTACTCAGGAGAATGAGGTGGGAGGTCGAGGCTGCAGCGAGCCCTGATCGTGCCACCGCACTCCAGCTGGGCGACAGTGAGTCCCTGTCTCACAAAATAAAAGCAAATAGAAAGTGTACGGTTCTATGGTTTTAGTATATTCACAGATACGTACAATCACCTTGGCCCAGTTGGGCTCTAGAATAAAGTAACCATAGACCGGATGCCTCGTCAACCACAGAAACCAATCCTTCACAGTTCTGGAGGCTGGAAGTCCAAGATGAAGGCGCCCACAGTTTCTGCGTGGTGAGGGCCACCTCCTGGTTCACAGAAGCGCCTCCTCGCTGTGCGGTCATGTGACGGAGGCCGGAAGGCAGGTCCCACAGCCTCTGGGGAAGGAGAGCCCAGAGTAGCTGAGGAACTGGGGTGCCCACACCAGCCTGCTGGGGGCTTCAAATGTTCTTTTAGGAGTGACAAGGGAATCGACCTGCCCAGCTCTGCAGCCCTGGGGGCCACAGAGGACCGGGGCACAGCCGGCGCCTCTGCTCAGGGCTCCGGCCTCCATCTCTGGGAGCGAGCACCCGTGGATGCCTCACTCCACCCAGGGTCACTGTCGCGCAGCAGCAGCTTTCCAGAAGGCAGCCGGCCATTGACGAGTGACCAGGCGGAGACGGTGAAGGCCAGAAGTTCCTCCAGAGGCCGCGTGCCAGCCCCTCGCCTGTGAGGGGGGCCTGGGTCTCCGGGCTCCCCAGGACGGTGCTTCCTCTTGCAGCTGGGCCTGGAGGCCGGAGAGGGTCATGTGAGCCCTCCTGGGCGGGCGGTGCCTCTACGGCTGTGACCTTGAGCAAGTCCCCCTCCTCTCAGGTCTCGGTTTCCTAGGACATGGAGTGGGGACGGAGGTGGTTCCTCACCTCACGAGATTGCGGAGGCACGTGAAGCCGATGGTCCTGAGCTTCTGGACAAGTGCCCAGCCCAGAGTAAGCGCTTAGCAAATCCGAGTGATTCGGCGGCACCACTGAGCCTCGGTTTCCTCATCTGCAAGACAGGGTTACGCTTTCCTCACAGGGAGGAGGGTTCCGGGGGGTCATCAGGCAAGGCCCTCAGCACAGAACCGCCAATAGCTAACACCTATTATTGACCTTGTTGTAACAGGATGATAAAATGGTTTTCTTGACTGGGCGCCACGGCTCATGCCTGTAATCCCACCACTTTGGGAGGCCAAGGCAGGAGGATTACTTGAGCCCAGGAGTGGAGACCAGCCTGGGCAACATAGTAAGACCCTGATCTCTACAAAAAATAGAAAAAATTAGCCCAGCGTGATGGGGCATGCCTGTAATCCCAGCTCCTCCGGAGGCTGAGTCAGGAGGATTGCTTGAGCCCAGGAGTTCAAGGCTGCAGTGAGCTGTGATTGCACCACTGCACTCCAGCCTGGGTCACACAGCGAGACCCGATCCCTGCCCCACCCCCCACCGCCCAAAAAGCTTTTATTTGCTGCCCCAATTTTAGCTGAGACTTTGAGAGGACAAAACAATACAAGGGGTGAGGTCCCCCACCCCACAGGCCATCTTGCTGGACATGCTTTGAGGCTGTGCAGCGCCGTGGCCGGCATCTGTCCCGGGCCCACTTGGTATAAATGAGGCAGATAGATGAGGTGGGTGGAAGAAAGGCCCCTGGCCGAGCTGCTCATGTGGACCACGTGTCCCTTGGAGGGTGGGCTGCCTCCTTCCTGGTTGCAGCCTGACCGAGGTGGGCAGCCAGTGCCTAAGGTTTGATCCGTGTTAACCGCAATCACTGTCATTGGACTCATCATCAAAAGCATAGGTGCGGCCGGGTGCGGTGGCTCACGCCTATAATCCCAGCACTTTGAAAGGCCGCGGCGGGTGGATCACCTGAAGTGAGGAGTTCGAGACCAGCCTGGCCAACATGGTGAAACCCCATCTCTACTAAAAATACAAAAATTAGCCAGGGTGGTGGCAGGCTCCTGTAATCTCAGCTACTCAGGAGGCTGAAGTAGGAGAATTGCTGGAACCCGGGAGGCGGAGGTTGCAGTGAGCCGAGATTTCGCCATTGCACTCCAGCCCAGGCAAAAACAGCGAGACTCTGTCCCAAAAAAAAGGCATAGGTACATGTGGCTCCTGGAGTCAGAACTGTGGCTGGCCGCCTGCCTCCTTGGCAGGCAGTCACCTTCCCGGAGCTGCAGAACTTTTTCATCCTACAAATCTGAAACTACACACATTAAAGGACAGTTCCCCCTTCTCCTCTCTTTCCAGCCCCTGGCAGCCAGCACTCCACTCTAAGAGTTTGCCCTTTTGGCCGGGCGTGGTGGCTCACGCCTGTAATGCCAGCACTTTGGGAGGCCGAGGCGGGCGGATCACGAGGTCAGGAGATCGAGACCATCCTGGCTAACACGGTGAAACCCCGTCTCTACTAAAAATACAAAAAAATTAGCCGGGCATGGTGGCGGGCGCCTGTAGTCCCAGCTACTCAGGAGGCTGAGGCAGGAGAATGGCGTGAACCCGGGAGGCAGAGCTTGCAGTGAGCCGAGATCGTGCCACTGCACTCCAGCCTGGGCGACAGAGCGAGACTCCATCTCAAAACAAAAAAAAAAAAGAGTTTGCCCTTTTTTTTTTTTTTTTTTTTTTTGAGAGGGAGTCTCACTCTGTTGCCCAGGCTAGAGTAGAGTGGAGTTCAGTGGCGCCTCTCAGCTCACTGCAACCTCTGCCTCCCAGGTTCAAGTGATTCTCCTGACTCAGCTTCCTGAGTAGCTGAGATTACAGGTGCCTGCCACCACACCTGGCTAATTTTTGTATTTTTAGTAGAGACAGGGTTTCACCATGTTAGCCAGGCTGGTCTCGAAATCCTGACCTCAGGTGATCCACCCTCCTCGGCCTCACAAAGTGCTGGGATAACAGGCATGAGCCACCGTGCCTAGCCTTGAATTTCTCTTAAGTCTTAAGAGTAGGAGCAGGGGAGGTGATGTTGCTCAAACTCTTTTTTTAAAAAAACAGCTTTTTTTAGGTATAATTAACATATAATATGTAAAGTGAACAATTTTTTAGTTTTTAAGAGATAGGGTCTTGCTGTGTTGTCCTGGCTGGAGTGAAGTGGTATGATCGTAGCTCACTGTAGCCTCAACTTTCCAAGCTTAAGCCATCCTCCTGCCTCAGCCTCTGGAGTAGCTGGGACTATAGGCACAAGCTACCAAACCTGCTATTTTTTTTTTTTTTAAGACAAAGTCTCACTCTGTTGCCCAGGTTGCTCACTACAACCTCCGTCTCCCAGGTTTAAGCAATTCTCCTGCCTCTCCTGAGTAGCTTAGATTACAGGCACCTGCCACCACGCCTGGGTAACTTTTTGTATTTTTAGTAGAGACGGGGTTTCACCATGTTGGCCAGGCTGGCCTTGAACTCCTGACCTCATGATCCACACGCCTCGGCCTCCCAAAGCACTGGGATTACAGGCGTGAGCCACCATGCCCAGCCTAATTTTTGTATTTTTTGTAGAGATGGGGTTTCGCCATGTTGGCCAGGCCGGTCTCAAACACCTAAGTTCAGGCAGTCCTCCCACTTCGGCCTCCCAAAGTGCTGGGATTATAGGTAAGAGCCACTGCACCCAGCTATTAATACTTTCTTTTATGGATTATGCTTTTGGTCTAAGAAATCTTTGTTTAATCCAAGATTATGAAGATTTTCTCCTGTGTTTTCTTCAATAGTTGATTTTATATTGATGTCTATGGTCCAATTTTGAGTCAGTTTTATATGTGCAGGGCAGGAGTCAAAGTTCTCATTTTGGCACATGGAGACCTAATCGTCCCGGCAGCTTTTGTTGCAAAGCCTGTCCTTTCTCACTGTGTTACCTTCCACCTTTGTCGAAAATCAAGTGACCAGATACGTGTGGATCTATATCTGGATGTTCTATTCTGTACAATTAACCTATGTTTCTTTAAATCTTAACACCAGGACCACATGGTCTTGAATAATGTAGCTTTCTAATATGTCTTTTAAAATAATAGTTGTATATATTTTGGAAGTACATGTACTATTTTAATAATTTATATATATAAATTATATATATTATTATTATTATTTTTTTTTTTTTGAGATGGAGTCTCCATCCGTCTCCCAGGCTGGAGTGCAATGGCACGAACTCGGCTCACTGCAACCTTCACTTCCTAGGTTCAAGTGATTCTCCTATTTCAGCCTCCTGAGTAGCTGGGACTACAGGAGTGCACCATCATGCCTAGCTATTTTTTGTATTTTTAGCAGAGACAGGGTTTCACCATGTTGGCCAGGCTGGTCTTGAGCTCCTGACCTCAAGTGATCCTCCCCCTTCATCCTCCCAAAGGGTTGGGATTACAGGCGTGAGCCACCGCACCTGGCCAAATTTTATAATGTCTTAAAGAAAAGAAGTGTAAGTCCTCAAACTTTGTTCTTCTTTTCCAAAATTTTATGAAATATTTATAGCTCCTTTGCATCTCCATATGAATTTTAGAATCAGCTACCAAAAAAAAAAAAAAAGAAGTCTGTCGGGATTTTGATTTTGATTGGGACTACATTGAATCCATAGGTCAATTTGGAGAGAAGTGGTAACTTAACAATAGTGAATGTTCTGATTCATGACTGTGTGTCCCGTTTATTTAGGTGTTCTTTAATTTCAATCAGCGATGTTTTGTAGTTTTTGGTGTACAGTCTTGCACGTCTTTTTTTTTTTTTTTTTGAGATGAAGTCTCGCTCTGTCCCCCGGCCTGGGGGGCAGTGGCACGATCTCGGCTCACTGCAACCTCTGCTCTGGGGTTCATGCCATTCTCCTGCCTCGGCCTCCTGAGTAGCTGGGACTACAGGCGCCCGCCACCACGCCTGGCTAATTTTTTTCGTATTTTTAGTAGAGATGGGGTTTCACTGTGTTAGCCAGGATGGTCTCCATCTCCTGACCTCATGATCCGCCCACCTCGGCCTCCCCAAGTGCTGGGATCACAGGCGTGAGCCACCGCGCCCGGCCGCACATCTTTTGTTAGATTTATACTTAGGCAAATCATATTTTTGTTGCTATTGTAAATGATATTGGAATTTTGAATTCCAATTTCTGATTACTTATTGGTAGTATTCAGAAGGACAATTGTTTTCTGTTTATTGAGCTTGTATTCTGAAGCCTTCTTAAGTCACTTACTAGTTTTAATAGCTTTTTCTGGCCGAGCTTAGTGGCTTATGCCTGAAATTCCTGTACTTTGGGAGGGAGAGGCGGACGACTCGCAATCACTTGAGGTCAGGAGTTCCAGAACAGCCTGGCCAACATGGCGAAACCCCATCTCTAGTAAAAATACAAGAATTAGCTGGGCATGGTGATACGCGCCTGTAATCCCAGCTACTCAGGAGGCTGAGGCCCGAGAATTGCTTGAACCCAGGAAGTGGAGGTTACAGCCAGCGGAGATCCCAGCATTGCACTCCAGCCTGGGTGACAGAGTGAGACTGTCTCGAAAATAACTTTTTCCCTAGATTTCACAGGATCTTCTGAGTAGATGATTATGTTATCTGCATGTAAAGCCTGTTTTACATCTTCTTTCTAAGCTACATGCCTTTTGTTTCTTTTCCTTGCCTAAGTGCATTGGCTAGAACCTCCTGTGCAATGTGAATAGAAGTGGTGAGAGTAGATATTCTTGTCTCGTTCCCTATCTTGGGGTGAAAGCACTCTATCTTCACCATTAAGTACGATGTTAACAGTAGGTTTATCTTAGATGCCTTTTATAAGGTGGAGGAAGTTCCCTTCAATATCTAGTTTGCTGAGAGTTTTTATCAAGAATGGACATTGGGTTTTATCAAATGCTTTTCCGGTATTTACTGAGATAATCATGGTTTTTTTTTTTTTTAATTTTTTACTCTGTTAATATGGTGAATTACATGGATTGATTTTCAAATGTTGAATCAACCTTGAATTTCTGGAATAAACCCCACTTGGTCATCAAGTGTTATCTATTTTATAAATTATCGGATTTGATTGCTAAAAGCTTATTAAGAATTTTTCTGTTTGGCATCTTGTAGGAAGAAAAAACTTCTTGATAAAATAAAATAAGAGTTTTTCCATCAGTCTTGATGGGTATTTGTAGTTTTCTTTTCTTATATGTCTTTGTTAGGTTTTTGTGTCACAGTAATGCTAGTGTCATAGAATGAATTGGGAAGTATTCTCTTCTCTTGAATTTTCTGGAAGAGTTTGCATATAATCATATTATTTCTTCCTTAAGGAAGAATTCTACGTTTGTTAGAATTCACCAGGGAAGCCATCTGGGCCAAGAGTTTTCCTTACGAGAACACTTTTGACGATAAATTCAATTTCTTTAATAGGCATAGGGATACTCGGGTTATTTATTTCTTGCTGAGTGAACTTGGATAATTGTTGTTTTTGAGTAATTTGTCTATTTCATTGAAGTTGATTTTGATAGAAACATACATAATATTCCCTGATTTTCTTTTTAATATCCAAGGGATGTGTAGTGACGTTGTCTTTCTCATTCCTTGACATTGGTGATCTATATCTTATTGCTTTTTTCCTGATCAGTCTGGCTAGAGTTTAATTAATTAATTTTTTCAAAGAAACACCTTTTGATTTTATTTTTTTCCTATTTTTGTCTTGTTTTGTTTACTTCGTTGATTTCTGCTCTGATCTTTATTTCCTTTCTTGTTATTTATTATTTTTCTTCCTCTAGTTCCTAAGATAGCTTTTTTCTTTATTTTCTTATTTTATTTTTCATTTTTGAGACAGAGTCTCACTCTGTCACCCAGGCTAGAGTGCAGTGGTGCAATCTCGGCTCACTGCAACCTTTGCCTCCTGGGTTCAAGCGATTCTCATGCCTCAGCCTCCCTAGTAGCTGGGACTAGAGGTAAGCACCACCATGCTCAGCTAATTTTTGTTTGTTTTGTTTTGCTTTGTTTTTGAGACGGAATCTCACTCTTGTCACCCAGGCTGGAGTGCAACGGCGCGATCTTGGATCACTGCAACCTCTGCCTCCCAGTTCAAGCGATTCTCCTGACTCAGCCTCCTGAGTAGTTGGGATTACAGGTGCCTGCCACCATGCCCAACTAATTTTTGTATTTTTAGTGGAGACAGAGTTTCATCATGTTGGCCAGGCTGGCCTCGAACTCCTGACCTCAGGTAATCCACTTACCTCAGCCTTCCAACGTACTGGAATTACAGGTATGAGCCACTGCACCTGACACTTTTTTCTTATTTTAATATAGGCATTTAGTGCTATGAATTTCCCTGCAAGTACTACTTTAGCACCTCAACTTGTGATGTCATGTTTTCATTTTTCATTAAGTTAAAATATTTTCTGAGTTCCTTTTTTTAAATAATGTGTTATTTAGCTGCCAACTATTTGGAGATTTTTCTGGCTATCTTTCTGTTAATGATTTCTAATTTAATTCCATTGTGGTCAGAGAACATATTTTGTGTAAGTTGAATCCTTTTAAAGTTATTGAGATTTGTTTTATTGTAGGGACCAGCCCCACAGGATCGGTGGGTCTCTCCCCATGTGCGGAGACGAGAGAGTGTAGAAATAAAGACACAAGACAAAGAGATAAAAGAAAAGACAGCTGGGCCCGGGGGACCACTACCACCAATGCACGGAGACCGGTAGTGGCCCCGAATGTCTGGCTGCGCTGTTATTTATTGGATACAAAGCAAAAGGGGCAGGGTAAAGAGTGTGAGTCACCTCCAATGATAGGTAAGGTCACGTGGGTCACGTGTCCACTGGACCGGGGGCCCTTCCCTGCCTGGCAGCCGAGGCAGAGAGAGAGAGGAGACAAAGAGAAAGACAGTTTACTCCATTATTTCTGCATATCGGAGACTTTTAGTACTTTCACTAATTTACTATTGCTATCTAGAAGGCAGAGCCAGGTGTACAGGATGGAACATGAAGGTGGACTAGGAGCATGACCACTGAAGCACAGCATCACAGGGAGACGGTTAGGCCTCCGGATAACTGCGGGCGAGCCTGACTGATGTCAGGCCCTCCACAAGAGGTGGAGGAGCAGAGTCTTCTCTAAACTCCCCCAGGGAAAAGGAGACTCCTTTTCCCGGTCTGCTAAGTAGTGGGTGTTTTTCCTTGACACTGACGCTACCGCTAGACCATGGTCTGCTTGGCAAGAGGTGTCTTCCCAGACACTGGCGTTACCGCTAGACCAAGGAGCCCTTCTGGTGGCCCTGTCTGGGCATAACAGAAGGCTCGCACTCTTGTCTTCTGGTCACTTCTCATTATGTCCCCTCAGTTCCTATCTCTGTGTGACCTGGTTTTTCCTAGGTTATGATTGTAGAGCAAGGATTATTATAATATTGGAATAAAGAGTAATTGCTACAAACTAGTGATTAATGATATTCATAGATAATCATATCTAAGATCTATATCTGGTATAACTATTCTTGTTTTATATTTTATTATACTGCAACAGCTCGTGTCCTCGGTCTCTTGCCTCGGCACCTGGGTGGCTTGCCGCCCACATTTTATGACTTAGAATATGGTCTTCCTATTTGTATGCACTTGAAAAGAACACATATTCTACTGATGTTGGGTGGAGTGTTCTACAAATGTTAATTAGGTTCAAAGTGTGTTGATAGTGTTGTTCAAGTCTTCTATATTCTGACTTATTTTCTGTCTATTTGTGTTGTCAATTATTGAGACAGGGTAGGGTTCAATGACTCCTGCCTGTAATCCCAGCACTTTAGGAGGCCGAGGTGGGAGGGCTGCTTGAGTCTAGGAGTTCAAGACCAGCCTGGGCAACATAGCAAACACCCTTCTCTACAAAAAATGCAAAAATTAGCCAGGCATGGTGGTGTGCTCCTGTAGTCCCAGCAACTTGGGAGGCTGACGTGGGAGGATTGCTTGAGCCCAGGAGGCGGAGGTTACGGTGAGCTGAGAGTGTGCTACTGCACTCCGGCCTGGGTGACAGAGCGAGACCCTGTCTCAAAAAAATAAATAAATAAATAAAAAGATTGATGCAGGGCTGTTGAAACCTCTGACTATAACTATGGATCTATCTATTCCTCCTTGTAATTCTTTTTTTTTTTTTTTTTTTTTTGAGACAGAGTCTCACTCTGTCACCCAGGCTGGAGTACAGTGGCACAATCTTGGCTCACTGCAAGCTCCACCTCCCGGGTTCACACCATTCTCCCACCTCAGCCTCCCGAGTGGCTGGGACTACAGGTGCCCGCCACCACATCCAGCTAATTTTTTTTGTATTTTTAGTAGAGATGGGGTTTCACCGTGTTAGCCAGGATGGTCTCGATCTCCTGACCTCATGATCTGCCCGCCTCGGCCTCCCAAAGTGCTGGGATTACAGGTGTGAGCCACTGTGCCCAGCTGTTGTCATACTACATTTTTCCACATATATCATAAAACCCATAGTACATTGTTATTATTTTTGCTTTAAACAGTTATTTTTTATTTATTTATTTATTTTTGAGACGAGTCTCGCTCTGTCACCCAGGCTAGAGTGCAGTGGCGTGATCTCGGCTCACTGCAAGCTCCGCCTCCTGATTTCATGCCATTCTCCTGCCTCAGCCTCCCGAGTAGCTGGGACTACAGGCGCCCGCCACCACGCCCGGCTAATTTTTTGTATTTTTAGTAGAGACAGGGTTTCACCGTGTTAGCCAGGATGGTCTCATGGTCTCGATCTCCTGACCTCGTGATCTGCCCCCCTCGGCCTCCCAAAGTGCTGGGATTACAGGTGTGAGCCACCGTGCCCGGCCTAAGCAGTTCTTTTAAAGAGATTTAGAAAAGCCCCTACACCCCAATCTTTACATTTACTCATGTAGTTACCATTTCTGATCTTTTTGTATTTTTCTCCCCATCTTTTTTTCAGGGACTCCAATTACACATATATTAGGCCACTCAAAGTTGTCCCACCATTTACTGATGATCTGTTCCGAATTTGTTCATTCTTATCTCCGTGTGTAGTTCATTTTGGGTAGTTTCTATGGCTATTTCTTCAAGTCAAGTTCACTCATCTTTTCCTCTGTTGTGGATAATAGCCTATTAATCCCTCCCCGGTGTTTCTCAGATACCATAATTTTCATCTCTACAAGTTCAGCTGGGATCTTTTGTATCTCTTCTATGCCTCTATTCAACAGGTTTAATCTTTCCTCTAGCTTCTTGGAAATACAGAGTACAGTTGTGATCATGGTTTTAAAGTTTCTGACTGCGAATTTTTTTTTTTTTTTTGAGACGGAGTCTCGCTCTGTCGCCTAGGCTGGAGTGCAGTGGTGCGATATCGGCTCACTGCAACCTCCGCCTCCCGGGTTTACGCCATTCTCCCGCCTCAGCTTCCCGAGTAGCTGGGACTACAGGCGCCCGCCACCACGCCCGGCTAATTTTTTATATTTTTAGTAGAGACGGGGTTTCACCGTGTTAGCCAGGATGGTCTCGATCTCCTGACCTCATGATCTGCCCTCCTCGGCCTCCCAAAGTGCTGGGATTACAGGCATGAGCCACCGCGCCCGGCCCTGACTGCGAATTTTTTAATCTGAGTCATTTCGGGGCCCATCTCAATTGTTTGAGTTTACCCATTATAGATTATATTTCTTTGCTTCTTTGCACGCCTGGCTAATTTTTTGTATTTTTAGTAGAAACGGGGTTTCACCATATTAGCCAGGCTGGTCTTGAACTCCTGACCTCAGGTGATCTGCCCACCTTGGCCTCCCAAAATGCTGAGATTACAGGTGTGAGCCACTGTGCCCAGCCACTTTCTCACATTCTAACATCTGCAGATATAGTATATGACTAAGTGGGAAGTTTATATTTATTATTATTATTTTTTGAGACAAGGTTTCCCTCTGGTGCCCAGGCTGGAATACAGTAATGCCATCACAGCTCACTGCAGCCTTGACCTCCTGGGCTCAAGTGATCCTCCTACCTCAGTCTCCTGAGTAGCTGGGACTACAGGCACATGCCACCATGCCCAGCTAACTTTGATTTTTTTTTTTTTTTTTTTTGTAGAGACAGGGTTTCCCTATGTTGCCCAGGCTGGTCTTGAACTCCTGCACTCAAATGATCCTCCTGCCTCAGCCTCCCAAAGTGCGAGGATTATAGGGGTGAGCTATTGCACCCCGCCCAAGCAGGACTTTTTTGTTCTGTTTTTTTTTTTTTTTTTTTTTTTCAGATTCAGCCTCGTTCTGTGGCCCAGGCTGGAGTGTGCAGTGGCACGATCTTGGCTCACTGCAACCTCCACCTCCCGGGTTCAAGCAATTCTCCTGCCTCAGCCTCCCTAGTAGCTGGGACTACAGGCACATGCTACAACACCTAGCTAATTTTTGTATTTTTAGTAGAGACGGGGTTTCACCATGTTGGCCAGGCTGGTCTTGAACTCCTGACCTCAAGTGATCCGCCCACCTCAACCTCCCAAAGTGCGGGGATTACAGGCATGAGCCACCATGCCTGCCCTTAGCCTGTTTCTGTAGGCTCATGAGCTGTTTCTTCTTCTGGTAGTGGATTTTGACCTTCTTCCTCTTCTCCAGGGTGGCTGTCACCACCTGGTACTTCCAGGCAACCTTGTGAGCCAGGCGCCCCAGGTGGGCAGACTTTCTCAGAGGCGTGAAACACAGTCTTAATGGCAGCGGGAACCACCCTCTGCTTTTTCTTGTCATAGGGTGGTGGGATCCCACCAGATACTTGGAGGTGGTCAGGGCAGCCTGGCCTCACTTAAGTCTTTTTAAATTTAAATTTAAATTTTTTTTTGAGACAGAGTTTCGCTCTTGTTGCCCAGGCTGGAGTGCAGTGGTCTCAAACTCCTGACTTCGTAATCTGCCTGCCTTGGCCTCCCAAAGTGCTGGGATTACAGGCATGAGCCACTGTGCCTGGCCAGTCTGTTTTTGGTTTTTTTTTTCCGAGATGGCATCTTGCTCTGTTGCCCAGGCTGGAGTGCAGTGGTGCGATTTCGGTTTGCTGCAACGTCCTCCTCCTGGGTTTAAGCGATTCTCCTGCCTCAGCCTCCTGAGTAGCTGGGATTACAGGCACCTGCTACCACGCCTGGCTAATTTTTGTATTTTTAGTAGAGATGAGGGTTCAACAGCTTGGCCAATGCTGGTCTTGAACACCTGAACTCAGGTGATCCACCTGCCTCAGCTTCCAAAAGTTCTGGGATTACAGGCGTGAGCCACTGTGCCCGGCAGGCCTCACTTAGTCTTCGGGGCAGCATGCCCCACACAGTCTGCCTAAAGATGTGGCTGGGGGCCTGGAAGTGGTAGGGGGCGCAGGATAGGTTGGCGTTCATCCACTTGCAGGGGAAGGGCAGGCACTTTCACTTGTTTCTGTAGAAATTGCCAGAAACGCTGATGCCCTTGCCACCCAGGACCACCACCTCTTGGTCCAGCAGTACCTATTTGGCTGTGATAGCCACAGGTGGCCCAGGAGATGGCCTCAGCCACTGCGTACCAGGGCCTGCCCCTCTGCTACCTTTGACAGCCGCCCGTTACCGGGTGCTTTTGTATTCCTATGCGCTTCTTGGGCTTTGTTCTGGGCTCTTACTTGGAAATAGTTTGATTTGTTTGGGTCTTGCTTTTAAGCGTTGTTAGGTGAGATCCAAGTGGCATTCTGGGTAGGACTCATATTCTCCCAGCACCGAGACAAAACGTTTCTGAGCACTGTTTCCAATGCGAAGTGATTTATGAGGCTTTCCACTTCGGCCGGCAGGAAGAGGCACTATTCTTCGCCCTAGAGTTCTGAAGAGTTTGCCTCTAATCCTCTCATGTTGTTTTCCTTCTCTAGACCCGGGATTTCCTCACATGTACCAAGCTGAGCAGTACTCAGTTGAATACTCGAGAGGACCCTCCGCAAGGGTCCAGAGTTCTCTCTGTGTGAGGCCCTCTCCTCCCCAGTCCTCTGCTTTGTAAACTCCGGGAGACTGTCGGGCTCCTCTTGGGCTCTCCTTCCATGCACTGTGATCTGGACACACTCTCCAGGCGGTAACTGGGGCAATCATATGGCTCATTCATTAGTTTCTTGAATCTTGGGGATCACTGTCCTTCCTTGTCTGATGTCTACTGTCTTGATTTTTTTTTTTTTTTTTTGGCAGAGTCTCACTCTGTCACCCAGGCTGGACCTTTGCGGGTCCCCGAGCCCCATTCCTGAAGTGAGTGCTGCCGGTCAGCTGTGGGATCAGGGAAGACTTCGTGGGGCACTGGGGTCCGTCTGCTGGGGCCTGGGTCTCTCCCTGAGAAGGCAGGGAAGCCACCGTGAGCACCCCAGTGACTCTGCCAGGCGCTGCCCTGAGCCCCGTGCAAGCCCTGCCCTGTGAGGCACACGGCACCTGCCTCATTTTCACGGGGGGCAGATGGGACGGCTTGCTCCAGCTGGTGTCTCAGAGAAAGGCCTCCTCCCCAGGGCCTCCTGCACCCAGTCTGCACTCTTCACCACTCACCTGGCTGCCCTGCCCTAGTGCGTTCCTGGGATGAGACCCAGAGGACCCCTGGGCAGGGTGGGGGAGCCCTGGCCTTGCTGTGTGCCTCTGGTGCCATTAGCTGGCCCTGTGCCCTTGAACTGTCTGAATACCTGCTATCTCTTGTCATCTCAGGTGGGGGTCTGGCTTTTGAACAAGTCTTGGCTTCTTTCTAGGAAGTCGTGCTGGGAGTCATTTATCAACAGTTCCTGACTCTTGCTCTGTCCTGGCACTGCCCTCACAGAGCTGCCCGTTGCTGGGACGGACTAGATAAATGAATGAAACCACCGACTACACGAGAAATTTCAATTGCGACGGAGGCCTCAAAATAGCAGTGCGGCAGGGCAGGAGCACACAAAGGGAGCCAGTGCCTGTGAGCAGGTCAGCCCACCAGGAAGGCTCTGCCGTGGGGAGGTGGCGCTTAAATGGAGACCTGCAGGATGAGCAGGAAGGGACAGAGGATGGAGCGGTCCTGTGGCGACGAGGAGAATGGGCCATTTGAGAAGCAGAGAAAGTGCAGAGGGGCCTGGAGAACCGCAGGGAGAGTTAGATGCGGAAGGGGGCAGGAGGGGGAGGAGGGCCAGACAGGAGGGCCTGCAGGCACTGTGAGGGCTGCATGGCAGCCAAGCCCCCTTCTAGGCTTCCAGATGGAAAGGCACTAGGTGAGGTCGAGAAAGCCAACATCCGATGGGCCACAAAGCAAAGCTGCTTCTGTACCCTCACGGGCCAGGATGCCAGCAAGGAGAGGTCGCCTCTAGCCAGGACCGGGCTCGGCTCTTGTCTCATATGCTGGGGCTCCCGCCTTCCATCCACAGCCCACTCGCTCCCCCCACCCCTGCCTGTGGCCTCTGCAGCTGGCAATCTAGGTCTGAAAACAATGCAGAGAATCTCCGGCCGGCCGGGGCTGCGGTATGGATGGGCTTCTATTTATAACAATGCAGCAACTGCCACCTCAGTGGGCCTGTGGCCTGACCTCTGGTGGGACTCTGGCAAGCCTCAAAGCCAGACCCCAGAGGAGACGGCAGAGGAAGGGCAGATGACACAGCTGAAGGGTATGGAGCCAGCTGCTCCCACCCTGGAGTCCTCGTCAGGACCCGCAAACCCCTGTCCATGTGCGGTTCACGCCAACATAAGCTAGACAGGCCCGGCCTCTGCCCAGCCCCCGCCGGGCTGCCGTTGTAGACAGATCGTGATCACAGATACAAACAGGTGAGAGGCAGCAGAGGGGACAGGTAACTGCGTGGTGTCAGGGTTATTTGCTGTGACTGATGTCAAGGCCGGCTTGTTTTCACAGGGTGGTCTGCTGGTCGGTAAGGGGTTCAGCAGTGTTGCTGGCACCAGCCGGCAAGATTTCTTTGGAAATGAACAGGTATCTTGGAGAAGAATCAGGAGATCCAATGGTAGCCAGCCAGGGCCTGGCAGGAGCGGGAGGGAGACACTGCCCGGGCCCCAGTGCTGGCTCCGCCCCTCATTCTCTTGTGAGACTTGGGCAAACCGCTTCCTGGCTCAGCCTCATTTTCTCATCTGAAAGCTGTGGGTTGTAGTACGTGGCTCACAGGGTGAAATGTGAAAATGTCAGTGAAGGGCTTAGCATAGTCAGTGCTGGCATGCTGTAGCCATCCAGTGAGTTGTTACTATTACAAAGCAATTTTTAAAAAGGAATGTGTGTTAGAAACACAACCAGCAGGAAGTGAGCTGTGCTTCCGTATAGCAACATCAACGAGGCAGCGGTTCCCAGCCTGAGTGCCAAGGACCCCAACTCCAAGGAGAAAGGTTCCGAGCAAACGTATTTGGGAAATGGCGGACTGTTTCCTCTTGTTGATTTACAAAACATATTTGCATATTAAAGGCTCAAAAAGGTCTTTTTTATAATAAAAAGATGTTAAATTTTGTTCCATCCACTCTTCCTAAACTTATATGGCCATAGAGCCCCCCCCCACCTTTTTTTTTTTTATAGAATACTAACTTCCCATAGGAGACATTTTGAAAACGGCAGAAGTTTGGGGGTTGATACACCCTCCATCCAATTGCTCCTCCTCCTTTCCCCAGGAGGAAAGTAGAGAGTGATGTTGAGACAGAGCAATGGGGGTGCACACGCAGGAATCCGACCAGCTGGCAGCCCAGGCTGGGAGATCCACTATCCCTGCCTTCCAGCCAGGGTGCTCCACGGACTTCCTCAGAGGAAGTTCAGGCAAGAAGCCCCATCTCTGGCATGAAACTGGGCCAGTTTTGTTGGCTGAAAATCAAATGCCGAGAAGTACTGGACAGGTCTTCTAAGAGAAATTACAAATGGGGCCAGGTGCACTGGCTCATGCCTGTAATCCCGGCACTTTGGGAGCCAAGGAGGGCGGATGGCTTGAGTCCAGGAGTTCAGGACCATCCTGGCTAACACGGTAAAACCCCGTCTCTACTAAAAATACAAAAATTAGCCAGGCGTGGTGGTGCACGCCTGTAGTCCCAGCTACTCGGGAGGCTGAGGCAGGAGAATCCCTTGAACCTGGGAGGCGGAGGTTGCAGCGAGCCGAGATTGTGCCACTGCACTCCAGCCTGGTGACAGAGCAAGACTCCGTCTTAAAAAAAAAAAAAAATAGAATAAACAACTAAGTGGCAGTCCAGAAGCCAAGTGGGGTGAGCTGCTGCAAGGCAGGATGAGGGCAAGGAAGGTCTTTCCTCCTCTGTTACAGGGACTCACAGAGGAGGGTTCAAAGTGTTTTGAGTGGCAAGGAGGTGACTTGGCCCACTTGTGCTTTTAGAGTTTTTCTTTTTTGAGCAGGTGCCAGAGCGGCTTAAATTTACACTTGTGTTTCTTATCAACAATTTCAGATAAAATCCCTTAGCCTGGATTAACTGCAAAATAAACATGTTCATGGGAGCTGGGTTCTGTTTTTCAGATGCCCCCTGGGTGGGTATTTATGGCTACTGTCCTTAGATTAAAGCAGAAGGCCCATGGGGTTCATGGACCATCTGTACAAGAATCACCCACTTTAGGAAAAACACAGATTCAAGGGCCTAGCCTAGCCCTGATGAAAAATCTCCAGCGAAAGCCTGAGCGCCGCACTAGAGCCGCACCATTCCCCAGCAGCAGGGTCCTGTGTTTGATAAGGGGCCTGAAGGCCAGGCAGGAGATGTCCCCACCCCACAGACCAGATGAGGTCAAAGTGGGAACCAACTTGGGATCATTTAACCCAGATGTCAGGCCAGAGCCTGCGGGTGAGCGTAACAGCATCGCCAAGACTGGGAAGCAGCTTTGGGCCAGGTGCACCTCATTTAGTCCGAACCGCCACCCTGCCAGACAGGTATTCGAATTCTACTTTACAACTGAGGGGAAAAACTCTCAAGACACAGAGGCCAAGTGCCTCGTTCTGGTTACAGAGCTGGTGGGGGTAAGAGTGAGGGCAGCCTGCACAGTCCACTCCTTCTCTGTAATGCCAGAGACCTGACCTAGAAGCCTCTCTGGAGGCTGCCACAGAGAACGCAAAGCTGAAAGCAGGCACCAGGACACTCACAGGTGGGCAGGGCCATGTGGAGGGGACCACCGGCTCAGCCACATCACCGTGCCACAGGACTCATACTTTTGCCCAAACGAGAGGCCGGGATTGTGGGTGTCGTGTAACTGGGGTTCTACCTGTCCCTGAGGAGCTCAATTTGGCCTCTATCCCTATGTTGCCATCTGAAGCACCAATTACCAGTGTGATATGTGTGTCTGGAAAAGCCAAGCAAAACACAGCCTAGCTCAGTCTGCGCCCCCTTTCCTGAGTTACGCGGAGCAGAAACATAAATGAAACCTCCTGTGCCTGCCGCTGCAGCACATGCCCCAGAAGGGCTGCGTGGGCATCCCTGGGGCCCCTTCTTGTCATCCAGGCTCTTTGCCTGCCCCGATTTGGAGATGGCTCAAGCCCCGCCATCTCCTCCCTGGGCAGGTGGGAGCGACTGTGCATTCCAGCCGGATATCCTGACAGTTCAGGCGTCAGGGGATGCAGGCTGAGCTGACCCCTGCCATCTACCGCTGTAATCACCCCCAAAAAAGGAACTTGGAGGGGCTCACATGCCAGTAGTACATTCCTCCGGGGCTGCTGCCTGACAGGGAGTGGGGGTGTTATCTGCCTGAGCACAGCTGATAGTGCCTTATGGAGAGATGTCACATGCCACCTCAATGGAGGATCAACGCAGAGAATTTGAGGTCAAGGGTTTAGGCCGAACCATTTCTATTTATAAAAAGGAGTGTCCAGGGGGAAGCAAAAGGGTAGGAGAAGACTGGCTCGGCCTGGGTGCCAGTCGGCAGGATGACAGCCAAGGGCAGAACGGAGCCTGCAGAGCTTCAGGTACATCTCTCCCTTTAAAGCTAAGCCCTCCGCCACGAGCCTCTCCTGTCAGAGCTTGAGTCCCTTTGTCTCTAGACTAGCACGAGCCCACGTGGGAGAAAGATGCCCTGTGACTGGTTGTGAATGTCATGGGGACTGTCCCCCCACTTCACCTGTGAACACAGGGTGGAGGTGACAGGCTCTTCAATTCTCAAGGACCAAAAAGAGCACACATTAAATTTATGGAGACCCCAGCTCTTTGCGAGAGGCAGAGCCCCTAGATAACGGACCGTACAGACAGCCCCTCCCTCTCCTAACTGCACAGAGCGCAGGGTGACAGTCATCCAGAGACACCACGGATCTAATTCCAGCTCTTGGCTCTGCTGGCATCTGGTTGAGGGAGGGATTTCTGAAACCCAACAGTGCTATACAATGAGATTCCTCTTCTCGTGAGCTTAAGAAATCACCAAACACAAAGCCAGGTGGGCGTCCAGCCTCTATCGGAGTCCTCTGGAGCCAGAGTCCCCAGGATGGAGGCTGGGAATGTGCACTTGACAAAGAACTCTGCAGGTGACCCTGGGGCACAGGCGAGATGGGGACCTTCAGACCAGGTGGTGACACAGTGGAGACCTCACCATGGTCTACTGTCCCCACATAAGCCATCAGAACCAAGGAGGTCACACTGTCTGCAACATGATGAATTAATGTCATGTCAAACTTTTATTAAAACATTAAAAAAATACAACCTGCCAATATGTAAAACTCTAAAAAAAAAAATCTCTTCCCAACTCCCCGCTGCTCATGACCCAAGCCAAAGCACTGTCAGATTCTGGGCCTGAAAGAGAAATTCTTACATCTGTTTTCAATGCGAGACGGTCCTTGTTTGATGGCAACTATCTAGGATGTTACAGGCCTCAAAGATACTGCATTAAAGATAAAGAAGCACTCTAATAAAACTGCAGTGATGAGCTCTGGGCCGTCCTAGCAAACACTGTTGTCAAATCCAGCATCGTTCTGCTAGTGTTGTCTGGCAACAGCAGTGTCTGTCTTCACACTTCCTGGGTCTACCCAAGGGCTATCTGCACTGTGGTTAGTAGACACTGGGTAGGTGTGGCTACCAATGTCACTGCCACATACAGAATATAAAGGCTGTCTTCTCAAGTGACCGGCCCCCTCCTCTCTGGAGTAGGACACATGGCACCCAAGAGCCACATGGAGATGAGAGCCAAGGCCGGCTAAGGCGCAGCACTGTCCTGCCTCACGCTGGCTACTATTGTACTGTACTGAAAAGCGCTATGGCTGCTTCTGAAACTCAACTGCTGCTGGCATGAGTGGCTTCCTCTGCCTCCACTCAATCGCAGAGTGCGTCCTTGGATGGTCCTGATACACAATGGCTAAAAGAACAAGGAGAGGAGATAACCAAGTTTCAGCCTCAAAAAGATGACCCACCAGCATTCAACCTCTTCCCTATGTGGAGGGCGCTAGGTCCAAGTGAGACCACGGCACATTCGATGCTGTTTATCAACACCCGACGCTGGTGACTTCTGATGCCATCCTTGAAGACACAGTGTTCTGGCTGATGGAGGCTCTGCTGGCTTCTCAGAGCCACAGAAACGGGGCAATCTTCTTGGCTGTGATCTGAAAAAACCCACATACGTTCTGTACGGAAACAGACTGTTTAATAGTGGGAGGGAAAACCCAACATGAAATATAAAACAAGTAATCATGCGCCTTGTGAGTTTTGGTTTCTGTTGTTTCTTTCTGGGTGTATGTGTTTTGATGGCAACGTCGGTCTGAACAGCCTGCTCCAGCATTTCTCGGGGAAGAAGCTGAGGATGCGGTTGGTCCCAGGGATCGAAAGGCCTGCTGACACGCCCTCAGCTTCGCCAGCCACCAAAACCCTGGACAGACCTGCAAGGAAGCACAGGACAGTGGTGGAGTCAGCTGCTCTGTCACAGAGCAGTCACAGGCTCTGCTGCTCTGCCTGTGTGCAAAGGTCAGGACTCAGATTTTTTATTATTATTTTTTTGATACAGAGTCTCACTCTATTGCCCAGGCTGGAGTGCAGTGGCGTGATCTCAGCTCACTGCAACCTCTGTCTCTCGGGCTCAAGTGCTTCTTTTGCCTCAGCCTCAGTGGCTGGGATTACAGGCATGCACCACCACGCCTGGCTAATTCTTGTGTGTTTATCTATATATGTATATATATATATTTTTAGTAGAGATGGGGTTTCACCATGTTGGCCAGGCTGGTCTCGAACTCCTGACCTCAAATATCTGCCCACCTTGGCCTGCCAAAGTGCTGGGATTACAGGTGTGAGCCACCGTGCTTGGCCAGTATATATATTTTTTTCTTTTGATATAGGGTCTGGCTGTCACCCAGGCTAGACGGTAGTGGTACCATCTTGGCTCACTGCAGCCTCAACCTCCCAGGCTCAAGTGATCCTCCCGCCTCAGCTTCTGGAGTAGCTGGGACCACAGGCATAAGCCAGCATGCACGGCTAATTTTTTTAATTTTTAGTAGAGATGGGGTCTCACTCTGTTGCCCAGGCTGGTCTTGACTCCTGGGCTCAAGCAATCCTCCCACCTCAGCCTCCCAAAGTGCTGGGATTATAGGCGTGAACCACCCACCTGGCTAAGACTGAATTTTAACGCCATGAAATTTTACACAGAAGCACAGAGGGTGGATCAACACATGAGACCTGGTGATGGCCCAGAGCCCAGGGGTTAGCATGCAGCTTCTGAGAAACCTCCAGGGAAGTCAGGAGCAGCATCTCCTCAGCGCTGCCCTCAGGCCCAGCTCACTGGCAGGCGTGCTCTTTTCTCTTTGAACCACGCCTCTTAAGAAGGCGAGGCCTGGCACCTCCTGCCATATTGCTACAGAGAAGAGCAAGTCCACAAAACCCAAACCCTGCTGCTGAACCCCCACACTTCCAGGACAAACTCTAAAAACAGGAAAAAACGAAAAGAAAATGCACAAATCCAGCAAGATCCACACACTTCCAACCTTATTTAATGCTTTTAATTAAGGTGAGACTCAAAAAGGGGGATACTTACGAGTTATTTGACCCAAAGCTGAACCCTGAAAAGCAGAATAAGAGTGAAGTTAAAGCACGCATCCACTCGAAAGACAAAGGTGGTCCCCATGCTAAGTGTCTGCCCTCCTCTGTGCTTCTTGTGGGAAGCCCTCCGTGCCTCCACCACCTACAGGAAGGCAGGAAAGGTACACACAGAAGCCCCTTTATTCTGAGTTTGTCCTCTGGAGCTACTCAGATCCCCCAGAAGGCAGAAAAAATCCTTTACTTTTTATGAGTTATCTTCTTGGTATTTTAGGGTTCTTCCTCCCTCCTCGGCCCCAGCTGTAGGCAGAGGGTCTCTGGCTTGGCCTCTCAGCTGTACTGGACCACATAGATCCATTCATTAGGAAAACCTTTTTTTTTTTTTTTTTTTTTTGCTGTTGTTGTTTTTCCATCCATTTGCTTCCTCTTCTTTTTGGGGGCCAGAGAAGCAAGATGGCTGGATTCTAGGCCTGGTTCTACTGCTAACTGCTAACACTTAGTTCCTTGGAGTTTCTGTTTCTTCACGGGTACAATTGTAATGATACCTAAATTCTGTGCCTTGTCAGTTTACTGCAAGAACAAAATGGAAGACACATATTCTGCCATCTGAAGAAGCAGAGTGTTAAACAAATGCAAGATGTTTTGTGAAGTTTCTATGCCTTTTTTTTTTTTTTTGAGTCTGCTGGCTTAGATTTTTTAAACCAAGGCCTAGTAAGACCATTATTATTTTGGGCTTCTCAAATCCTGAGAGGAAATCAAGACAGTAATTTCTTTGGTAAGAAATGACACAGTGTTCTAAGTCTAACTAAAACCTAAAAAAAAATATATATGCCAGGTGCTGTAATCCCAGCACTCTGGGAGGCCGAGGTGGGTGGATCATGAGGTCAGGAGATGGAGACCATCCTGGCTAACACAGTGAAACCCCATCTCTACTAAAAACACAAAAAATTAGCCGGGCCTGGTGGCGGGCGCCTGTAGACCCAGCTACTCAAAGGCTGAGGCAGGAGAATGGCGTGAACCCGGGAGGCGGAGTTTATAGTGAGCCGAGATTGTGCCACTGCACTCCATCCTGGGCAACAGAGCGAGACTCCGTCTCAAAAATATATATATATATATATGTTTCAACCACTTTCAGTATGTTACATATTTATTTATTTTGAGACAGGGTCTCATTCTGTCACCCAGGCTGGAGTGCAGTGGTGCAATCACAGCTCACTGCAGCGCTCAAGTGATCCTCCTGCTTCAGCCTCCCGAGTAGCTGGGACCACAGGTGTGTGCCACCATGTCTGGCGAATTTTAACATTTTTTGTAGAGAATGGAGTCTTGCCATGTTGCCCAGGCTAGTCTCAAACTCCTGGGCTCAAGTGATCCTCCTGCCTTGGTCTCCCAAAGTGCTGGGATTACAGGCGTGAACCACGTGCCCAGTCAGCTTTTAAAATACTAAACAGACTGGTCAGGTAAAACATACTCATTTCTTTGGGGGAGAAGGCAAGAGGGACCCATTTTGCTTGTGAGGGGAGAACTTGTGGCAGCTTACCTCCTGTGCCTGATCCAAAACCAGAGAATCCGCTACTCTGGGTCCCAAAACCAGAAGTCTGTTGGGACAGTGATCCGAAAGTGGGGGCATTCTGACTCGCGAGCGTGCCGAAGGATGTGGTGTTGCTGCTGCTCCCAAACCTGCGCTCCAGTGAGAAACAGACTGAGGTCAGTGGGGCCTCTCACCACTTGCCCATCTGCAAGCCTCAGCCCCCTGCTGTAAGTCCCAATACACACGACACTCATGATCCAGGGTGACAGGCTGGGCCTAACTAGCAGCCTTTCAGAGAGAATGAGCTATCGCCCAGGGCCAACTTTTATCTCTGCTCTAGGAAGAAAAATGGCAGGACTACAGTATGAAATCCAACCTGGCCAGTGTTTTAGTTTCCATCCCCCATTGGAACACCAGGGCATTTGGGAACTATGCAGTACACAGTTCCTGCTCTACCTCCAACAATCCTTAAGCTTTATTCTATCATTTTAGCATTTCTCACTTACCGACCATTCCCCCACATCCTGCTCCCATTTATTTATCTTCAGCTCCTCTTGGGATCTTGATTCTATTTACTTTTTCCAAGTCATTTCATTCAGGATTTTGTATTTGCTTCCTGAATCAATAATTACTACCCAAACCAATGTAAAAGTGGCCACTATTTTCCTTCCCCTGCTCGCCCCACCTGGAGACAATCCCCTGTGCCCCCTCACTCAGTTCTCCCTCCAGATATGGTCCAGCACACAAGGTGGCACTGTGTGACCTATCAGAGCCCCTTGAATTGTTTGCAGAGGAACTCGGCTGGGTTGGGGAGAGCTTCTGGGGTCTGGAGGTGACTAGGTGAGGGAAACGGATCAGTGGTTTCTGGGAGAAGGGGCAGCACCTGGGGGCAAGAATCAACCCCAAAGCAAGAAAAAGTATCTAAAACTCTGCCTTCCCACCATTCTATTCACTTTTAATGGTGAGGTCAAGGCTCTTTCCATACAAAGGTGGCCAAGGGATCTGCTCTCATTGGACTTTCTCCCAGGAGCGGCCTGCTCCCTTCCTCCTCCTGCCTTGGGCCTCATCAGCAACAGCCTGCCCTTCAGGGTCGGAGACAGGCTCATGGCCAGGGACCTGGAAGAAGGTAATGGGCTCTTATGGAGATTTAATAACTGACCTGGCATTAACCTTTTTTAGGACTGACTAACCAGCCAATCGGGATTTGTGTGAGAGCCGCCCCAAGGCAGAATATACTTTTCTACTAGTAAAGAAAACAGCTGGTTTCAAATAAATAAATCAATTCACAAGATACCCAGCCAACCCAAACCTTCTACCAACTCTGTGGTACTGTGTGCTGGTTCATCACTGCAGAGAACAGCATCCATTAAGACCTCTGAGAATACCAGCCTAAGTGGGTCTCTAACTGTCCTTTCAAAGCTTTCCTTAACTTTAATTCTTGGGGTTTCCTGAGGGCAAACCTAAGGCATCAGTCTCCCGTGAAACAGGAGAAGCAGCACGCCAACCCTCTCACTCCTGCTGCTGCGCTCCAGCATCTTGCACGGAGGGGAAGGGTGTGAGTAAGAACATACTATAGTTTATTTTCAAGATAAAGATGCTGTCATCTTGCCAAGACTCAGATCCAAGTATCTCAACAATTCCCCTAGACAAAATCATCTCCCCTCCCCCAAACCTTCAGCTCATGCTGAGCCCAGTACTGCGGCAAGAGGCGTTTTAGAACTCCTTTCAGGCATCGACACCTCCTTTGAACAAGAGACTTGGTAGTCATCCCGTGTACATTTTTTAAATTGGGATGTTGTGGTGTGGTGAAGGTTTTTTTCCCTTGGGGTTTTGGCAACCACACTGAAATTCTGCCCTTAAAAGCGACTCCCTAAAAATGGCCTTTTCCAGTGCAGACGCACACGAGGCAATGAGAGCAGCTTCGAAATCCCTGATCATCCAGGATCTTCCCACGGGAGGACCTGTGCAACTGAATACTCACTCTGGGGGGCTGCAGGGGAGCAGGGGACACAGGGAGTTGTTTGTTCAAGGACAACGGGTCTAACACAGAATAATCCCAAGAGGAAAGAATCTGGTGAAAACCATTCATTGAGGACTTCCTAACAGAAGCTCCACACCGGGGCACCTCTTGGCTACAAAGCAGTAGTTAAGGCAGGGCTGGTGCCTTCCTTTAGCCCCAGCAGGAGAACAGGGGCTCTGATGACCAGCATTTCTCATACCAGGGAACAGCAACACAGCTGAGGTCCACCATGAATTCAACAAAGCCTGGCTTGAACGAAATGAGTCTTACCCTGGAGAGGTACAGGAATCCTTGAGGGAGTTGTTCACAAATTTCAAGGGAGGGGCCTTCACCTCATGGTCAAATTTCTTTTCAGAGCAAGAGTACAGGCCCCTAGTGCTTTTTGGCTGGCGTGTGGGTTCCCAAGGGCCCTCCCCAGGGGGCTTACCCGAATCCTCCTGCGCTGGCAGCTGCAGTGCCCTCTCCGAACACTTTGCCTCCCGTCGAGCCCAGAGGGCTTGTAAAGGCTGGGGCTGAACCGAATGCTGGCACCCCTCCAAACCCAGGGGATCCCCCAAAAGTAGGAGGGCTGCCAAACACTGGAGCAGCACCGAAGCCACCTGAGCAAAACAGAGGCAAACAAACAGAAATAGGGAGAAAGAAAGGAGGAGACAGGAAGAGAAGACATTGAGCAATGAGAAACCAAATCAAAATAGGAAGAAAAAAGGGAAAAGAGGATGTTAGCAATTCAAATGCAAGAACTAGAGTAAAGGGCAACACCCCCCCTCCCCCCCGCCCTTCTATCAAGAAAATAGTAATGAAAACAACAAAACAAAAGCCCTCAAACCAAACCACTCCCCTCCATTCCTAGCAGAGGGCTCTGGGGTCCACTCAGGAGAGCTCCTGCAGACCCTGTGAAGTCACTGTGAAGCCGTGTGAGCAGACCTCCAAGAGCCCACTCGGTGCACCTTCCACCCCTCCCAGGTCCTCTGAGCTGTTTGGAGTGAAAAACCATTCTCAAAAACTCCAATCCCTACCTAGCTGACAAAAGATGACAGACTATATTACTTATCAGTACACAGGCAAGACATCCAGCTTCATAGAAACCCAAATTATAAAATCAGAGGCTCAAAACCTCCTCTCAGGGAGAATCCCTGAATTGGGTCATAGCAGAGACAGAGACGTGTATGCTGGCGCCCAGCCAGGTGCTTTTTATTTATTTACAGCCTGATGGCTCCTACGTCTCTCATCAGAGTCTCCCTTTCTCTCGCTCAGTGGAGGTTTGTTTTTTTTTTTTTAAATGCTTTTTTCCTGCAGTCTGGAATTACTTCCCAATGAAAAAACACACCAAATTTCTTCTTTGGAGGCAGGCTGCTGCATAAATCTAATAAAATAATAAGTCAACAGTGAGGACAGCCCTAGAGTTCAGATGCCTTCTGCAACGTTGCCAACACTGCTGCCCAGTGGGCTCAGGCTGCCAGAGGGCAGCACCACACAGGTGGCCACACAGACAAGGGTCAGGTCACGCACAGGGCACCCTACTCTGATTGCTGGTGATGCCTGTCAGGCAGGAAGACAAAACATCCTCTCCTGAGCTATTCCTGATGCGGGTTCCCAAACTTCCAAGATACTGCTGAAATCATTCTAAAGTATTAGAATAGACACTCAGTGAGTGTCTTCTTGAATGAATGGAATAGAATGGCATAAGAAATGTGCTCTAACTGGGAGCACCCTCTAAAGGGAGTACTTCTTAAGGTGAGTGTTGGCCTATGAACTGCGTGCTAGCGGGAGTAATGGTGGCCTAGCGACAAGCCTTTTCTCCCCTTTCAGAAAGTCAATCTGTTGTTAGAGGGATGAAATCCAGACTTCTTATTGTTTATGTAATCACAACACAAGCTTCTGCCATCTGAATCAGGAAAGATCAAATCCTGGGTATGAAAAGTTGTCAGCTGAATCCCTCAGTTAACTGTTATTTTGTGATTCACTCATGTGCCTATTTGCCATTAACAGTGGTAGGCTGCACAACTGAGAAGATACTTTTTTGCTAAGGCTCGTGTTTGGGTTAACATTCCGCATGTTAAAACACTGAGTGAAATTCCAAGCCATGATAATGGAGACTGTTGGGTTATAAATATAACAGACTGGAAAAAAAAAAGTGCTAAAAAACCCTTACAGTTGAATTATTTAAGACTGATCACAGATCTAGTTACACTTTCTTCCTAGACATGCAGGGCGCTATCTAGTACCTTGTATCAATATTGCTTAGACTTCTTGGTGGAAGGTGAGTGAAAAATGGGAAGTCATGATGATACAGAAAATAAACTGGACAGGGGAGGGGTGGCGGTTAAATATACACAGAGAGAAAAAGCCCCCAAACAACACACCTGGGTCACAGCCAAATTAAACAGGAAGAAAACAGTCACTCTGGCTTAAAGAGGCAACTCTCTCCTGATGGCAGGAGGGGTTTGATTTTATCAGTTGCCGTATTTTCATAAATTTCTTCTCCAGAAGAAACAAATTTTCTAATAATCAATGATGATAAACTTTCTGATTTATTGAGGGCCCACTATATGCCAGGTGCTTCACAGCAGTTTTCTTAAATCTTCCCAATAAGCCTGGGATCCTTACATCACAGGGGAGGAAACTGAGACTTAGAGAATATGCCACTTGTCCCAACTTCAGCCAGCTGATGGGTGCTAGAGCTGGGACTGGAACAAGGTCTGTGCGACTCAAACGCCCACCTCTCATCTTCCCCATCATTCATCCCCTGCCTGCCTCCCTCCAAATCTAACACTTTAGCGAGACAGCAGGGTGTAGACCACTGACCATGGTGGGCAGCAAGGCCATCTTCAGTCCATCCCACCTTCCTCCTGTCCTCTCCCCGGATGACCTCCAGCAGGATAATTTTATAATGCAATTTTACTGAAGGGAGGATAGATACTTTTGGAATTTTTCAAAGACCCATCCAAATCATCAACTTAAAATCTCTCTTAAAGCAAAAAGTGCCCTGATGCCTGGACAGGAAGGCAGTTCCTCTATTCACAGCAGCCCTTCCTTCTGCTCGGGACTTCCAGTCCCCTCTTTCAATAGAAAAAGCTCTCCCAGAACCAATACGAGTTCTGCAGCAGAGAGATGAAGTCCTGAAACATGAGGGGGAGTGGCCTTTCCCCTGCCCTCACTTTGATGTTTATGGTTACTAGTTCACTCATCTTATGTATCTGAAAGATAGTTGTTCTCTATTCGAGGCCTCAATCTAAGTATTAGTTTCATGGGGCAAATAAGTACTTACTATGAAAAGTTGGGGCATACATTTTCTCTAAGACTAGACAAATAAAAGGGTCAGATTTTCTTTCTTTTTTTTGAGACAGAGTCTTGCTTTGTTGCCCAGGATGAAGTGCAGTGGCATAATCTTGGCTCACTGCAATCTCTGCCTCCCAGGCTCAATTGATCCTCCCACCTCAGTCTCCCGAGGAGCTGGGACTACAGGTGTGCACCAACGTGCCTGGCTTATTTTTGCATTATTTTTTTTTGTAGAGACGGGTTTTTGCCATGTTATCCAGGCTGGTTTCAAACTCCTGGACTCAAGTGATCTGTCTTCCTTGGCCTCCCAAAGTGCTGGGATTACAGGCGTGAGCCACTGTACCCAGTGTCTGAATTAGGTGTGATTTTCCTTTTTTCTTTTAGAGATGGGGTCTCACTATGTTGCCCAGGTTGGTCTTGAACTTTTGGGCTCAAGTGATCCTCCCACCTCAGCCTCCCAAACTGCTGGGATTACAGGTGGAATTTTCAAAGGTCAGATTTCCAAATCAATGGGGATATAATCTCAGGATAAAGAACCATATATAGGAAAACCGTTAAGAGTCAAAGAAAACATTATCAGCCTCCTAAAAACATAAAAAGTCTTGATGATCGATGAACTAAAATTCCCCAGTTGAAATGTTCACGATGCACCTTTCTAACTGGGATAAAAGCCTTGTGGCCCTTTCATTTTTAAACAATGCACTGTGTGTGTAGCAAAAAGAAAGCTGTGAAGCCCATTTCAGAATATTCTGTTTTAATTTCTAGGAAAACAGTATTAACAACTAGCAACCAAAGAAAGACTAAGCTACCTGAGTCACAATCTGAGGTAAGGTGCACAGTGGATTTGGAAACCACAGCACTTTAGGCTCTAAATATGAGACTCCATGTATTAATTTGGGGCAGCCTTACTCCCAGGTCAGAGCCACTGATGCATCTAGTCCTGAGGTTAGATCCTTCCTCTGGAATTAGCATATTTCAGAGCATCCCCTGCATACGAGGGCCAAGTGTCCTGCCCACTTACCCAGGGGGAGTTTGCTTTAAAAAGCTGCTTGCTCAAACAGCCCACCCTGGACCACCTGTCTTAAAAAAAACTCTTTTCACACAACTTTCCATCAACAAGGACAGGAGTGCAGACTCTCCGCAGATCTCAGAGACAGAAACAGGGTGGAGAGGCAGATGACAGAAATGAAGTACATGTTTTCAGATCTAAACATACACTGTTCATTAAAAATTTGTAGTTATAAATACATCATACATGATTATAAAAAGGCATATAGTTTATATAAATATATACTTTAATAGTAATGCTGGGATAAAAAGTAGTCCTAGTAATGTTCCTTTTCCTTGGTTACATGGGTGTATTCCAACTGTGATAATTAATTCAGCTGTGTACTTATGTGGATTGTGGATAAACATATACTTCAATTAAAAATAAAGTGATTTGGGGGCTGGGCATGGTGGCTCACGCCTGTAATCCCAGCACGTTGGGAGGCCGAGGCGGGCGGATCACGAGGTCAGGAGATTGAGACCATCCTGGCTAACACGGTGAAACCCCGTCTCTACTAAAAATACAAAAAATTAGCCGGGCGTGGTGGCGGGCGCCTGTAGTCCCAGCTACTTGGGAGGCTGACGCAGGAGAATGGCGTGAACCCAGGAGGCAGAGCTTGCAGTGAGCCGAGATTGCGCCACTGCACTCCAGCCTGGGCGACAGAGCGAGACTCCGTCTCAAAAAAAAAAAAAAAAAAAAAAAAATAAATAAATAAATAAAAATAAAAAAAAAGTGATTTGCGAAAGAGGGGAAAGTAACATACACATTAGAAATTAAACAGATAATCTGCTTTGACCCTCACAAATAATGGGAACCCCAACAAATCCATGACTCAGGATGCTTTCCTGCAGATACTTCAGTTATCATTTCCTTATGTGTTCCTTTATTTTGTTTGTTCTGCAACTGTCAAATATTTACAATGTTTTCTCCCCAAGAAGAATCTGTGTTCTCTTAAGAGTTGCATTACAGCTGGGCGCGGTGGCTCATGCCTGTAGTCCCAGCACTTTGGGAGGCCGAGGTGGGCGGATCACAAGGTCAAGAGATGGAGACCAGACTGCCCAACATGGTGAAACCTCATCTCTCCTAAAAATACAAAAATTAGCTGGGCATGGTGGCACATGCCTGTAATCCCAGCTACTTGGGAGGCTGAGGCAGGAGAATCGCTTGAACCAGGGAGTTGGAGGTTGCTGTGAGCTGAGATCGCACCATTGCACTCCAGCCTGGCGACAGATTGAGACTCCCTCTCACAAAAAAAAAAAGAAAAAAAAATGTTGCATTACTTGCATTCTATGCTTTTAAACATGTTTTGGAAGACCTGGAATCATGTTAGGAATGTAGCAGATGCTCAGTAAATATAAAAATAATGCGGAGGAAACAGTTAACTTCTTTACTCCAATCCTACTCTCTTAAGATAACCACCCTAGAGATGTCTCCTTCCAGATATCTATGCATAAACAAATACATATATAAAGATAACCATAACAAATAGACATAGGAGTACCTGTTTTGTTTGGAGAGGAAAACCCAAAGCCTTGGGATGCCACACTTCCTCCTCCAGAGCTGAAAGTGCCAGTGGGTTTCTGCTCTCCAAACGACGAGCTGGCAAATCCACCAAATGTCTTGGCCCCACTGTTTCCAAATAGGTTAGAGGTATCTGAAGAGATGAAGATGTGAGGGAGGTCAGAGGGAGACAAATGTCCTTACCTGCTTCTCAGAACACAGAAAAAGTCTCAGTTGGGTGTTTGGAAAGATGGGAGTGACAAGCCGCCTAGAAGCCAAGGGAGCGGAGCGACAGTGACAGCAACAGGTACTTTCTCTGATTTTCACGCACCTTGCTGGGAAGTTTTTAATCATTCTGGCACCCAGGCTCAGGATTTCCTGGCATGATTTTATAGGCACAAAATAAAGGAGCAGTGAGAGGTCCCACTGAAAAGGCTCCTTTGTAGAAGCTCACTGGGTGCTCCTGCAAGTGTCAAGACTGCCCAGCAATGGAGGCCATGGGCTCTGCCCCACAGGCTGCTTTCTTCTGGAAAACAGGGCTTACTTTGATTGGTCTCTTCACACAAGACCAACTTCAAATTTTGTCAAACTAGGGAAATTAAAGTTAGAACAAATCCAACCCAGGCAAAATGGCTTCTAGCACTTACCTCCTGCTTTTATAGTCAAGTTCAGCATGCTTATGGCTGCCTGAGCTGCTCAGAGAATGGCAGTGAAATGAGAAAAATCATGGTGCTCCTGTCTTTGATCCAAGGGGATATAGGGATGGTCTGAAGAATGTTAAAGAGGCTAGCAAGACTTCCAGTCAGATTTCCTCTAAGAGGTTTAATGAAGCCCTTGACCTTTTAGATACTTATCTAGGGGGTCATCCCCCTCTCAACTATGCACTGAATTCACTCCAAGAATTAAAGGAAAAAAGGAAACTACTAAAAACCAAGATGGCTGAGAATTTTTTTTCACCTGTTACAAGAAATGCAAACCTGACAGATAATAATAGATAAACAGACAAAGTCCACATACACAGCAGCTGTCACTCAGATAATATAGCACAGGATATGTCAGAGTTTTCAAACTTTTTTTGGGGGGGGTGGGCGTTGGTGGGAAGGGAAGGAATAACTCACGTTTCCTACCACGTCTAGATGGGTGTTTTATTGAATATATGCCCACAAGGCAGGGAGAAGCTATCCTGAAGTGGAGTGGATGCCCAAAGACACAAGGCATAAATGGGAGGCACAGCATATGCTCTGGGTAATCACTGGGTGGGTAATGAAGGACCAGTCTCTCCCTAAGCCAGTCAGGTGTTCACAAGCAAAGTGAAAGGAGAGGACTGGAGGAGGGGGAGCACTTAACATCATTTTCAAAGTCGAGCTGTTGGAAGAGGTGGCCCCCCCATTAACCTGTCACCTCCCCAGGTCTCTCAACTCATGCTGCTACCAACCAACTCTAATAGGAGAGCCACCATGGTTAATACGTCCAGATGCAATGCTCTTAATCCACAATCCAGGAAGTGAGTGGCCTCACTTTGGGACCCAGTCACCTCAAATTTCCAGGCACCAGTAATACAATATGACTTGGCCCATCACATCATGGTCACTGCCCTATAAAACCACTGCTGACAATTTGAGAGCCTGGCTAAGGACCCACATGTCAGGTATGTCAGGTACTGGCAGCTGGGTGGTTAAGAAATCCCTTTGTATCACCCTCATAACTCGGTACCACAGGATAATGTATCCCTTGACGGAGTCCCACAAAATGGCCTTCTGAGCAGTTTGACCTTCCCCTTATCGAGCTAGCCCAAAGTTACGTCTGATTCCTTCAATGGCAGTACATTTGACAATGGAGATGAAAACAGGCTTCTCAGCCATTCCGTTTACTTGGTATTTCAAGAACAGATTTTTGCACTTTGTTAGTGCTAGCAATGCAAAATTCAAATAGCAAACAAATTCAAGGGCAAGACTGGGGTTGAATCTCCTCTTGGAGAAACTTGGTGCAACCATATGAAATGTGAGGTGAAATGATGTTATTGGGACAGTGGTGGGAAGTCAGAGATCATTTAGAAGTCTTTGGGCTTTTTAATCTTTTTCTCTCTTTAAGAACTCTTTGACTTTAAAATCTTTATGGCATATCATAGTGGAACAAGCAGTGAAGTTTGCAGTCAGACCCGGGTGAGATTACCTAATAGCTGTGTCACCCTGGGCAAGGACTTAACTATCCTAAGTCCCAGTTTCCCCACACACAGAACAGGACAGCAATTGTGACTCTGCAGGGATGCTGGGAAGATAACATGATGCACACAGGGCACTAGTGTGGTATGTTGTAGACTCTCGGAAAAGGCTGCTGCCCTTCTCTGTTCCTTCAACCTCTTCCTTCCACATCTCAATCACACTTCAGCTAGTAAGACACTGAGCAGGTCAGCAGGAGATAATCAAATCCTTTTCATTTTTAAAAGATCCCAAGAATGACACCATTAAAGCTGTAATCACTCTCATTTACAGTCTCTCAAGGAGCTCTGCATGTTGAGACATTTTACCATTGATTTAAACTGCTCTGAAACAAAGTAGCATAAAACAATGACTGAGTCTCTGTTTCTAATGTCAACAATGTGTTTCTTGGTTTTCTCCTAATGGTTCCAAAATAACATAGTCTCTAGTTTTTGAAAATATGTTACCATATTCTCATATTACCATAAGAGAATATCTTGGCGGACCGAACAATATTTCACTGTAGAAGATTCTTCTTGACTTGTAAATAAACTATCCAGTAAAAAAAACAAGTTTGTCTTTGCATAGCCATCTGTGACTGACACTTTAGGGGTGCCAAGTACAGGTAAAACTGGCATCTGCTCTGGGCTTCCACCCTGCTGGCAAAACATGGATCTTCTTTGGTCTTTTATTTGGCAAAAACACTAGCATCATCCAACATCAGGGCCTGACCCAATCTGAATTAAATTATACTTAATATAAACTGGATAGCAATTAAATCCGATACAGAGTATCAGACCAGGCCCCATATCATCCTGCAGGTCTAAAGTCATTGAACAAGAATTCAATGCATACTCCGAAAGGGTCTCTCAGGAAGCTCTTGCCCAGGATACTTTCCAAGATATTTTCTTAAAGAACAGTTGTAGAGGGACCCTGTAAACCCACAAGATCATCATCAAACGGCTTCTTCATCTTCTGATGAGACAAATATGTCTTTCAGGACCCTAAACAGAAAGAATGTGCTGGGAATGGCCCTACACAGTGTCCTCAGGACAATACTAAAGGAGGCAACAGGTCCTTATGGGTAACAATCCACAGTGGTGGTGAATTTTAGATGTCTCCATGGGTTCCCAGGTTTTCTTTAGTAGATTCTATGGGGATGACAGAGAGAAGAAGCCCTTCTTGCAAGCTTTGAGCTTCTGGATACAGAACATGCCAACTCCAAGTACTGGTGTTCTCAGCTTGTCTTTTGCGGTCATTGTTATAGTTCTCACGACTTCTCAGGGGTAAAGTGGGCAGTTTCAGGGCAAAGCAGCCCGGGGCATAAATGTCACAAAGGGGACTGCTCAAATAACTCTCTATAATGGGGTCTTTTCCATGCATAAATGTTGCCCAAAAAGGCGTACCTGGGAGACGTTCTGTAAACAAGGCCAATCAGAGCTCGGGAAACGCAGCTGGACTAAATCCTGGCTACGCCACTTAGTAGCTGTGCAACTTCTGCAGTATACATCTCCTCTTGGACCTGATTTTCCTATCAGTGAAATGGGGACAGCCACATCTAAAAGCACTGTTGTAAGAAGTGGTTAGCTCACGTGCATTGAGCTTCTGGCACACAGCAGGTGATTAATAAAGGCTGGTTTCCTTCTGCTTGATGGTTTGTGTAGTGATGAAATCCAAGGGCTGCAGGATTTCCAGAGAGGGAGCGATCATGGTGGGCCTGAATGACCCTCAGGCAAAGGTGCAGTGCACACAGAAACAGCCTTGCATTCATCTTTTAAAGAAGGACAGGCTCAGAAGGTGGGTGCAGGGTGCCAAGTGAACCTGGAGGAAGTGAGGGAGGGATGCAAGCAGACAAACTGACCAAACCAGAAGGAATGTGCTGGGGAACTGAGTACAGTCAGAAAGGTACTTTGGGGCCAGCTCAAGGAGGGCCCTGAATTCCAGTTTCAAGTTTATTTCATCTTTATCCTATAGTCAGTGGGAAGTTGCCCAAGGGTTTGAGTAGGAAAAGGGGCAAAATAAATGCAGTCTTAAGACTCGGGTTTGGCATGGATTTTCAGACCACAATGGAAGAGCCAGGGGGAAGGGAGAAGAAGATTGTGATGAACAGATGACCACGGGGAATGCCCCATAGCAAAATGGGGCGGGGAGTGCGGGGGTTGGTGAGGGGAGGGAGAGAAGGTAGAGATAAGAAGAGAAGCAGAGGAGGAATTGTTTGAAAGGCAGAAGGAACCAGGAGAATCAGTTCATACAGTCCAGGAAAGAAGTGGTGCTCAAAGCATCAAATGATGCAGAGTCAATTAAGGAGAAAGAAGCTGTCACTGATGATTCTGCAGAAACGATCCTGAGTACTGTGGTGAGGACAATGCCTTTCCCCAGACGACTCCCAGCTCTTCCTTCTCCACTGTTCCTTCCTTTTATTCTGTACTTGGTGGCCCTCAGAGTTAAAACAATTCCTGTCCCTTTCACTATTGAATCATACACCTAGTACCCCAAAAACTATTGAAATAAAATCATATAGTTTTTAAAATAATACAATGTTAAGTGTTTCCTCTACTCCTTCAAAATCACTTAAACTTCCCTTAGGCACACATGTAAATTGTTGGTTTATAGTTAACAGCCAACATTTAGAAGATGAAGACTAACAGGTTATCTGGTATCAAGAATAGTTATGTGTTTACTTTAAACCAGAATTAGAAGAATCAGCCAGTAATGTTTGACAGGCTGGGGAGTCCTGGTTTGTAGGGTTTTCTGATTTCCATGATATAAATACTCCACAATGGCTCATTTCAGGTTACCCCAAACGATGTCACCAAATGAACAACTGGGAAGATGTGCTTGGCTGGCTCTCATGTGTCCGTGCAAACCAGCTGCAGCCAGCCACTGACAGAAGGCAACTCCTTGACAGTCAAGAGCCATGGCATTAGAGATGAGTAAACGAATGTTTATAGGGATATGACACATTTAACTTTTAACAAAATTGGCCAGTAACACAACCTCGCAGATGATACCTTAGCTCTGGGATAAACCCAAATTTCTAACTGCAGTGGAGCATGTTATTAAGTGTCTATTCTGTGCCAGATTCTGTGTCTGGCATGTGACATATAGTCTAGCTGAGTTCTATATCTGTGACTTTCTGGCTCTGTGACCTCAGAATTCTGGGCTTGTTTCCTCAATGGAAAATGAAGAGCCATAAAAGGACGATGTTTTCAAAGTATGTGCTATGGAGCCTCACGGTCCTGTGGTGCCAGCCAGCTGTGTGTTTTGGAGTTCCTGACCCCTGCTTCAGCATGAACCTACTTTTGTTTTCCTTATCAGGATGCTACTTAAGAGTTCATTGGCAAAAACAGTTTTTGAAAACTACTAGACTTGATTTCTAAGATCCAGGATTCTAAATCCCTCCTGGCAGACTGAAACCTAAAGAACAAAAACTTCTGATTACATAATTTCACAAGGTAAAAGGTATGTGTCTCTTGACAATAATCTTTCCTTATGTATTAGTGGAGTGGACAGTGACATCAAAATAACTAGGTTTTTGTTTGTTTGGTTTTTGAGATGGGGACTTGCTGTGTTGCCCAGGCTGAACTAAAAAACTGACTAGTTTTTGATTTAGGAGTTTAGAAGGGCAAATCAGGATAGAAAGTTTTGCTAACTGCACAGGCCTTAATATTAAGGAAACATCTGTCATGACTGCAGAACACTAGCTCATGATTCATGGAGATCTCACACAGCACAACAGATGAGAGAAACTTCATGTAGGGCACATTAAATGAGAGAAGCTGAGACAAACAGGACAGGCTCCCAACTTCTAATCTCAGCTTCCGCCTGAGCAGCAGGATAAAGATCTACACAAACAGATTTCTTTCATTTCCAACCATGAATACACAGGTCAACAAATAACTTTTAAGGCCGAGCACGGTGGCTCACGCCTGTAATCCCAGCACTTTGGGAGGCTGAGGTGGGCGGATCACCTGAGGTCAGGGGTTCGAGACCAGCCTGGCCAACATGGTAAAACCCCGTCTCTACTAAAAATACAAAAACTAGCCAGGCTTGGTGGCAGGTGCCTGTAATCCCAGCTACTCGGGAAGCTGAGCTGGGAGAATTGCTTGAACCTGGGAGGTTGCAGTGAGCCGAGATTGCACCACTGCACTCCAGCCTGGGTGACAGAGCAACACTCCGTTTCAAAAAAAAGGAAAAAAAAAAAAAAAGCCTGGGCGTGGTGGTTCACGCCTGTAATCCCAGCACTTTGGGAGGCCAAGGCAGGCGGATCATGAGGTCAGGAGATCGAGACCTCCTGGCTAACATGGTGAAACCCCGTCTCTACTAAAAAAAATATAAAAAATTAGCCGGGCTTGGTGGCGGGCACCTGTAATCCCAGCTATTCAGGACGCTGAGGCAGGACAATGGCATGAACCCGGGAAGTGGAGCTTGCAGTGAGCCAAGATCACGCCACTGCACTCCAGCCTTGGTGACAGAGCAAGACTCTGTCTCAAAAAGAAAAAAGAAAAAAAAAAAAAAAAGAATTTTTAAAATTAGCTAAAGAAGGCTGGGCATGGTGGCTCATACCTGTAATCCCAGCACTTTGGGAGGCCGAGGCGGGCGGAGAAGTTTGAGACCAGCCTGGTCAACATGGTGAAACCCTGTCTCTACTAAAAATATAAAAATCAGCCAGGCGTGATAGCACGTGCCTGTAATCCCAGCTACCTGGGAGGCTAAGGCAGGAGAATCATTTGAACCTGGGAGGCGGAGGTTGTAGTGAGCTGAGATCACGCCATTGCACACCAGCCTGGGCAACAAGAGTGAAACTCTGTCTCAAAAAAAAAAAAAAAAAAAAAATTAGCTAAAGAAAGTACTGGCAGATACAGCTTCAGATGAAAATAAAACAAAAATGTAAGAGGTGAGAAATATTAAAGGCTTCAACTTTTGGGTGACATCTCCCTACAGGAGCTGAATTTTAAGGAAAATTTGGAGAGTACTATCCAAATGAAAGTCTGCATGCTCTCCTCCCAGCATCCTCGGCTTGCTCTGCTGCTGCTCATTTATGCTTGTCTGCTTGCATTCACTTCAAGTCACTCCAATACTAAGAAACAGAGCGATTTGGGCCTTGGGAGAGAAGAGGGGAGCAGCTCAATACACAGATCCTCTCCCTGCAGCTCTGATATCTTTTCATGATTATATAGGACATCTCATTAAAAAACCAAAAATAAAAAAGCAAAACAGATCACACTGCTTTGGGGAAGATATTTTAAATGAGCCTTCTAGATTTTTTTTTCTTTTTATATTTGTCACTGAAGCTTTGATAACACCCTAAGAATGACAATGGCATTAGGGGACCAAGGGACTGGGAAAAGTCTTCTCAACTTACTTGAGGTAGCTGTGGATCCAAAGCCCCCACTGGCCGAGCTGAATGGGTTTTTGTTGGCTGCATCCTGACTGGGTTTTCCTCCAAGGCCACTGAAGAAACCTCCCCCTCTTCCAGTGTTTCCAGACCCAAACACGCTACCACTGGAAGAGGATGATTGCTAAAAAACAAAAGGGTCAGGAAGCAAGATAGGATGAGAGGTCATCGTGAAATGGCAGGCTGCATCCGTGGGCAGGAGGTGCTCACAGCTGGCACAAATGGAAAAAGCAAGATTAGTTCTGGTACAAATGCTCTAACCACCACAAAAGAAGCTAGACTCTGGACAGGGACTTCCTATCTATGAGAAGTTCTCAAGCTATTCCATGTTCACAGTTCTCTGAAAACATGATTTATGGTAGGTGGGAACTTTTAATGTTTATCTGCTACACTGCCCGCAGTGTCTGTTTGACACAATGCCAGGGTCAGGAAAACCAACCCCACAAGAGATCCACCAAATAAAAAGTTCGAAAACATTTACAAGCTATTACGGACACCACTTATTCTGATTCCTCCAGCGTTTGGCTGAACTCATTAGCAATGGATGATAAGTGATTTTCACTGTCTTTCTCTCCATTTGTGCACTTTTATTTCATAATGACTTTCCCAGTGCTGCAGAAGTAAGCTTAAATTAGCTTCATTGTTGAAATGATGACCAAAGCTGAATTCTGTCCAAGTTTGCAAATCTCATGCTCAGAGGATGCTGCTAGCACAGGGGCAAATGCTGACTCGAGGCTGTGTCAGGTCCCAGACACTTAACTTCTCTGGAAGCTGGTTCTTAAAGAACAACTGGGCTACATTTGAGGGGCCATTCACCTTAGTTAAGTGTCATCTCTCCGTGGCTGAGAATGCAGAATAAGATGGACTTTGGAAAGGGGCCACTGTGCATAGAAACTTGCAAGAGCAGAGCGGTGCTATGGATCCTCTCCTGTAAAATGGTGGTAATAAACTACCCATCTCAACACAGCGGAGAGTGAATTACGTGAGCCAAGAAATGTAACACACTTTAGAACAGAGCCTGAAACAGACTTATATGCTCAAAAAATGGTTGCTGTTCAGTGTTTTAACCACAATGAACCAAAAATCAAGCACTCTGTATGTGCTAGGCACATTCCTAAGTATTTTCTAAGTAATCACTTAATCTCTACTCATCAAACCTCCAGTGGGCCACTTCTGAAATGCCCCCCACCCCCTAGGGTATCCCCTCCTTTCTACTCTGGTCTGAGCCACCTAACCCCAACCTTTTGCCCAGACTATGCAACAACTTAGCTGGTCTTTTGCTCCCACTACAGTCTACGTCCACACAGCAGCTGGAGCACTACTTGCAATGGCAGTCACATCATTTCACTCCTGTCTACCAATTCTAGAAGGCCCAACATGATCTGTCCCTTTTCCACTGCTCTGACATCATCTTTTATCATCCTCCCCCTCACTCAGGGCAGTCACACATATCTTCTGTGCCTCAAATACAACAAGCTAATTTCTGTCTTAGGGTAACATACTTAATGTACTTCCTAGTCTCTTTTTTTTCCCCCTTTAAATTTCTTAACAACAACAACAACAACAACAACAACAACAACAACAGTACCAATTCACTACAACCATTTAATGGTGAGTCACAGCTTTTAAAAACTAGGAATCCAATTCAGTCCTAACAGCATTGGCCCTGATAACTAGTAAACTGCCATGGAAAGTTAGAAAACCTAACAATGAATGCATGCATGTGGAAGGTATTTGACTGCTTAGCTGACGTCCATGCATCAGGCTGAAACACAGAAAATTGCCAGTATATGAGCATTTTGCCTGAAAAAGCTCAGAAACCTCAAATGGTTCAGCTTAATTTTTAAAATGTGATTTGACAGGCTGGGTGCAGCGGCTCATGCCCATAATGCCAGCACTTTGGGAGGCCGAGGCAGGTGGATCACCTGAGGTCGGGAGCTCAAGACCAGCCTGACCAACATGGAGAAACCCTGTCTCTACTAAAAATACAAAATTAGCTGGGCGTGGTGGTGCATTCCTATAATCCCAGCTACCTGGGAGGCTGAGGCAGGAGAATCGCTTGAACCCGGGAGGCAGAGGTTGCAGTGAGCCAGTATAGTGCCATTGAACTTCAGTCTGGGCAACAAGAGCGAAACACCGTCAAAAAAAAAAAAAAAAGTGATTTGATAAATAATGGCTTCCCATGAAAATGAAGTAGATCACTAACATATTTTACTGAAGTCAACATGAATTGATAGTTATTGCATCCTCATAAATGGGTGAGAGAGAATTCCATTCATTTTAATTGAGATAAATAACAACAGGCTTTAAAACATAAAATTATGGAAAATCTAAAAACTACAAAATTATGGAAAATCTAAAAACTACAAAAAGCAGACAGAAGAGTATAATGAACCCTCCAGACACCCATCAGCCAGATTCAACAATGCTCAACTCATGGCCTGTCAGATTTTGTCTTTACCCCCAAGTACTTCTCATCCTTTATTACAGTGGAGCAAATCTCAGACATATCATTTCATCCACTAATTTTCCTGTATAAATCTATAAAAAAAACCATCACTACATGACCATTATATCCGAAAATTTTAACAATAATGCCTTAATATAGTGTAAGGAGTAAGGAGTAAGTGTTTAAGATCCAGACTTACAATATTGCCAAAAACAATTAACTTGACTCTCCTCAAGCCTCTAGACCCAACCACCACTGCAGAGGAAGTAACAGAGGGCTGAGGATGGCTATCGGGGAACCAGCCCCCGATATTTCAACATACGTTCTATTTTCCCTAAGTGTCGGCCAGTCTGAGAAATAAAGGGAAAGAACACAAAAGAGAGAAATTTTAAAGCTGGGTGTCCAGGGGAGACATCACATGTTGGCAGGTTCCGTGATGCCCCCTGAGCCACAAAACCAGTAAGTTATTATGGATTTCAAAAGGGGAGGGTTGTATGAATAGGGTGTGGGTCACAGAGATCACATGCTTCAAGGGCAATAAAATATCACAAGGCAAATGGGGCAGAGCGAGATCACAGGACCAGGGTGAAATTAGAATTGCTGATGAAGTTTCATGTCCCACTGGGCATGCATTATCAGTGATAACATCTTATCAGGAGACAGGGTTTGAGAGCAGACAATCGGTCTGACTAAAATTTACTAGGCAGGAATTTCCCAATCCTAAGAGGCCTGGGGTGCCACAGGAGACTGGGGCTTGTTTCATCCCTCATCTACAACCGTGTAAGACAGACACTCCTAGAGTGGCCATTTTAGAGACCTCTCCCTAGGAATGCATTCTCTTTCTCAGGGCTGTTCCTTGCTGAGAAAAAGAACTCAGTGTTATTTCTCCTATTCGGTTTTGTAAGAAGAGAAATATGACTCTGTTCTGTCCAGCCCCTCAGGCAGTCAGGCCCAATGGTTATCTCCCTTGTTCCATGAAAATCGCAGCCATCCTGTTCCTTTTGGATGCCCAGATTTCATATTGTTCAAACACACATGCTCCACAATTTGTGCAGATAATGCAATCATCACAGGGTCCTGAGGCAACATACATCCTCAGCTTATGAAGATGACGGGATTAAGAGATTAAAGTAAAGACAGGCATAGGAAATCACAAGAGTACTGATCAGGGAAGTGATAAACGTCCATGACATTTTCACGATTTATGTTCAGAGATTGTAGTAAAGACAGGCGTAAGAAATTACAAAAGTATTAATTTGGGGAACTAATAAATGTCCATGAAATCTTCACAATTTATGTTCTTCTGTCACGGCTTCAGCAGGTCCCTCCATTTGGGGTCCCTGACTTCCCGCAACAGATGGCATTCACTTGGAAGCTGTGCAGTCAGAAACCAGATCATGGGAAACGCCACAGGACAAATGACCAGCTTTGTTCAACAACTGAATTACCAGGAAAAATTCAAAAGCGAGATATGAAAGAGGAACCTATACATAAAGAGACTTAAGAGACATAGCAAGCAATCTCAATGTGTGGCCTTTATTTGGTCCTAATTCAAGAAAACAAAATGTAAAAAGAAAAAGAGACATTTATGAGACTTTTTCAGAGAGGCATTTCCTGACCATCTAACCTAAACCATCTTCCCCAATTATTATCACATCATGCTTTATTTCACAGTACTTAACACTATCTGAAATTATACCGTTTTATTAAAGAATGACTCCCTCCATCTAATGGAGGCTCCATGAACACAGCCACCTTTGCCTGTCCTACTCACCATGAATTCCTATATGAATGATTAAATTAATTTGAACAGACCTTGGTTTCAGTACTGGTTCTACAATTTACTAGCTAAGAGTATTCCATTTTAACAAAATGTTGAGTCTTCTGATCCATGAATATGGGATGTATTTTCATTTATTTAGGTTGTCATTAATTTCAACAATGTTTTATAGTATTCATTGTATAAGTTTTGCACTTCTTTTGTGAATTTATCCTACCCATTCTGTCTCCTACCCTTCTAGGACTCTGATTACACATATATTGGACTGCCTGATATTGTTGCATAGATCGTAGAAATGCTCTATCCATTTTTTTTCCATCTCTCTGACCTTCATTTTAGATAATTTCTATTGATACGTCTTCGAGTTCACTGTTCTTTTGTAGTATTCACTCTGCTGTTAAGCCTATTTTGTTTTTTATTTCACGTACTAGATTTAAACTTCAAATACAGATAACGACTTGCGTTTTTGTTTTTTTTTTTGAGATGGAGTCTCGCTCTGTTTCCCAGGCTGGAGTGCAGTGGTGTGATCTCGGCTCACCACAACCTCTGCCTCCTGGGTTCAAGTGGTTCTCCTGCCTCAACCTCCCGAGTAGCTGGGACTACAGGGGCGCGCCACCATGCCGGCTAATTTTAGTATTTTTAGTAGAGATGGGGTTTCACTATGTTGGCCAGGCTGGTCTTGAACTCCTGACCTCGTGATCCGCCCGCCTTGGCCTCCCAAAGTGCTGGCATTACAGGCGTGAGCCACTGTGCCCGGCCTTTCCATTGGTTTTTTTAAGCTTCCATTTCTCTGCTGAGATTCCTTATTCAACCACTGTTTCAACTATTTTCCCATAAGCCCTATGAACATGACAGTTAAAGTCTGTCTCCAGTTCCAATATCTGAATCATCTATAGGTTGGTTTTTGCTGATTTTAAAAATTTAATTGTGGGTGTCACTCTCTTTTTTGGTTGCTCTGTATGTTTGTATTATGGAAGAACAGTGGTGACTGAAGAACATTAATGCTTTTCCTAGAGAGTGAGAGCTCCCATTTCGTCTGATTAAAGTGAGGAAATAATTATTCAGATTTCACTAAGGGTTGATCTGGAACAGAGTCACAGATTTAAGAAGACTGAGCTCACCTCTGGTTAGCCCAACAGTCTCCACTTAGGTTTTAGGTTATTGGTCTGTAAGTATCTGAGGTGGGAGGCAAGAGGAAGTATCACCTTTCAAACAAGAGTTCCAGAAAACAGGAGAATGTAAGACCCTGTGAGTTCTTTCTACTTTTTAGTGCTGCTTTAGTTCCTTTTTCTTTGCAAAGTTGGGGAGGATTAGCGGGGGAGAGCTGGAGGATATGTATGCTGAATAAATTATTGTTGCACTTACAAGTCTTTCAGATCCCAATCTGAGTTTTTAATTTTTATATCTGACTGAGGCCAGGTGTAGTGGCTCACGCCTGTAATCCCAGCACTTTGGGAGGCCGAGGCAGGCAGATCACCTAAGGTGAGGAGTTCGAGACCAGCCTGGCCAACATGGTGAAACTCCAACTCTACTAAAAATACAAAAAGTAGCCAGGTGTGACAGTGAACACCTGTAGTCCCAGCTACTACTTGAGAGGCTGAGGTGGGAGAATTGATTGAACCTGGGAGTCGGAGGTTGCAGTGAGCTGAGACTGTGCCACTGCACTCCAGCATGGGCGACAGAGCAAGACTCCGTCTCTAAATAAATAAATAAATTTGACTGACTGAGACAGGGTTCTCACTTTGTCACCCAGGCCAGAGTGCAGTGATAGGAACATAGCTCACTGCAGCAGCCTTGACCTCCCGAGCTCAAGTGATCCTCCCACCTCAGCCTCCTTAGTAGTTGGGACTACAGGCATGCACTGCCACGCCCAGCCAACTTGTGGGTCTTTTTTTTTGTAGAGATGGAATTTTGCCATGTTGCCCAGGCTAGTCTCAAACTCCTGAGCTCAAGCAATCTGCCCATCCCAGCCTCCCAAAGTGCTGGGATCACAGGTGTGTGTGCCACTGCGCCCAGCCTTAGCATATGGTTTTCAAAGTTTATCTATATGTAGCATGAATGAGAACTTCATTCCTTTTTATTATTTATTTTTTTGAGATGGAGTCTCACTCTGTCGCCCAGGCTGGAGTGCAGTGGCGTGATCTCGGCTCACTGCAACCTCCGCCTCCTGGGTTCAAGCGATTCTCCTGCCTCAGCCTCCCAAGTAGCTGGGACTACCGGCGAGCTTCACCATGCCCAGCTAATTTTTGTTTTTAGTAGAGACGGTGTGTCACCATGTTGGCCAGGATGGTCTCCATCTCTTGACTCATGATATGCCTGCCTCAGCCTCCCAAAGTGCTGGGATTAAAGGTGTGAGCCACCATGCCCAGCCGAGAACTTCATTCCTTTTGTTTTTGTTTTGTTTTGTTCTGAGACGGAGTCTCGCTCTGTCGCCCAGGCTGGAGTGCAGTGGCGCGATCTCGGCTCACTGCAAGCTCTGCCTCCTGGGTTCATGCCATTCTCCTGCCTCAGCCTCCCGAGTAGCTGGGACTACAGGCACCCGCCACCACGCCTGGATAATTTTTTGTATTTTTAATAGAGACAGGGTTTCACTGTGTTAGCCAGGATGGTCTCGATCTCCTGACCTCGTGATCCGCCCGCCTCAGCCTCCCAAAGTGCTGGGATTACAGGCGTGAGCCACTGCACCCGGCCAAGAACTTCACTCCTTTTTATGGCTGAAAAATATCCCATGGAATGTATATACCACATTTTGTTTATCCATTCATCTGCTGTTTGACACTTGGGTTGTTTCCACCTTTTGGCTACTGTGAATAATGCTGCAATGAACATTGATGTACAAGTATTTGTTCGAATCCCTTTTTTTCAATTCCTTTGGGTATTCTACCCCAGAGCAGAATTGCTGGGTCATATGGTAGAAGTACTATATTTAGCTTTTTGAGAAACCACCAAACTATAGTAGCTGCACAATTTTGCATTCCCATCAGCAATGTATGAGGGTTCTAATTTCTTTGTATCATTGCTAACACTGGTTATTTTTATTTTTTACTTTTTAAATGATAGCCATCCTAGGGGGTGTGAAGTGGTATCTTATCTAATTGTGGTTTTGATTTTCATTTCCCTCATTAGTTTAATGCTACTTGATCACCTTTTCATGTAATTACTGGTCATTTATTTTGCTTGCCCCCATCACTGCCAACAGCTCCTTCTCCAGCCAGTACATTTTCTCAGTCTTTGGCAAGTCCTCTCTACTACCTGCTCAAACCCAGACCTGGCATCTGCCCCCAGCAGCTGCTGTGCCACAGTGCTCACACCTATGATGGGCTCCACTCTCTGGAAACCAGTTCAACAAGGCTTTCTGCCACTCTTCAATGGTCCCATTATGACAGATATTTTCCAAAGATGATCACAGCAATACTTCTAGTCACATATGCTCTTCTAGAGCAAGAGGCGGCCTCTGTATCTCCTCTTGAACCTGGATGGGACTTTGTGAGTGCCTTGATGAAGAGGATGCAGCCTAAGTGATGTTCTGTGACTTCTGAGGATAGGTCATAAAAGGTTATACAGCTTCAGCATGGCTCTTCCTCTTTCTTGGAATGTTCCTCCTTGGAACCTAGCCACCACGTTGTGAGGAAGCCCAGGCTACATAGGCCAAATGTAGGTGTTCAGCTAACAGCTCCAGCTAAGGTCTGAGCCAACAGCCAAGCCAACCACTGACATCAGAGTGAGCCTTCAGATGACTCCTGCCTCCAGTCTTCCCTTCTTCCAGCTGAGATCACAGATACTGTGAAGACAAGCCATCCCTACTAAGTCCATCTGAAGTTATGACCTACAGAATCCAAGACTATAATAAATAAGTAGCTGTTGCAGGCTACTAGGTTTTGAGGCAATTTGTTATACAGCAGTAAATAATTCCAATACTGCCAGAGTAAGTGTGACTTCTACATCATCTGGATTTTTCTTGGTGTTATTATGGCAGTGAAGGTTTTCTATATTCTTTTACATCCTAGCCAGAATCTGCCTAGCATCTTTAGAGTTTTCTGAGGATACTTCTGCTACCTGAAAGTTCATTCATTTCCACAATGCCTATCATGTGCCAGACATAGTCCTAAGCATTGGAGATACAGCAATCAATAAAAACAATAAGGCCCCTGCCATCATAGAAAAAACCTTGATTTCAATCTTTGGCCCTTCCAATTGCATACATAATTTCCGTGGTGGAAGAATACGGAGTGGAAGGGGAAGTAACAATATGGAGTTTATCACAGTGATGTTTTCTATTTCTTTGGCTCAACATTGTGCTTGTTAGTTATACATGGAGCTGAAATCTGCTCCTTTTCATAGCTGGATAATATTCTACTATGAGACCAGGTATGGTGTCTCATGCCTGTAATCTCATCAGCACTTTGGGAGGTCCAGGTGGGAGGATCACTTGGGCCAGGAGTTACAGACCAGCCTAGACAATACGGTGAGACCCCATCTCTACAAAAAACTGAAAAAATTAGTTGGGCGTGGTGGTGCACCTGTGGACCTAGCTATTCTGGAGAACTGATAGGAGGACTGCTTGAGCCCAGGAGATCAAGGCTGCAGTTACCTGTGACTGTGCCACTGCACTCCACCCTGGGTGACAGAGTGAGATCCTGTCTCAAAAAAAAAGAAAAGAGGGTTGGGCACAGTGGCTCATGTCTCTAATCTCAGCACTTTGGGAGGCCGAGGCAGGCAGATTGCTTAAGCCCAGGAGTTCAAGACCAGCCTGGGCAACATGTGAAACCCCGTCTCTACAAAAAAATACAAAAAATTAGCCAGGCACAGTGTGTGCACCTGTAGTCTCAGCTACTTGGGTAGCTAAGGCAGGAGAATCACTTGAGCCTGGGAGGCAAAGGTTGCAGTGAGTGGAGATCGCATCACTGCACTCCAGCCTTGACGACAGGAGTAAAACCCTGTCTCAAAAAAAAAAAAAAGAAAAAAGAAAAAAATTCTATGTGGAATAATGTAAATTTACCTACCCATATGAATGCTGACAAACATTTGGGCTGCTTCTAGTTGTAAGCTATTATAACAATGTTGCTATGAATACACTTGTATCCTGATACATACGTGCACGAATTTCTTTAAAAAACAAATTTAGGCTGGGCATGGTGGCTCATGACTGTAATCCCAGCACTTTGGGAAGTCGAGGTGGGCAGATCACCTGAGTTCAGGAGTTCAAGGCCAGCCTGGCCAACATGGCGAAACCCTGTCTCTACTAAAAATACAAAAATTAGCTGGGCGTGGTGGTGGGCACCTATAATCCCAGCTGCTCGGGAGGCTGAGGTTGAATCCAGCAGGCAGAGGTTGCAGTGAGCCAAGACCATGCCACCACACTCCAGCCTGGGCAACAGAGTAAGGCTCCGTCTCAAAAACAAAACAACAACAAAAAAACAAACCTAGGCCAGCTATAGGAGCAGTACATTTTATTTCTCTGTAGTATTGGGCTGTATGAATATACCACAATTTATTTATGCATTCTTTAGCTCATAAGCATTTGGGCTGTTTCCTGTGTTTAGCTATTAAGAATATTCTGCTGTGAACATTCTTATCAATATCTTTTGGTGAACAAAGGCACTCATTTCTGTTGGTTACATATTCAGGGTAGATTTGCTGGGCCAAGAGGGATTTTGTATATTAGTTTTGATACTGCCAAATGGTTTTCCAAAGTGGTTAATATGAATTTACACTCTCACTAGCAATATGAGTTCCCAGTTGCTCTTCTTCCTCACCAATACTTGGTACTGTCAGCCTTTTAATTTAATTTGGGTATAGCTGTCTTTCTTTTTGAACTATAGGAAAGCTTTACATATTCTGAATACAATTACACTGTTGGTTACATAGGCTACAATTTTCCTATTTAATGGCTTGTTTTACCCTAAAATTAAGAGGGCCATAATTTTAGTGAGGTCAAATTTTCCTTCTTTCCAAACAGTATCTCTTAGAATTTCTTTTGTTTTTTGAGATGGAGTCTTGCTCTGTCGCCCAGACTGGAGTCAGGTCTGCTAGACATAAATTATTTCAGTATTTGCTTATCTGAAAAAAAGTCTTGATTTCTCTTCATTCTTTATAGATATTTTTTTGCTGGATTTAGAAATGCTAGGTGGCCAGTTCTGGCTTTCATGGTCATTGCTGAAAAGTCTGCTGTCAGTCTGCCTATGGCACCCTAGAAGATAATCTGTCTTTTTTCTCTAGTTGCTTTTAATATTTCATCTTTGGTGTTCTTCAGTATCACTAGGACAGGTCTTAGAATCAGTTTCCTTTTATGCATTCTCGTTTGGCACTTGTTGGGCTTCTGAATCTGTGGATTACTATTATCGATTAGTTTTGGAAGGTTCTGTCTTTCTCTCTTCTCCTTCTGGGACTCTGATTAAATGTGTGTTGGATTTTCTCCTACAGGATTTTTTCTCTTTTGTATCTTTCATTTCGCTCTCTGTGATGCATTCCAGGTAACTCACCTTAACCTACCTTCTAGTTAGGTCAGCAAACTACAGCGCAGGGGCCAAATCCAGCTCACTGCCTGTTTTTGTAAACAAAGCTTTACTGAACACAATCATGCGCATTCGTTTACATATTGTCTACGGCTGCTTCTGCACTACAATGGCAGCGTTAAGTGCTTCTGACAGAGGCTATCGATAGCCCTCAAAGCTGGAAACGCTGACTACCACATTCTGTTCTAGAGCACCACTGCTCCTTTCAGTGGGTCTAATCTGCTCCAAATACAGCCACTGAGTTTACACCTGAGTTTAATCATTACATTTTCCTAGAAATTCTATTTGGTTCTTCTTCAAATTTGCTATGACACTTCTTAAGATTTTATATTCCTTACTGGTATTTTCAAGTTTGTCTTTGATTTCTTCTAAACTCTGTAAGCCCCAGCTGATTTACAGTTTAGGTAGTCTGTGCAAAGGTGATTTCTGACGCTTATTCTGGCTCTTGCTCATAGTTCCTGGTTTCCTTGTGTGTCTCATTGAGGGACAGAAATTACTTGTAAGAGTAATTCGAAGGCTAAGTAAAGTTCCTTTCCTTCAGGGTGGGCCTGCGCTGCCTCTGCCAGACACCTGGAGGCAGCATCACTCTGGAACCATATCAGTCTAGTCAGGGGCTGAGACCTGTCAACATGGAGTCCCAGCTGAAGGGTCTCTTTTAGACTCCCCACTTTGTGCATATCTTAGTTGGTGATTTTTGTCCCTTTACCTTTGGGGTTATTAAATAGAAAATTCACATTTTCTCAGATTAGTAAATGCTGTCAGGGCACAACTGGCTTCTGGGCTCCACTTCTCTAGGTCCCCATTTTCCTTTTGGCTTGGTAAAATACCTTGTTAGTTTATTGGTGCTTTTAAAGACAAGGTTTTTATGTTTTATCTAGCATTTTTTAGTAGTTTTCAGTAGGGAACTTGGTTCCCTTGAATGACTTAGTCCTCTACTACCAGAAACTGGAAATCAGAAGTTTCACTTCTCTCTTAAGAAAGATCACTGACTAGGACAGAGCCTATCTTCAAAGGAAAACAGAGATGATAAAGAAAATTTCTTCCTGAAGATGTATAAGAAACATATATTATGCCTACCACTTTATTAACTGCCGGACTAATACAAATTCTACCTTCAGAAAGTCACAATCCTTTCTGATAAATTAGGGTATCTTTCTTCATAAGGGCTCCTTAGGAGGTTACTATGATCTAAATGATCTAAATGCAGCCGGTGTCTGATGTAACAGTCAATTTAACCTCTCTGGGCCTTCGGTGTCCTCATCTCTTAAATGGCGATAATAATCGCACCTATCTTATGGAGGTGCTGTGATGCTTACATGAGTTAATTTGTATAAAAGACTTAAAATTGGCTGGGTACAGTGGCTCACGCCTGTAATCCCAGCACTTTGGGAGGCTGAGGTGGGCGGATCACGAGATCAGGAGATCGAGACCATCCTGGCTAACACAGCGAAACCCCGTCTCTACTAAAAATACAAAAAATTAGCTGGGTGCGGTGGTGGGCACCTGTAGTCCCAGCTACTCGGGAGGCTGAGGCAGGAGAATGGCGTGAACCTGGGAGGCAGAGCTTGCAGTGAGCCGAGATAGCACCACTGCAGTCCGGCCTGGGCAAAAGAGCGACACTCGGTCTCAAAAAAAAAAATAAGTAAATAAATAAATATAAATAAATAAATAAATAAAAGACTTAAAATTATGCCTGGCACATAGATAACTGCTAGCTACATAAAATCAAACAGCTCAGTTCACCAAAAGGAGTCTCTGGGCTACATATAGCGTAGCAGAGGGGATATATATGTTGCCAAATCTTCTTCCTCTTTTTTCTTTTTAAACAACCACTTAAAAATATAAAAACTGGCCAGGCACAGTGGCTCACGCCTGTAATCCCAGCACTTTGAGAGGCCAAGGCGGGCAGATCACCCTGAGCTCAGGAGTTAAGAGACCAGACCAGCCTGGGCAACGTGGCAAAACCCCGTCTCAACCAAAAACACAAAAAGAAAAAAAAAAATAGCTGGGTGTGGTGGCACAAACCTATAGTCCCAGCTACTTGGGAAACTGAGGTGGGAGGATGACTTGAGCCTGGGAGGCGGAGGTTGCAGTGAGCCAAGATTGTGCCATTGTCCTCCAGCCTGGGCAACAGAGTTAGACTCTGCCTCCAAAAACAAAAACAAACAAACAAACAAAAATATATATATGTGTGTGTGTGTGTGTACACACATATATGTATACATATAGACACACACACACAAACACCATTCTTAGATTAAGAAGTTAAACAACAACAAACCCCCCAAAAGCCAAACAGTGTATTTAGCCCACAGACTGAAGTTTGTCAACCCTTGGCCTAACAGGCAGGGGACTGATAGAAATCATGCAATGTGGTCAGGCGTGGAGGATCGTTTGAGGCCAGCAGTTTGAGACCAGCCTGGACAACATAGCGAGACTGTGTCTCTACAAAAATAAAAAATTAGTTGAGTGTTATGGTGCATGCCTACAATCCAAACTACTGGGGAGGCTGAGGCAGGAGGATTGCTTGAGCCCAGGAGTTTATGGCTAGAGTCAGCTGTGATTGTGCCACTGTACTACAGCCTGGGCAACACAGCAAGATCCTGTGTCTAAAGAAAAAAGGAATCAGGCAATGTGCTTTCAAAATACTTTCTCAGAAGACTGTGGAAGGAGGATCAAAATTCTAGTGATCCTCTTTAATCAGAGGCTGAGACTTCTGCACCTCCAAGGCAGCTGAAGGGAGTACAGCTTAAGAACCACACAGGGCTATATTTGCTGGATTTAGATATACAACACGAACTGACTACATTACAGTGAAGAAAACTGAATGGGTTTGATACATGTTGACGTGAATGAAGACAAATGCATATTTACCTGGCCAAAGACTATTCCACCAGTACTGGCTGCTTGACCAAACACAGAACCAGTATTACTAGACCCAAAACCTGTAAAATACAAAGAAAACAAAAATTCAATTTGGATTGGATGAGTCTTTTACAACATTAAAGTTTTGTTGTTTTTTTTTTTTGAGGCAGAGTCTCGCTCTGTCACCAGGCTGGAGTGCAATGGTGGGATCTTGGCTCACTGCAACCTCTGCCTCCCAGGTTCAAGCGATTCTCCTGCCTCAGCCTCCTGAGTAGCTGGGACTCAAGTGTGTGCCACCATGCCCAGCTAATTTTTTTTTTTGAGATGGAGTCTTGCTCTGTCGCCCAGGCTGGAGTGCAGTGGCGCGATCTCGGCTTACTGCAAGCTCCGCCTCCCAACGCCCAGCTAATTTTTGTATTTTCAGTACAGACGGGGTTTCTCCATGTTGGCCAGGATGGTCTTGATCTCTTGACCTCATGATCCACCCACCTTGGCCTCCCAAAGTGCTGGGATTACAGGTGTGGGCCACCGCACCCAGCCTAAGTTTATTTCTTTTTAAATGACATTCAGGTGTGCTAAGATAGCCCATAATAAATCAACTTATGAATAAAATGTTTCCTCATCTAGTATGGAGAAAAGTCTGAGCAAATACTTTAAAGACCATTTTTCATTGCTAACATTTTAAAATAGTGTAAGTTCTAAAGCCCTGGGGAATGAATCCTCTCCTACCAAACCCCACGTGGATGGGGGCTAAGAATAGTTTATCCTCACTTTCAGTGACCAGAAATTCTTTCTAATGACTTAATATTATGAATATTTCTACTCCTCGGTTTCTTCTGAATCTCAGATACCACATTCTTTTCAGGGTAGTTTATCTTTCTTCCAGATGGCATAACATGGTTGAAGTGCTGAGCTGAACAGGGCCTGGGAACATGAGGCAGAACTATACAACAAAAGAGCTCCAGACAAGGAGTGAGAAGGCAGGAGTTCTACTCTCGTTTCTTTTCTTTTTTTAATGGAGATGGAGTCTCGCTCTATTGCCCAGGCTGGAGTGCAGTGGCACGATCTTGGCTCACTGCAACCTCCGCCTCCCAGGTTCAAGCGATTCTCCTGCCTCAGCCTCCCAAGTAGCTGGGACTACATGCGCCTGCCACGACGCCCAGCTAATTTTGTGTTTTTAGTAGAGATGGGGTTTCTCCATGTTGGTCAGGCTGGTCTCAAACTCCTGACCTCAGGTGATCCACCTGCCTCAGCCTCCCAAAGTGTTAGGATTACAGGCGTGAGCCACCGCGCCCGGCAATGTTTGTGTTTTTAGTAGAGATGGGGTTTTACCATGTTGGCCAGGCTGGTCTCAAACTCCTGACCTCAAGTGATTCCCCTGCCTCGGCCTCCCGAATTGCTGGGATTACAGGCGTCAGTCGCCATGCCCAGCCTCTATTCTCATTTCTGTCACTGATTGGGTAGGTGAGCTTAGACAAGACTCAATTCCTCAACTAGGGCTGAAGTAGACAGCTCAGATACCTTTCCGCACAGATACTAAATGAAAGAAGATTCCTTCCTGGGTTCTGAATTTGTTGAAATAGTATGACCATGCCTGTGCATGAGGTCTTCTCAGGTTCTGACTGCAGAGCAAATGGTGTGGTAGTGATACGGACTGTGTTACACGTTCTCCTCTAAGACTCATAGGGCCTTCTCCTTGCCCATTTTCTGGACCAAGTCAGCACATTTCCCATCATTCAGCAGCCCTCTGGCCTCTTCACAGGGCATTGGGTAGGTCTCAAAACCATATCTGTCTTTTCAACACCGTGTCCTTATAGCTGAATTTAGGAGGAGTGTAACAAACATTTGTTGAAGAAAGGAAAATGTTTCCTTTCTAATAAATTATGAACCATTTTCAAGTTATCATCGAATAATGAATTAGCAGTTACTAGTAATCTTGCCCACCATGAAATCATTGATCCTTGCTTTTCTCCTAGAGTCTATTGCTGAAGAATTACCTTTCATAAGATAACTTTCAGAAAGCAAATCTCAGGACAGATTTTCAAATTGCCTTGCTTATTGATAACTTTTAGAAGTAAAAGTAGCTGCTAAAATGGAAAATGCAATAGAGAAGAATTAGGTTTCACTGTCAAAAACAGTAAACTGTAGTTTTTACAAAAAGTCATAACACTGAAAATAGAAAAGAACCCAAATCAAATGTCAGTGACTGCCATTACAGTAAGAAAGATGGTGTCAGAGGAGACAGAAAACACTGGCAGGGCGGTGGACTATGATGACACTTGGACTCTCCTGCTGGTTCCACTGGCACTATCCTGACATTAGAGCAGTCTCCTTGAGGCTTGACAGCTTTGGGTATAATGATCTCTACAGTGCCTTCCAAATTTGAAATTTCCTATTTATTGTTCATTAAATTACTTGGCAGGACCTCAACTAAAGATGCTTGATTTTTCCCCATGAAACACACTCTGGTGGCTTGCAGAGTGGACAATTTGCTAAGAAGCAAAACTGGAGCTGCATTAAGCTGTAACAGATCCAGCCAATTAGGCCAAACAAGTTCCTGAGACCACATGTGCTCCAAGCTGTCTTCTTTAACCTACAGATTATTTTTGGGTTTTGAGTCTCCCCTTTAATTACAAAAGTAATAGGGGTCTGTTGCTAATGTTTCAAATAGCAGAGAGGGAAACAAGTAAAAAGCTTCCACAAATTCTTACCTGAAGCTTGGCAAAAGCTGAACCCAGAGGTTGCTGCTGTTGTGGTGGCAGCTGAGGTACCACCAAAGACAGAGCCTCCCTGTCCAAAGCCAGGACTCTGCCCAAAAGCAGGAGCGTTGCTTTGGCCAAACAGCCCCCCTCCTGTGTTGGGAGAAGACTGTCCAAATGAGAAGGAACTGGAGCTACTGGTACTTGAGGCGGCACCAAAGACACTTCCACTGGTGGATGTGGGAGTGGAGGAAGCAGGCTGACCGAAGGCAGGCACGGAACTGAACCCAGGCTGACTGAAGGAAAAGACACTTGCAGCACTGCTCGCCGACTGCCCAAAGACTGAGGCCTGCCCGAAGGTTGTCTGTCCAAAGACCCCTGGGGCTGTGGTACCAAAAGCTGGGCTGCTAAACCCTGAGCTGCTGACCTGTGGTGTGGCAGCTGCTGTGCTGGCTGTGCTACCAGTCTGCTGCCCAAACAGACTTGGTGCGGTGCTGGCTGCCACTTGCCCAAACACGGGCGTGGCAGAGGGGGCAGTGGCTGTGTTGTTGGTGAGCTGGTTGAAAGCTGAGCTAGAACTGGCAGCAGGAGGCTGAGCAAAGACGGATGAGCCAGAAGTGACGGTACCAAATGCTGCTGCCTCTGCAGATGGGCCGGGAGCAACAATGGACGTGGTGCTGGAGGCTATGGGGGTACTTGATGTTTCGACGGCCACAGGGCCTGCACTTGAGATAGCAGCTGCTGTGACAGCAGTCTGCCCAGGCACAGAAAAGGAGGAAGCAGGTGGTACTGCCTCCGTCCTGGCATCAGGGACCCCCGTGGTGGCTGGGGTAGCCTCTGCAGAAAGTGCTACAAGACTAGTACTAGATGCTGCAGTGCCAGAGTTGCTGACTGCAGGCTGGGCAAGAACAGGTTCTTTTTTAACAGAGTCAGAAGTTTGCGGAGGAGCCTGGGGAAGCTGGGCTGACTGTTGCTCCTCTAGAAGTGAGGCTGCTGATGCTGAGACCTCACTGTCACCTGGCTTCTCAGGCAAAGCTGATGAAGTGGCCTCTTCTGTGCTTCTGCCAGCGGACATAGGCAGGGAGGGGGTAGTTGCTGAACTCAGGAGGCTACCAAATGACAATGTGGGGAATGATGTTGGAAGGGGAGTGGCAGCTGTAGTTGGTGGTGGGGCAGATGGGGGCACTGTGCTATTGGTCTGTTGGCTTCCAAATGAAAAACTAGTCTTGCCAGCACTTAGAGATGTCCCACCAAAACTGATGACCCCAGAGGATCCTGCACTGGTGACTGGCAGACTGCCAAAAACGGCAGTTGAGGAAGTGCTGGTGGCTGCTGGTGGTGCTACTGAGGTGGTGGTTGCAGAGGATGTCACAGGGGGCTCCGTGTGCTTCCCTAACACCGGGGGGGCAGTAAAATTAAACCCTGAGGGCACGCCTGACGTCTTGGTTGGCTGGGTACTAGTTAGGCTTGTGGATGAAGCCTTATTGGTTGGTTTTGTAGAATCATCTGCTTGGCCAACCCGCAGTCCTGAAAAACTTCCCAGAGTCTCTCCAGCCAAAGAACTTGGAAACAGAAGCTCTCCCAGCTTGGACGGTGGGGTTTCCAGCTTACTAGAGGTGGTGGAAAGAGCAGTTCCAGAAGGTGCCACAGGTCTGCTGCTAGATGCGGCAGGTTCTCCTGGGGTGGTGTTTGATGCGGATGTGATTCCTGAGGGAGGTGAGCTTTCAGGAATGGCCTCATAAGAAGGTTTGCTTCCCCCACCAGATGAGAATGCGTCCGGCTGGCTTGACTCTTTAGTGGAGGGTGTTGCCCCTAGCAAGAAAAAGAAATCAGAAAATGGGTTGGATTTAGCAAAAGATGACCCATTACATTTCCACTGATTGTGTTTCTAAGCCAAAGTTTCTCTCCTCCCTCTACAGAGTCAGGGTGCCTTGTTCTCACAGCAGCTTTCTCTAAGGAGGTGGAATGAGTGCTTCTCCACACAAACATCAGCTCTGAGTCGTCTGAGGTGAAAAGGAAAAAATACTTTTTTTATGACCATTAAATCACAACAAATACAAAATATCTAGAATATGTGAAATTAACATATTATCCCAAAGAGAAATAAAAAAGCCTCTTCCCTTAATTTACCCTAGCTGTGTGCTTTCCTTAATAACATCCTCAGCACAGCAATGGCCTGTGGACCTCCTGATAGACCAGGACTTGATTCAAAATGGAAGTTCTTCCTTCATTTTTATGAGCAAATAAAGTGTCAGTCCACAGAAAATCATTTTTATGTACAATTAATGGCTACTTATTAGTGCTCTACTAAGTCAGCTATTTGACAGAGGCAGTACGGTCTGGTGGTCAAGGACATGGGCTCTGGAGCTATGCACTCTGCCACTCGCTGGTTGTGTGAATCTGGAAAGGTTGCTTTACCTCTCTGAGCCTCAATTCCCCCATTTGGAAAATCTAGATCATTACAATACCTACCTTCATTGTGCTGTTACAAAGATCGCAGGAAATATGGGTAAAGCACCCATAAGGCCTGGTCAAACAACAGTGGTTAATAAATACAAGAGTAACGAGGCCGGGCGTGGTGGCTCACACCTGTAATCCCAGCACTTTGGGAGGCCAAGGCACGTGGATCACGAGGTCAGGAGTTCGAGACCAGCCTGATCAATCAACATGGTGAAACCCTGTCTCTACTAAAAATACAAAAATTAGCTGGATGTGGTGGTGGGCGCCTGTAATCCCAGCTACTAGGGAGGCTGAGGCAGGAGAATCGCTGGAACCCAGCAGGTGGGGGTTGCAGTGAACTGCAATTGCGCCATTACACTCCAGCCTGGATGACAACAGTGAGACTCCATCTCAAAATAAATAAATAAAATAAAAGACTTAATCATAAACGGATAACTGAAAGGCACTTAACAAATAGATCTGGTTTCTTTATAGGGCTTCAAATTCTTTTAAATGTTAAAAACATGCTATTGATGGATTTTTTGGCGCGGGGGGGGGGGGGGACACACAGAGTTTCACTCTTGTTGCCCAGGCTGGAGTGCAATGGCACAATCTTGGCTCACTGCAACCTTGCCTCCCAGGTTCAAGCAATTCTCCTGCCTCAGCCTCCTGAGTAGCTGGGATTATAGGTATGCGCCACCACGGCTGGCTAATTTTGTATTTTTAGTAGACACGGGGTTTCTCCATGTTGGTCAGGCTGGTCTTGAACTCCTGACCTCAGGTGATCCGCCTGCCTCGGCCTCCCAAAGTGCTGGGATTATAGGCGTGAGCCACCGCGCCCAGTCTATTGATGGATTTTTAACAACATGCATGGGATGAGTGTGTTTGCTGGTATGTTATCAAGGAAAAAAACGAGTTTGGTCTTTCATTTCTACAGTCTATCTATTACCATGTCTATCTTGCCCTACAGAATCACCCTATAAATTGAAGAAATTTTAAATTACAGACAAAAAATGGAGAAATTTTAATTCACATGTTAACATTTAAATGTTAAAGCACAGCCCTGATTTTCTAGAAGCAAATCCTTTCCTTGTCCTTAATTATAAAAATAGAAATCCTTCACATCAGTTTCTTAAATTAAGCATATTTCTAATGCACATTATCAACACTGAGCTTATTGCAGATACTGTAAGTAAGATTCAGGAACAAGTCAAATACTAACATGTGGGCAAAAATAACCTGTACTTATTTAGAGAAAACACATGAGTAATGCTACTCAACACAGAGTCTGTACCTTGTGCAGCAGTGAAATTAGAAGACGGTGTTGGTGTGATTATCCCAAAATTAAAGCCAGTCCTAACAAGTGGAAAAAGAGAAATTAAAAAGGAACAAACCAAGGCACAATATTGCCCTCTTAATATTCCATTTTATCATTCATTCATACAAACCGCCCTCAGGAATTTACAATCTAGAAGATAAATGACAACAGAGTCAAAGCACCTATCTCAGAAGCAGTAAGGCCACTCTATGATCTCTAAGCAGAGAAGCAGTTTGTGTGTGAGATACGACAGGGATAGCAGTTGAGAGCCCATTGGGGGATGGCTGGGCTTTCTGTAGCAGAAGTTTGAGTGGGGACTTCTTGCAAGATGAGCAAAGCTGCAGCAGTAGAGACACATGACAAATGTGCATGTGGGAATGGTGGCCGGAGCAGATGGTCTGTTAAGTGAGGGGACAGAAGGAAGGTCTGGTAAGACAGAAGCACTTAAGACTAGGGAGAGCCTCTCAGAACCCCTCCAAGACCAACAAGCATGTCAGAGAGCCCCACACTGCTAGGGAAAACAATGGATACAATGAAATAGAAGCCCTAACTCAGTCATTTTGACAGAACTGAGTTTTACGGCTAGGAAAATCTAGTTCAAAAACTTTGTGACTCCTTTCACCATCTCCTCTCTCCTTTTGTACGTTTTCTTTACACTGTAAGTGAAGACACCATAGCTAAGGAAGAAAATCCCACGCGAGTGTGAATCAGAACAGATTATTCACTGTGATAAAAACTCAGGCCAGGCATGGTGGCTCACATCCCAGCATTTTGAGAGGCTGAGGCAGGTTAATCCTTTGAGCCCAGGAGTTTGAGACCAGCCTAGGCAACATGGTGGAACCCTGTTTCTACAAAACAAAAACAAAAACCCAAAAACCAAACAAACAAAAACAAAAACCCCCAAAAACCAAAACCGAAAAATTAAAAAACAAAAATCAGCCAGGTGTGGTGGCGCGCACCTGTAGTCCCAGTTATTCGGGGGGCTAAGGCAGGAGGATCACTTCAGTCCTGGGGGTGGAGGTTGTAGTGAGCCATGACTGTACCACTGCACCTTTTTTTTTTTTTGAGACAGAATCTTGCTCTATCTCACACACACACACACGCAAAGTTCAAATTGCAGATTTCAAACTAGCTTTAAAATATAACGAACCAAGCACATCAAATATACTAAATAATGTAATAACTTAGACACCTTTGCCCATCATATTAAAAATAAAAAAAAAAACACAACCTTTCTTAGTGAAAAAATTTTATCTAATAGTGTCAAGCCATTGATTCAATGACCCCACCTTTTCTGGGTTATTTTAAAAATGGGAAGAGGGCCAGGTGCAGTGGCTCGTGCCTACAATCCCAGCACTTTGGGAGGCTAAGGCGGGTGGATCACTTGAGGCCAGGAGTTCAAGACCAGCCTGGGCAACATGAAAAAACCCCATCTCTACTAAAATACAAAAATTAGCTGGGTGTGGTGGTGCACACCTGTGATCCCAGCTACTTGGGAGGCTAGGGCAAGAGAATCACTTGAACCCGGGAGGTGAAGATTGCAGTGAGCTGAGATCTCACCACTGCGCTCCAACCAGGGTGACGGAGTGATACTCTGCCTGAAAATCCAAAAAAAAAAAAAAAAAAAAAAAAAAAAAAAAAGAAAAGGAAGAAGAATATCATTTCACAGAAGACTGATTATTAGCCATCTGTAAAGGATGCAATAATTCTTGGCATTGACCTACTCTTTAAAATTTGCTGCAAATTACCTTTGGGAAGCATAAAACATAATGATTTATAATAAAGAAAAAATATATGTATTACTTTCCCCCTCAAATAATATTCTAATACCCTCTTTTCTCCTTAGGCTGAAGGACACTCAAAAAATATATTAAAATCAGGAAAAAGAGACTGGTTAATATGCTCCTAGTTACAAAAGCATAAACTGAAGAACTTAAGAGGCTTTTCTAAGGAACTGAATGCACAATGCTTCAATGGCAAAAAATCCTTTTGACACATTTTGATCTCAGTTCCACAGAGTCTAACCCAATGCTTCAGCAGCTCACACAGGTTTCAACATGAGCGCTCAGGGCACAGAGAACAGGCACCTTAACAAAGGCTCATCTTGAGATAAGGTATAGAAGATTCTTTCATTTTTAAAAACAACTCAACTTTACAAGTACAGCCATCATTATTATTATTATTTTTTAAAGAAACGGAAACAGATTCCTCCACATCTATATAAAACCTCAAATTTCAAATGCCTATTATCTTTCATTACATTCTCTAAGTTTAGTATACTGTACTCTCGATGCAGTAAGCCTTTTTTTTTTTTTTTTTTTTTTTTTTTGGAGACGGGGTTTCACTCTGTTGCCCAGGCTGGAGTACAATGGTGTGATCATAGCTCACTGTAACCTCGAACTCCCGGGCTCAAGGGATCCTCCCACCTCAGCCTCCCAAGTGGCTGGGACTATAGAAGTGAACCAACGTACCTGGTTAATTTTTCAATTTTTTGTAGAGATGAGGTCTCACTATGTTGCCCAGGTCAGTCTCCAACTCCTGGCCTCAAGCAATCCCTCCCACCTTGGCCTCCCAAAGCACTAGGATTATAGGCATGAGCCACCATGTTTGTCCAGCAAAGTCAATTTGAATGTCACATCTAGCCCCCAAAATGGTGTCAGAATGGAAACATCTCAGTGTGACAAACTAGATGAACTACAGAATTTAGCAGACTCATTACTCAAAGAAAATGAGGCTTAGGCTAAAAAACAAAACAGATACACAAATATGTAACAAACAAGTATTAACTTGAATTGCAAAGGGAAAATCGATTTACATGAGAACATTAAACTATTGCCACTATCATCACATGTATTACTGCCACGGTAAGAACTCTGGGTTCATACACATTTAATAAGTAAATAAATATATCTATAATTGTAAGATTTGGGGAAGCTAATTGCTAGTAATTTGCCATAAAACTTAAGTTCATTACTGACCCTGATGGAGAAAATGAGAAAGGCTTGCTGAACTGCCCAGAAGCAGATGGGGTTGAAGTCACAGCTGTTTCTATCTTGGCTGTCCCTGAAATTATGGAAAAAAAAAAAAAAAAAAAAAAAAAAGAATATTACAAAAAGACAGAAACACTGTTCCAGTGTATAATTCCCTGTAGCTCAGCCTGTGAGGTGCTGCTTAGCACCACATGTGCCTTCTGTGACACGTCAGTGGCCATGGGGAGTGAGCACGTTGCCTCACTTGTGTTTGAGGTCTCTGAAATTGCTCCGTGGCTCTGTCAATGTTAATTCCAGTCTAAGGTGTGCCATCTTCTCCTTTACAGAAAATATATCAAAATAATTCTAGTATAGTTTAAATGTACAGTTTTAAAAGTACACTCTTATATATTTCAATGGTATGGGAAAATGCTTATAATGTGAGGCTAAGCCCCCTCCCCACAAAAGTAAATAAAACTATATATAATGTAGCTTTATAATTATTTGAAATTAATCTATGCTGAAGGACAAAAATCCAAAAGAGAAATAGGTTCATAAGCTAAATATTTCTGAGTAGTGACTTTAAGGCTGTTTACTTCTATATACATTTCTGCATTTTCCACAGATTTTGTTGGCATTTAACAAATAATCGTGTTCTTTTTTTAAAATTACAGATGTAAAACATGATTGCTATAATATGGAGACATGCAAAAAGGTTAAAAGTGCAATCCATCATTCTCCCCATGTTCGATTTCACTCTAACTACTTACTTATAGTTTGGGTACAATCTTCAATCTTTTCCCTACTGCTCTACTTTATTTATTTATTTATTTAGAGACAGAGTCTCGCTCTGTCGCCCAGGCTGGAGTGCAGTGGCGCAATCTTGACTCACTGCAATCTCTGCCTCCCAGGTTCAAGCAATTCTCCTGCCTCAGCCTCCCAAGCAGCTGGAACTATAGGCATGCACCACCATGCCCGGCTAATTTTTGTATTTTTTTTTAGTAGAGACAGGGTTTCATCACGTTGGCCAGGCTGGTCTCGAATTCCTGACTTCAGGTGATCCGCCTGCCTTGGCCTCCCAAAGTGCTAGGATTACAGACATGAGCCACCAGGCCTGGCCTTGCTCCACTTCAAAAGGGGGAAAGGAAAGAGGAAAACTATTTAAAAGCCCAAATCAAACGAAACTAAACCAAACAACAACAAGAAAAAAAAAACACCAACCTTCTAAAATAAACAAACACAGGGTAGATGGCAGTACAAATATTTTTAAAACTACTGATATACAATGTAAAATGTACAGGATGAAAAGTCACAATCTAAATCATCAGCAGAGTACTAGTTAAATTTAACAGGGTATAACTACACAATGAGGTTGTAGACAGCTCTTAAAATGAGTAAGGTGGATCTGTATCAGACCTGCAGAGACCAAGACATTTATTGTAAGAGGGGGCAGAGAAGGGGAAATAAGTTACAAAATCAATATATATAGGATATACAGTATATAGGATATTTTTCTTTAAAAAACAATGAAGTAACCTCAAGAGATATACATGAAATCATGATCTCTGGAATACAGAATCTATAGGGCAGCTTTCACATTCTACATTATATATCTCTACACCATAGGCTTTTTCTGGGCATGTAATAGTTTTACAATCAGAAAAACAATGAAGGTATTTCCATTACTAATAAGAGAACTATTCTCTAGAGGTTTTAGAAATGCTCTTTTTCAAAAAGAAACTTTTTGCAAACTCTTAAGCAGCACCTTTCAGGGAAGTTTTCCTACCAAAAGAAAAAAGTTCTTTTCTAAACCTTGATTACCTGGCAAGTGAAAACAGAAGTGAACACCTCGTAACAAAAGAGAGGATTTCATGATCAGCAATGAATGGTGAATCTCGGAAATTTCTTGCAAGTCACACTACTTGCCCAGACATGCATAAAGCAAAGTTCCTTAGGTTTCTTTGATTCTAACTCCAAGAGTGACAAAAACCTCTCCAATGAAGTCCTTGAAAAAAGAGTATATGATCTTTCAAAACCTTTTTGTAAAATACTCAAGTCTTTGACAGTTCTACTATATAATTTTCCTTTTAACATAAAGCTTTAGGCCCCGGTCGAGAAGTGCTAGATACCTCCTTCTCATGTGAGGCGTACATGATACCAACTGTGGTTCCATATCACTCCGAATTCTAGAATACAACTCTGGCTTATGCAATAATGGCTTCCTTCTGCAAGGAATAGCTACTAAAGATAAATCCAGTATCCAATCAGAAAGTTTGGGATTACAGAGAAAGTCAGAATGACTGTATGATTAAGATTATGAGACGCAGGCTGCTAATGTATGAAGTTCAATTTCTAACAGAATTTGCTTGAAGGCCCACTTAAGAGCATGATTGAAACAAATGCCAGAATCAACAGTGTTGTAAAAATTCAGTATTGCAGACAGCACAAGACCCTTGCAGCAGGAAGTAATACACGCCAAATTAGGTAGGCTATAATAAAGGAGCCAACAAAAGGGGACACTGAGGAAGACCCACATTCTGCATAAAGTTGGTTTGGGCAATGACACTTGGACAAAGTGTCTGGTCAAAACACTCATGGTTACTGTGAAAACTAAATTAAGAATAATTATGCTTGAGTGAGTGTAGGAGAAGTTACGTGAAGCCATAAAATCTCATAATATCGACTCATTATATACTCTGAGATCTTACAAATCTGTTTCACTTTCTCTACCTTATAGGCTTTTGAACTGTCACTGTGGACCAACAGAATTTTTAATTCCTTTTAGTGGAAGAAATAGCGTTTAGCATTCTGATCCATTCCTCTCAACTGTGATCATCCAGCAAGGAAGAAAAAGATAATACTATTGCTCCATTTTAGGAAAAGAATTTAAAGGGAGGTTTTTCTCCTATTGCTCTATCATTTTCAAACTAACCTAAAAATTTCAGAAGTCTACATAGCCATTGAAGGGCATACTAATTTTCTAGAAATTCTTCATTAGCTGACGGCTTTCAAATATGATCTCTTGTCTATGGTCATACTACCCTGAATGCTCCCGATCTCATCAAATGTGACTCCTGTTTCCTATGGCAACTGTCTCAGTGATCCAGAACAATAACCCCTATTGTGGAGTGCTTCTTTCACTTTTCAAGAAAACAAAAATGCAAACTGACCTGAAGCTTTGTCACCAGATGATAACTGACCGGATGCTGGTGTAGGCCCAGATGGCTTAAGGGAATTTATTAGAGACCCCTATAACAGAATGCAAGCAAAATGTTTATGTTAAACCACTAACCATTCTTTGTAACAAAGAAATATGTAAAATGTAAACACAAAAATATAATTTAAAATAAGCAAGGACAAATACTTTTAGATAAATTACCAAAAAGAAAAAGGAAACAAAAAAAAGGTCTCAATTTAAGTTAACCATATGTAAGATCATATTAAAGGATGAAAATAGAAATACTCTGCAAGCTCCAAGAAGGCAGTCACACTGGCCTAGTTCATGGCTATCTTCCCAGTGCCTAGCACAGTGCTTAGCACATCAAAAGCACTTGACTATTAGGTAGATGAATTAATGAAGGAGTAAATTAATAAAATGGTTCTAGCTCTCAAAGCATGTACAATAAGGTTAAAAGCAAAACTGACTTATCCATCTCCAGTCAATGTTCCTTCACTCGCCATGACTTATGCCTTATCATGTGTTTTCCATGGTGAACACAAATACCTCCAGAAGAAAGATCGAATGCTAAATGCTTAAATGCCATTTTAAGTTATGGTAAACTAAGGAACAGAGGCAAGTTTGAGAACTTAAATAGGCAAGTCCTGATATCCAGTCTCAAATTCTGATCTCTAACACAAACTACTCATCTCAGAGACAGATGTAAGAGTAGTGAGAGAAACCAGAACTTCTTAGGAAGAGTTTCAGCACTAGCCTGACTGACCTTCCAACCATCCCCTATCACTTTTTTCTGGATTGTTTAACTGTTTGCAATATCACCTATTTTTCTAAGGGACAATGTTTATCAGGCAAAAGCCTGAAGCTAGACAAGCTAGACATAACATCACTAAAAATATGCAAACTCTGACAAACAGGGATTGCAGGAGAAAACCAGATAACCTATACCCCAGACATTGATACTCAACTGTGTAGTGAAACGAGCAATGGACAGGAGGAAGTCAGAAGCCTTGGGTCCCAGCTCTGGTTCCACCATTTACTAATCGTGAGAGTTTGCGTTGGTCACTCAAGCCTAGGCTGCCTCACCAGTGAGACATATCTAAACACCTATCCTCCCACTGTACACGGCTGTTGTATGGGTTAACTGAGATAATGTGAAAGTAAACTGCAAAGCAAAATACTTCATATAAAAATGTATGGTATTAGAATTATGACCCCAAATTACTAGGTGCAGAATGTTTAAATGGCCTATGAAGACAGTATCAGGTCCTGACTGACCTACCCTGATTAACAGCCATGTCAAGACTGGCATAAATTGTGGGGAAGGGATTATGGGCCTTTATCAGACTTATGGTTCATTTAAACAAAGTCAAGACTTAAAAACAGTATGGTCTTCACTTACAAAGACAGACACGGCATGAATGTTAAAAGTAAAACTCAGGCCGGGTACGGTGGCTCACACCTGTAATCCCAGCACTTTGGGAGGCCGAGGCAGATGGATCATCTGAGGTCAGGAGCTCGAGACTAGCCTGGCCAACGCGGTGAAACCGCGTCTCTACTAAAACTACAAAAATTGACTGGGCATGGTGGTGGGTGCCTGTAATCCCAACTACTCAGGAGGCTGAGCCACGAGAATCACTTGAACCCAGGAGGCAGAGGTTGCGGTGAGCCAAGATCGCACCACTGCACTTGAGCCTGGGCGACAGAGTAAGACTCTGTCTCAAAAAAAAAAAAAAAAAAAAAGTAAAAATCAGTAAGTTACCTGCTTGGCTTGGTTAGCAGCCACTGGGGTCAACACTGGGTGAGGTGTTTTGGCTGTGGAGTAGGGCACTGAAGAACTGAAAAACACACAAAGCATACACTCAGAGAAAGGCATGACTAGGTAAAAATCACATTCATTCTCAAGCCAACCTTCTGTCCAATATACAATACCAGTTTTGGGTAGGATACAGATGCATGGGACCCCAATACAACTGATTTGACATTTTTTTTGAAGGATAAATTTTAAAAATGAACTTTGGGTTTTTAGCATGAAAGTCAAAGCAGTGGCCTTATAACTTATTTCCTTTCTGCAATCCAAAGAAAAAAATTAGTAACCATTCAGAACTAGATCTTTTTGCTATCCAGAGTATAAGCCCTCCTCCTCCCTGGCCCTTCCCCCTGTTGTAGACCACGAGAAATTCCTGATTCTCTTACCCAAGCAGGCTCTATGGGAAGCATTCTCACTGCCACCTATGCATCCAATTCGCTGCTACCGCAAAGGTGCTATCCAAAGAGATCTTAGCTTCTCACAGCAGCTATCTCCAGGGCTCACCAGGTCAGCATCCAAGGGATTCAAATGTACCACTGTTCCATTCCCAACCTGCATCTTTGCTACAGCATGAAAAGTATACCCCTATTCGCAGAAAGAGCTCTCATCATCTTTTGTTAACTCTGAAGTAGGTGAATACTGTATGTGAGGAACTGTTATTTCAATAACTAGTGTTCACATATGGGAAAACTACCTGTTAGTGTAATCACACACAAAAGTTCTTGGCTCCTAGCGGCAATTTTTTCAATTTATCTGTTGTCAGCCCAGCGCTACTCTGACTGGTATATATAGCAGTAGTAGTTGTAGGACCTGGTTATTTTTCAGAACTCCCCTAGATTTAGGGAGGATTCATATTTTCCATCAAAAATGAACTTAGAAGATAAAAGATAGGCCTGTGCCTCACGGAAGAAAATTATCAAACAGCTTAACAAACCTTACAAGCATATTGAGATTCTCTGCTGGAATAACAAGGGGACCTTCCTAAACAGACTTTATTAGATTGAGAGAGAAGAAAAAGTGAACTTATGTTCAATGAAACAAAACCCGTTTCATGCTTCTACTGAAGCCAGAAGCAGCTATAAATATGCATCTCTCTGGAGAAACACATCTCTGTTCCCCTGAGATAGTTTACCAAGCAGGCAATACAGATACAGTGTTCCCCCGTCACCTCCGCTGAATCTGTACCAGAGGAAAAGAATGTGTGAGTGAGACTGCTGGGCCCTGAGCAGTACCTGGACAGACACAGCAGACTTGCTTAGAGAAGAGGTTGGAGCTCACAAGGATTACAAAGGAAAGGAAACTCTTTCATGCTTTCTCAAAGACAAACAGAAATCAGAAATAAAAATAAAAGCAGCAATTTATCCAAATTTTAGAAAATTTTTTACAGCCAGAATTCAATTGTGACATGATAGTAAATTATGCATGAATAAGACTGAGTGTAATTATTATTCTATTTATTTGTGATAATTCTATGTATCTCCTGAGTATCCTAAATCCCCAAATACACAAAATTAGGATTCACAGTACCTACACACCACGTGACACCCCTGCAAAGAAATGCTGTTCAGTGCAATCAGCCAGTAAACCAATTAACAAACCAGATCCAATAAATCTCTTATCAAGATCCAAGACAGCACACAGAAAAAAACAGTATACTCTCAAACAAATATGTTCAAACGTTTTTGCATGAGCATGAACCAAAACAATGGAAATCAATAGCTAGAAATGATCAAGAGATAGAAAAGCCAAATTCAGAAGTATCCATATCTTAGGTGACTTTATTCCACTTTTTAGCAATATGGAGTTGAAAAATATCAGAAATTCATCTTGATATTTGTTCTAAGAAGAAAATGGTGCTATAACAGAGCCCCAAAGAGACATCTCTTTACTGAGTGAGTCTACAAATGACACTGACATTGCCAGCAACACTAAAGTTCCTGCTTCAGAAATGAGCGACAGAGGCACAGATCACTAAGAGTCTGGAAACTCGGGTTCTTGGAGAAAAATAAAACACAGAAGAGTCATTTTTTTCTGTTTTTGGCCACACATTACCAGCACTACATGCCAACAGAGGCAGACAAATGCACACATGTTCCATGGATGTGTACTCTACACACAATTATAAAATTGGGTTGTGAAGCATTAAAATGTCACCTAGGCCCTTTGCTATTGATCCCTCCAACTTTAATGAACTTCAACAAGGTAAATACTCATCCCATTGTTGTAAAAAGCCTCAACTTCTTGTAACTTATTTCAGGATTTTAAAAAGCATAAAAAACAAGAGACCTGGTTATGTTTTATTTTGGTAAATCTTAATCACTATCACATGTATCTTTTCATACATACTCATATATGAGAGAGTGGAACTTATCAAGAGTAACTGAAGAAACAAAGAAATCAACAGGGAAAAAGAATGAAAATGATAGAAGATACTGAAAACAAACACTCTATATTCAATTCTTGGGCGTTTTTGACATCTGTCGATGGAAATATAACTGCCAACTATTTTCTCCATTGGTAAATTTAATGTCTTCAAAGACACATTCTTTAAAATAGTATCCAAAAGTCTGTTAAAGCAAATTGTATTTCCTGCATGAATGTTTAGATGCTAAGTAACTTAAATAATTAAGACGGAATTGCATTAGAGCTTTGAAAAAATCCACATTAAATATGAAAAAATAGGCCAGGCACGGTGTCTCACGCCTGTAATCCCAGCACTTTGGGAGGCCGAGGTGGGTGTATCACTTGAGGTCAGGAGTTCGAGACCAGCCTGGCCAACATGGTGAAACTCCGTCTCTACTAAAAATACAAAAAAATTAGCCAGGTGTGGTGGCAGGTGCCTGTAGTCCCAGCTACTTGGGAGGCTGAAGCATGAGAATCGCTTGAACCCGGGAGACAGAGGTTGCAGTGAGCCAAGATTGTGCCACTGCACTCCAGCCTGAGTGACAGAGCGAGACTCCATCTCAAAAAAAAAAAAAAAAGAGAGAGGCCGGCTGCAGTGTCTCACGCGTGTAGTCCCAGCATTTGGGAGGCCAAGGTGGGTGGATCATCTGAGGTCAGGAATTTGAAATCAGCCGGGCCAACATGGTTAAACCCCGTCTCTACTAAAAATACAAAAATTAGCCGGCTGTGCTGGTGCACACCTGTAATCCCAGCTACTCAGGAGGCTGAGGCAGGAGAATCGCTTGAACCTGAGAGGCGGAGGTTGGAATGAGCTGAGATTGCGCCACTGCACTCCTGCCTGGGTGACAAAGCGAGACTCCATCTCAAAAAAAAAAAAAAAAAAAAAAGAAAAAGAAAAAAGAAAAAGAAAAGAAAAAATACGAATAGTGTAAGAATTTTTAATGACATGGAAAATGTAAACGATTACATTTCATGATTAAGCTGAAAAGGTTACAAATTTACAAAGCAGCATGCATCCAAATTTTTCTCTAACAAGAAACATTTTCATAAAATAAGGATGAAAAAATGTGTAAATAACAATCATACATTTGTGGTGGGAATAAAGGTGATTTTAAGTTTGTTCTTTTTAACTATCTTTTTTATATCTACAACAAACATTTGTAATTAGAAAAACAAAAGGATTAAAGTTCCTTTTAAGTTTCTGGTCATTACTAGAGTTATTATTTTTAAAGTAGAGGAACATCTTTAAATCAGTGAAAGAAAAAAACTGCCAATCTAGAATTCTTTACCCTGTGAAAATATCTTTCAAAATCAAAGGTGAAATAAAGACTTCTGCAGACATACAAAAGCTAAAAGAATTCAGATATGAACCTCAAGAAACATTAAAGGAAGTCCTTTGAGCAGAAGAAAAATTATACCAGATGGCAAGCTGGGACCAGACACAGGAATGAAGAACCCTGGAAATGGTAACTATATGTATAAACATGTAAACTTTTTTCTTCTTATTTAAATGTATTTAAAAGATAGTCAGCCGGGCGCGGTGGCTCAAGCCTGTAATCCCAGCACTTTGGGAGGCCGAGGCAGGCGGATCACCTGAGGTCAGGAGTTCGAGACCAGCCTGGCCAACATGGCGAAACCCCGTCTCTACCAAAAATATAAAAATTAGCCAGGTGTGATGGTGGGCACCTGTAATCCCAGCTACTAGGGAGGCTGAGGCAGGAAAATCACTTGAACCTGGGAGGCAGAGGTTGCAGTGAGCTGAAATCGCACCACTGCACTCCAGCCTTGGCGACAGAAGAAGAATCCATCTGGGGGGTAGTGGGGAGGAAAGATAGTCAACTGTTTATAACAATGTATCATGAGGTTTACAATACAGTGGAAGTAAAATGCACAATAGCATAAAGGTGGTGAAGGGAGAAAATAGAATACTGCTGTTAGATTCTTACACTATTCTTTAGTAATATAGTATCACTTGAAGACAGTCTGTGATAAGTTGAAGATGTATACTATAAACCCTAATGTAAGCACTTAAATAACACCAAGTTATAGCCAATAAGTCAACAAAAAAGTTAAAATAGAGTCATAGAGACATTTAACCCAAAAAAAGGCAGAAAAACAAAAACTGAACAACAAACAGATGGGATAAATAGAAACAAATAGCTATATAACAGATTTAAACCAAAACATGTCAATAATTACACTTAAGGTAAACGATCTAATCACCCCAATTAAAAGTCACAGATGGTCAAGATTAAAAAAAAGCAAGCTAAGGCCCACTATATACTGTCTACAACTGTGGTCCCCAACCTTTTTGGCACCAGGGACTGGTTTTGTGAAAGACAATTTTTTCCACAGACGGACAGCGGAGGGGGATGGTTTCAGGATGAAACTGTTTCACCTCAGATCATCAGGCTATAATTTTATATTTTATTCAGTTAGATTATCATAAGGAGCATGCAACCTAGATCCTTTGCATGTGCAATTCACAATAGGGTTCATGCTCCTATGAGAATCCAAAGCTGCCGCTGATCTGACAGGAGGTGGAGCTCAGGTGGTAATGCTCACTTGCCTGCCGCTCACCTGCTGTGTGGCCCAGTTCCTAAGAGGCCACAGACCGGTACTGGTCTGCAGCCCAGGGCTGGGGACCCCTAATCTATAAGAAATCCATTTTATTTTTTTAAATTATTTTTGTTTATTGTGGTAAAATACACTTAACAAAATCTGCCATCTTAAAAGTAACCATTTTTAAGTGCACATGTAGTTCAGTGATACTAAGTACATTCACATTGCTGTGCTACAAGAAACCCATTTTAAATATAAAGACAAAATAAGTTGAAATAAAAGGATGGAAAAGATATGTTGTGGTGCTGGGACAACTGGATATCCACATTCAAAACAATGAAGTTGGATCTCTACTTCACACCATTTACAAAAATTAACTCCAAATGGATCAGAGACCTAGATATAAGAGCTAAAACCACATAACTCTTCAAAGAAAACATCGGTGTAAATCTTTATGACCTTGGATTAGGCAATGGTTTCTTACATGTGACACCTAAAGCACAAGCAACAAAAGAAAAAATAGATAAACTGGACTAAATTTTCGTGTCAAAGGACACAACAAGAAAGTGAAAAACAACTCAAAGAATGGGAGAAAATATTTGCAAATCATATGCTTGATGAGAGACTTGAATACAGATTATATAAAGAAACTTAGAGCTCAAAAATAAAAAGACAACCTAATTTTAAAATGGAGCAAAGGAACTAAATAGATATTTCTCCAAAGATACAACTGGCCAATAAGCACGTGAAAAGATGCTCAATATCACCAGCCATTAGGGAAATGCAAATCAAAACCACTGATAGTGTGAGATACCATTTTATACCACTAGGATGACTATAACCAAAAAGATAGTCAATAATGAGTGTTGGTGAGGATGTGGAGAAGCTGGAACCCCCATACATTGCTGTTGGGAATGAAAAATGGTGCAGCACCTCTGTAAACCAGTTTGAGCTATGTAATCCAGCGATTCCACTCCTACATACATACCCAAAAGAACTGAAAGCAGGGACTCAAACAGACACTGTCCACCAACAGTCTTTCCTGACCTACTCCCCCAGCATTCTTCCTCTTGTTCCCTCTACTCTCGTCACCAGAGGTCCCCCCTGACTCGCTCTTCAACTTGTAGACACGCTCCTGCTACAGGCCCTGTGCTTGGAGCTTTCTTCCGAGATATTAATGAGACCTGCTGTGTGGCCTTTCTCTCTTCATTCAAAGGTCACCTTCCTGAGAAGGCCTTCCCTGGCCACCCTATTTAAAATTATAACCCATGTTCAGACAATACTCTCTAACCTTTCCCCCGCTTTAATTTTCTCCATCACACCATATCACCATCTAATATATTACATATTTTACTTATTTATTTTGATTATTGTTTGTCTCTCCAAACAATCAGTCTGTTAGTTTTTTTGGTCTATTTTGTTAACAACAAAACAGGTAGTTTATCTCCAGCTCCTAAGAATACTGTGTGGCATACAACAAATGCTCATTAAGTATTTGTTGAAAGAATGAATAAATGAATGAATGCACACCAAAATAAGTGTTTGTGTAATTGGCAGTTTCCCGGCTGTCTTCTTGTTTGGTTTGTCTTATTCAACTACCCTATCTCTAGTACCCAGGGCAGTATCATGCTCACAGCAGACGCTGTGTAAGAATCTGCTGAATCAAGCGATGGAGCACTGCAAAGGAATTTGAATAGCTGTGGGTTGGCGCCAGATAAACACTCTTCCAACGAACTGAATGGATGAGGCCAATGAACATAAAGTACACCAATGGCAGAAATATGTAAGCTCATCCTATGATGAATCTTCTGTAGATACCACTGAGAAAAAGCTAACTGCAAAATTAAATACTTAAAATACACTTAGGAAACTACTGTTTAAAAGAATCTGTTCCACGAGAGCTGGCTGAAAATAATTTTAAAAATAAAACATAAAAGAATCTGAAAGCAAGTCATTTTACAATGAACATATTCTCTCGATCTTTCCTGGGGAGGGGTGGCAGTAAACACCAATTTTCACTTTTCAATTTATGTTTGGAGTAGAGTTTACCTATTATTCAATAAATGATTATTGAAAGGAATGCTTCTACATTTCAGGCACCATGCTGGGCATACACATGAAATAATTATACCAGAGTCTAATTCTGTGGAGAATGGAACAGAAAGTTTCTTCAAGATTTCTTAAGTTGTCTGAGATTTTTTGTCAGAAAGAGTAGACTCAAAATTACTCCTTGAACAAACCCTTCATCAAAGATCAGCTCAGATGAACCATTTAGGGAAATGAAGCTTGAGAAAAGGAGAAGTGGAATCTCCAAAAGGTGCTTCTCATACATGGTTAGCACCTAATATATCTCAGAAACACTAGACAATACTTCCTGTACCATATGCTGAGTTTTCCCATCTTATGTAACATTCTGCCTTGCCTTCCCTATGCTGGGAATCTGGCTACAATTCCCAAACTCTAATGCATAGTTCTTTCCCTTGAAAAGCTTGCAACAACCACAAATACCATCTTGGTCTAAACAGCATACCAAGGCTCCGAGGTCACTACAAAATAGTAATAGAGAAGGCTTGTTTTTTGGCTGTTAGTATGGCCCTGAGATAACTAAAAATTCCTCAAACAAGCAGTGTTGATAAACAGAACAACATGGAAAAAAAGAGGCCAGCGGACCAGTGAGGCAGGGCCACTTGAGAGAGGGAAAACAGAACCGTGGGCAGATCTGCTCTGTGCAATGGCAGAGGGTGGGCACGCTGTGGAGAACCACAAGGTCTATGGCTGCCCTTCTTGCTGCTAGACTAATCATGGGTACCAGACACTAACTCCCTGAAATCTGATACTAGTCCTCAAGATCCCCATGTTCCAAGTGAGGAAATGTCCCTCAACTCTTCCCTTTGCCACAGGGGATGGTGGTTGGTCTAAAGGGATCACAGTCACAAAATATGCAGGGCAAAGCAGGGCACAGGCATGTTCTGCGAACCTGCCCAGGGCAGCGGGAGGGAGTCAGCACCCTGAATTCCGAACACAGATGAGGACTAAAGACAAATGAGCTAGGCTGGGCACAGTGGCTCCTGCCTATAATCACAGCACTTTGTGAGGATGAGGTGAGAGGATCACTTGAGCCCAGAAATTTGAGACCAGCCTGGGGTGACATGGCAAAAACTCCATCTCTACAAAAAATTAAAAAATTAGCTGGGTGTGGTGTCATGTGCCTGTAGTCCCAGCAGCTACTTGGGAGGCAGATATGGGAGCATGGCTTGGGCCCAGAAGGTTAAGGCTACAGTGTGCCATGATCGTACTGCACTCTGCACTCCAGTCTGGGCAAGAGTGAGACCTTGTCTAAGAAAAAACAAAAAACAAAAAACAACAACAACAACAACAACAAAACCACCACCACCACCAAAAAAACAAGTGAGCTCCACCAGCAACAATCCAGCCCTCAAACATGGCATGGCAGAGAAGCTAAAGTCTCCAAACAGAGGTGCTGTCTTTTATACAAAAGCAAAAGAAATGGGAAGAACAGAAATGCCTGGAGAAGGGAAGTGAGGGAGGAGAGTGTCACCCTTGAGATTACAGTTTCCAGAATCAAGTCTGCATGAGACCCAAAGCATCAACTCTGGAACCCCTAGGGCATTAAAAAAAAAAAAAAAATCAACCTGCACACCTAATGTGTACCACACAGAGACTTACACATGGCAAACAGAAACTGAGCATACAGCATCAAGACAAACTTTAAAAGTTTGTGAGGCAACTGTCACCGGCCAGTTAAAAAGGACAGTCTCCTGAAAATGCATTGTGTAGGCAGGCTTAGCCGCCACCCCCCTTATAACCTAAGGCGGTGCAGGAAAACCAGACTGTGACAGTGGCACTGCTGCTCCCTGCAGGCAGTCCACCGCTACTACAGAAGCAGCCAGGGGCTGAAACACACTGCAGTCAGAACATACCCCATGGCTGTAGAAGGGGTTGCAGGGTTATTCTTCAATTCCTGCACATTTACCACTTGAGGGACATTCTTCAACGTTGATTCAGTCAAAGTGTTTACAGCTAATTTAAACAGAGAAGAGAGAACACCATATTAATTCCAGCAAAGGATAAAAAGTTCTAGCCACATATAAATGAAAAACCAAGACATGAGCCCAAGCAGATTAGAGCCTTATCATGTGAAGGAAATCTACTCTAGGTAGTTCTTGCAGCATTGTGTTCAAAGGAACACCTGGCCTACTCCATTAACACAGGTGATGGAACAAGGCTTCCTGTAACTGAATCGAATGTACTAGAGTAGGGGAAAAGAATTCTCTGGCCAGCTTTTCTACACAGAGCTGAGACACCTGCCACACTGCTGGTCTGTCCTGGAAAAGGGCAGCTTGAGCTAGAGGATTAACAGCATCTAGACTCAGGATTTCTGCCACTCATTCACTGTCTTTCTTTAACATGGGCTTATTATGTGCCAGGCTCTGTGTTAGGGGCTGCGAATACAAAATGTATCTATAGTTTCTTCTCTAAAGAAACTCATGGCCTAGTGAGACAGAAAGGCATAATGAATAAAATGTGGAAAATGGAGCTTGGACAATAATGGGAGAAGAGACTAAGAGGCATATATCTGACACCTCCTCATCAGCTTTCGTCTTATAATTGTAAATTGTATCCCAAAAGACTTAATGACATTCTATAATTAGCAATTAAGGAAGCCTGAGCAAAGCTTGTGGCTCATTACTAACTGCATCACTGGCCAAGGTGAAAGTGGTTATCACAAGCAGAATGACAGACCTGTAGTTAATTCTCTTTTATTCCCTCTTTCAAAGAAGTGACCAGAACATCTTGCCCACGACTGCACATCTTTCATATTTCATATTCAAAGGTGCCTATACCTTAGAAATTTTTGCATCCAACATGATAATACAGATCACACCACCTTCTGCTGAGTGGAACAATCCTCAATCCTAATAGATTTTAACGTTTTACAGATCATTGACTTGATCAACTTGATTTCAGGCCTGTTCAGCACAATGGCAAGATTCTACCTGGTCCAAGTAATATTTAAAGAGATCAAAGAATTCTATTTTTAGAAAGCCCAAAGGTACCTCAAAAGTTATCTTTGTTTTGTTCTTCAATATATATGTTAGATGTCTTAATAAAGGTTTTAATATTTGAATTTTTCTTTACAATCTTTTGACTTATCACTGTTTAATGTTAGTTCTTTTTTCCTAAATCAAACTATTATGTCTTTTTAGTCTTTAAAAAAAACTCTAAATTGATAAGTGTTGTAAGCAGTGATACATCTAAAAAATAATTTTACTCAGCTAAAATGAAAATATTTGGCTTATATCTGTTTCTTGACCCTGGCACTACTGACATTTTGGGGCTAGATAACCCTTTGTTGTGGGGGTGTCTTATGCATTTTAAAGATTTTTTTTTTGCAGCATTCCTGGCCTCTACCCACTAAATGCCAGCAACACTGCCAACTGTTTCAGGGGTGGAGGACAGGGAAGTGGGGGCAGCCTCTAGTTGAGAACTACTAGCTTATAAAACTGATAACTAGTGATAACTGAAGTCCTTGAGACCAACTACGCAGACTGTAAAATCCTAATGTACAATGTACATTAACGTAGAAAGTAGTAGAAAGTTTGGGATAATGACAAGCCACTGACGAAATGTTAAGTGCTAACTGACTTATTAGCGCTTCCTTCTGTAAAAGTTAAATTTTACAATGTTAAAAAAAAAGCTTTGGTCAGGAGCAGTGGCTCATGCCTATAATCCCAGCACTTTGGGAGGTAGAGGCGGGTGGATCACTTGAGCCCAGGAGTTTGAGACCAGCTTGGATAACATGGTGAAATCCTGTCTCTACAAAAATTTTTTAAATATTTGCCTGGTGTAGTGGTGCATGCCTGTAGTCCTAGCTATCCAGGAGGCTGAGGTGGGAAGGTCACCTGGGTTCGGGAGATCACGGAGGCTGCAGCGAGCCGTGATCGCACCAGTGTCCTTCAGCCTAGGCAACACAGTGAGACCCTGTCTCAAAAGAAAAAAAAAAAAAGCTTCATGCAAGATATAGTTGGAGAAGAAAAAATGCTCAACTGAAAAAGAGCAGAGGGTTAGAGTCTGGGTTCTGCTACTTATTGGTGGGATAACCTTCACCTCTCTGAACTTCAGATTACTCAAACACAAAATGGTCATTCTTTTTGTTTGTTTGTGTTTGTTTTGTTTTAGAGATGAGGTCTCACTATGTTGCCTAGGGTGGTCTCAAACTCCTGGCCTCAAGTGATCCTCCCACCTCAGCCTCCCAAAGTGCTGGGATTACAGGCATGAGTCACTATGCCCAGCCAAAATAGCCATTCAAATACCTACCTCTTGGGGTAGCTGCAATCTGTAAGATACTAAGAGATGACGCTAGTGTTATTCGATGATCGAATTTCAAAGGTTATAATTTTAGGGCTCTAAGCAGACATTATTCAAAAGTAGGATTAGCAATTTTGTTTAAAAAAAAAAACAAACCCCACTGATTTCCACCTTAACTAAATGTGGCAGTTCTAATCCCTCCCCTTAAAAGCAAAGATTTTCAGACCTAGTCTCTGCTTTCTTAGAACTCTCTCCACAAAGGGGAGAGGGCTGTCACATCAATCTTCTCTTCTGAAGGGCACCAAAGAGCGCCCACTGTTTCTTGCCACCTGCTGTCCTGGCCTGTGACTCAGACAGCTCATAATCAGCCTCTGTACAGGTATGGGGCTACAGCTTTTACCTGGTGCCTGACTGGCCATCTGCCGCCTGAGTGCTGCTGCGGCAGCTGCCTGCGGGGCTGAGATGGGGTGGGAAGGACTAGGTGCACCATGTTTCACGGTTTTCGTGGCAAGCATTGTGCTATCGGCCCCTTGAGGAATAATTTTGCTAGCAGATGTAGCCACTAAGAGGAAAAGAAAAATTAAGTGTGAGTGGGTGAGAGAACAGGAAAATACAAAAGGTTAAATTGGTAAATTCTTTATGTTCGACTGCAGGGAAAATGCTAAAATTAGCGTTAACATAGAAAAGTACCAGTAAACTAACAGGCTGGCATCTATATCTTTCAGTTATCGCATGAAATTTGCCTACCCACCTCTACTAAGATACATCATCATTTCCTGATACTGATTGAGATACAACTTTTATACCAACATAGACCAATTCCCTGATCCCCTCTCACAAATTCTCTTCATTCTAGTACCTAACACTGGTATTTTTCTCTGCTGGAAGTCACTTTGATGCAAAGCCCTGACACTGTACTGAAAGTGTGGGGGCACAACACCTGTCAGTACAGTGAGCCAATACTGACCACAAGCATCAGAGCTGGTGAGTTCTGAGGCAGAATATGCCACAAGTCAGGCTGAAATGAGCCAGGATTTAAAAGATATGAGTGTGGATGTTGCTTTATAACTGAAGCAAACAGCCCCCTTTTACTTCTGAAAAAGATCTGTTTTAAAAAACAAGCTGGCTCAGCAGAAAAACTGTTATAGCGCATAAACTTGGAGAGCCATCTCCTTCCTCACAATGGCCTAGCAACTGCTTTCAAGGGGAACACACATCTTTTCAATCAGTCTTCTAATTTCTAGAATATAAGCAGAAGTGAGTTGAGCAGCCAGGTGCAGTGGCTCATGCCTGTAATCCTACCACTCTGGGAGGCCAAGGCAGGTGGATCACCTGAGGTCAGGAGTTTGAGACCAGCCTGGCCAACACAACATGGTGAAACCCCGTCTCCACTAAAAATACAAAAATTAGCCAGGCGTGGTGGTGCACGCCTGTAATCCCAGCTACTTGGGAGGGTGAGGCAGGAGAATCATTTGAACCCAGGAGGTGGATGTTGCAGTGAGCCTAGATCGCGCCATTACACTCCAGCCTGGGCAACAGAGTGAGACTCCACCTCAAAAAAAAAAAGAAAAAAAGAAAAAAAAAAAAAAGTGGGCTGGAGCCAACCACCATATTGGTGTGACAGTATAAGACCCAGTTACAATTCCGTCATTAGTTAGAAACATCATAGGGAAAAACAGTTTCCTTTCCCACTGTTTACTTACCTGAAGTTCCCATCACACCAGGTGAAGAACCATGAACCAGGTGAGATTTAGCAAAAGGTGCTGCATGGGGCAAGAGACTGGGCTGGATGGAAGGAGTGCGAACCACGGGGGCGTGCCGAGGGGCCTGAACCACTGCCTCGTCATCTTTACAGGACGTCCGTGCATCTTCACTCTCCAGAGACTGGGAGACAGATGACGTTGAGCTGACTTCATCCAAGTCTTCATAATATCTCTGAGACAGAAAGGCTGATCGAGACAGGCTGGCTACAAAAGCCCCAAACAAAACACAATTTAGACAACTCAAAGCAAGCCCAAAAGCTAAGTAATTTTCACTGTTGATAAAAAAAAAAAATACTCAACTTGTAAAATGATTTAATTATTACTTATTTTAAGTGGGAGCAGGTATTGTCAAATGTGAACAAAAATGGTTTTGGGTCTTTGCTCAGATGGGGATTTGAGAAACTGAGGTGTGTGAACGAGAACATCTTGGGGCTGTTAAAAGAATGTGAAAAAGTAAGAGACAGAATTAATGCTGGTGTCAAAGTAGAAGCCTGGAGCCCTCACTAGTATAATAATAATATACTAGAAATGTAACAGGCAAGTTTCCATGGTGGGGTGAACAATCACACCATTACTGTCACCTTCCAATGATAAGCTTCTAAGAACAGGTCCAACGCAAAATGGATTAGAAAGAATGTCCTCGGTCCTGAGTGTCTCGAACATTTCCAGATAAATCTAATGATTCTTCTGATTCAGACAATTAGGTTTAAAAAAAAAAAATACAAGAGACTGGGTGCAGTGGGTCAGGCCTATAATCCCAGCACTTTGGGAGATTGAGGCAGGAGGACTGCTTGAAGCCAGGAGTTCAAGACCAGCTTAGGCAACATAGTGAGACCCTGTCTCTACAAAAAATAGGGTAACAGAGTGAAACTCTGTCTCAAAAAAAAAAAAAAAAAAAAAAAAGGCTGGGTGCAGTGGCTCAAGCCTGTAATCCCAGCACTTTGGGAGGCTGAGGCGGGCAGATCACCAGGACAGGAGTTCAAGACCAGCCTGGCAAATATGGTGAAACCCCATCTCTACTAAAAAATACAAAAATTAGCCAGTCGTGGTGGTGCACACCTGTACTCCCAGCTACTCAGGAGGCTGAGGCAGGAGAATCGCTTGAACCCGGCAGGTGGAGGTTGCAGTGAGCCCAGATTGCACCATTGCACTGCAGCCTGGGCAACAGAGTGAGACTCCTTCTCAAATAACAACAAGAAAAACCCAAAAGAGAAAATAGAATTGAATTGAACTGAATCCCGGCCTTCTGTTTAGACTACGAAGAGTAAGGCTTTATGTCATGTTAACTTTCTATCATAAATTTCAGAATGCAAGTGAATACTTCCTGTATATTGGAAAAAACAAAAACCAAACAAAATAATCTAGCCCTTTTTCTTCCCTCCCCAAGTTATTTAAAATGGCTCTGCAAATATTTATTGACTTTTGTGTCCCATGTGCACATGGCTCTGCAAGATTTTATTGTCATAATGTAAGTATAACATAAACAAATGCCACTAAAAACCAATGCTATGTGCTACGGCTGTCTTAGCCAATTTGGTAGCCAGTAGCCATATGTGGTTATTTAAATTTAAAGTAATCAAAAGCAAATTAATGAAAAATCAATTCCTCGATTGCACTATCCACATTTCATGTCCTCTACAGCCACATGTGGCTAGTAGCTACCCTGTTGGACAACAAAGATACAGAACATTTCCATCATCACAGAAAATCTTCCTGTGAGACAGCAAAAGAAACTACCATCAGAGTGAACAGGCAACCTACAAAATGGGAGAAAATTTTCACAACCTACTCATCTGACAAAGGGCTAATATCCAGAATCTACAATGAACTCAAACAAATTTACAAGGAAAAAACAAACAACCCCATCCAAAAGTGGGTGAAGGACATGAACAGACACTTCTCAAAAGAAGACATTTATGCAGCCAAAAAACACATGACAAAATGCTCACCATCACTGGCCATCAGAGAAATGCAAATCAAAACCACAATGAGATACCATCTCACGCCAGTTAGAATGGCAATCATTAAAAAGTCAGGAAACAACAGGTGCTGGAGAGGATGTGGAGAAATAGGAACACTTTTACACTGTTGGTGGGACTGTAAACTAGTTCAACCATTGTGGAAGTCAGTGTGGCGATTCCTCAGGGATCTAGAACTAGAAATACCATTTGACCCAGCCATCCCATTACTGGGTATATACCCAAAGGACTATAAATCATGCTGCTATAAAGACACATGCATACGTATGTTTATTGCGGCACTATTCACAATAGCAAAGACTTGGAACCAACCCAAATGTCCAACAATGATAGACTGGTTTAAGAAAATGTGGCACATATACATCATGGAATACTATGCAGCCATAAAAAATGATGAGTTCATGTCCTTTGTAGGGACATGGATGAAATTGGAAATCATCATTCTCAGTAAAATATTGCAAGGACAAAAAACCAAACACCGCATGTTCTCACTCACAGGTGGGAATTGAACAATGAGAACACATGGACACAGGAAGGGGAATATCACACTCTGGGGACTGTTGTGGGGTGCGGGGAGGAGGGAGGGATAGCATTAGGAGATATACCTAAGGCTAAATGAAAAGTTAATGGGTGCAGCACACCAGCATGGCACATGTATACATATGTAACTAACCTGCACATTGTGCACATGTACCCTAAAACTTAAAGTATAACAAAAAAAAAAAAAAAAAAGAAAATCTTCCTGTGAGATAACAACTAGGTACTGTTTTAAGCCGCTAGGTTTGTGATAATTTGTTACGGCATCCATAGGAAACTAATACAAACCCATGTTTTCTTGGGGCCAAATTTCTCTCCATAATTTCTCCAAAATCCTATTGTAGTTCCTGATAGTAACAATAAAAGATGACTCAAATAATCACATCACCTTCAAGAACTAGACAGAAAGAGACACTGGAATAACTATGTAACCTCCAAGGTCCTATGTAACATGAAGGTACTCTTAGTTCCTTCCTTCACCTTTCTGAGGCAATTTACCTGCCTTCGGTGGAGGAACCCCATCAACTGAAAGATGCAATGGGCATGCTCACTCACAGAAGCATGGGGCATGGACTGCTCACTATGCCAATGGTGCTGCCTCCACCATTAATGGGTGCTGCTCTCTGCTGTGATCAAGGATGCAGCTAACTGCCTGGCATTAGAAAGAGCGTCCCACTGAAATTTAAAGAATCTTATTCTGTTTACACTCTACGTCAGATAAGGAAAGGTAGAAAGCTACATGACTGAGGGCAGGGAGGGTGGGGAGACAAAAGGATAGAAAGTCATATGATCATCTCAGTAGATGCAGCAAACCTCACATCTTAGGATGAACTATAGAAAGTGCTCCTTTTGAGATCAAGGAGAGCTACACGACACTTTTACGCTGCACTGGAGGTTCTAGCCAGTGAAGTAAGGTAAAATAATAATAATAATAATAATGATAATAATAATAACAAAAGGACTGGAAAGGCAGAAACGTCACCATTAGTATCCATGGAGGATTTCATTGTTTCCATAGTTACAAGGCCAAGAAACAGCTACAGACGTGTTAGAATAAATGAATTCTGCCAGGTTGTTGGCTGTAAGTAAATACACATAAATCAATGGTATTTCTCGATACTACATCCAACATAAACCATAAAATTTAAGGAAAAAAAATCTACCATTATAAGAGCAACAAATTTTTGCAATTAAATTTTTAGCAATTAATCTAACAAAAGATGTGCATGTCTCCCACGCAGAAAACATTAAGAGAAATTAAAGAACACCCAAATATACAAATATGTACCCAGTTCAGGAACTGAGAGTTCACTACTGCACAAATGTCAATTCTCAAGTTGATCTAGAGACTCAATACAATTCCAATCAAAATCTCAACTTTCCTTTGAAGGCTGAGGAAGGCAAAATTCCTCCCCCAAAACTTTCTTTTTTTAAAGACGGAGTTTCGCTCTTGTTGCCCAAGCTGGAGTGCAACGGCATGATCTCGGCTCACTGCGACCTCTGCCTCCCGGGTTCAAGCGATTCTCCTGCCTCCCTTCTTTTTTATTTATTTATTTTTTTATTGTGGTAAAATATACATGACATAAAATGCACCATAGTCACATTTTAAAGTGTACAGTTCCATGGCATAAATACATTCCTAATGTTGTATAACCGTGACTACCATCTATCTCCAGAACGTTTTCATCTTCCCGAACTGAAACTTCATCCCCATGAAACACTAACTCCCCATTTTCCCTCCTCCAGCTTCCGGCAGCCACCATTCTAGTTCTGTCTCTATAGTTTTGACTACTCTAGGTACAGGGAGGTAGAATTTAACAAGACAATTTTAAGGTTAATATGAAAATGTAAAACACCAAGAAAGGCAAAACATTCTAGAGCAGGAGTCAGAAAACTACAACCATAGACCAGCTGTCTCTTTGCAGAAATATAAAGTTTTGCTGAAACACAGACATGCCCCTCTCATCACATGGTCTGTGGCTGCTTTCCCATTACAACAGCAGAGTTAGGTAGGTGCAATGGAAACCACAGCACCTGCAAACCTCAACTATTCTCCAGCTGGCCCCTTACAGAAAAATCTGCCAACCCCTACTCTGAATTGTAGAACTTTCTGCAATGATGAAATGTTCTTTATACGTGTTTGCCATTACAGTAGCCATTAGTCACATGTGCCTACTGAGCACTTGAAATGTGGCTACTGGGATTGCAAAACTAAATTTTAAATGTTACTTATTTTTCTTTTTAAAATTTATATATTTATCTGAGACAGGGTCTCACCACTCCTTTCCCAGGCTGGCCTCGAACTCTTGGGCTCAAGTGATCCTCCTGCCTCAGCCTCCTCAAAACAGCTGGGATTACAGGCATGCACCACCTTGCCTTGCAATTTTATTTAATTTAAATGTAAGCAGAGGCTGGGCGTGGTGGCTCACACCTGTAATCCGAGCACTTTGGGAGTCTGAGGCAGGCGGATCACAAGGTCAGGAGATCGAGACCATCCTGGCCAACACGGTGAAACCCCCATCTCTACTAAAAATACAAAAAAATTAGCTGGGCTTGGTGGCACGCAGCTGTAGTCCCAGCTACTTAAGAAGCTGAGGCAGGAGAATTGCTTGAACCCAGGAGGCAGAGGTTGCAGTGAGCTGAGATCATGCCACTGCACTCCAGCCTGGCAACAGAGCGAGATTCTGTCTCCAAAAAAAAAAAAAAAACAAAAAAAAACAAAGTAAGCAGAATACCATATTGGACAGAACACCTCTAGAATCTAGCAAGAGAACAGTATTGAGACTTATTTGAGCACTAATTAAGGCAGTGTGGCAGTAGTGCTTTCTAATCAGTGTATGAGACCAACAAACATACATGTATAGGGATAAACGATTTATAATAAAAGTGGCCCTGCTAAGCAGGGAGGAGAGTCTTTTCAATAAATAGTGTTAGGACAAGCAGATATCCAAACACAAAAAAATGACACATGAGCCATACCTTATATCACACACAAAAATCAATTATTGATAGGGTGAACTAAATATATCTATACAGTGGAATACTGTTCAATGACAAAATGGAATGAACTAATGATACATGGTACATATCATGGGTGAACAACAAAAACATGCTAAGTGAAAGAACCTAAACCCAAACACTATCAGACTCCATAATATATGCAATTTCTTTAAAAAGGCAGATCCAAGAAGAAAGAAAGCAGATCAGTGGTTGCTTGGGTAGAACAAGAATTGACTGCAAACAAGCTTGGGGAAACTTTTTAAGTGATGGAAATGTTCTAGAACTGAAATGTGGTGATGGGTATACAATTCTGTAAACTTAGTAAAAAGCACCCAGCTACCAGCAGGTGAGTTTTATATGTAAATTATACCTCAATAAAGTTGATCCAATTGTGAAAGACAAACTTAAATGTTTCTGGAAGATAATAAAGGTGCATACCTACTTTCATTACCTAGAGATAGAGGATTTCTTAAACAGAACACAAAAAGTACTAACTATAAAAGAAAAGGCTGATAAATCTCACTATTTTACAATTAAGAACTTCTGCTCACCAGGCTGGGCACAGTTGCTCACATCTGTAATCCCAGCGCTTTGGGAAGCTGAGGCAGGAAGATCACGTAAGGCCAGGAGTTCAAGATCAGCCTGAGCAATACAGCAAGACCATGTTCCTACAAAAACTAAAAAAATTATCTGGGCATGGTGGCCTGGCCTGTGCCTATAGTCCCAGCTACTCAGGAGGCTGAGGCAGGAGGATCGCTTCAGCCACGGAGGTTGGGGCTGCAGTGAGCTATGACTGCACCACTACACTCCAGCCTGGGCAACAGAGCAAGAGTCTGTTTCTAAAAACAAAAACAAAAACGAACTTCTGTTCACCAAGACATAATTAAGAGGACAAAAAGGCAAAGTGAGTATCTGCAACTCACAAAACCAACAAAGGCTGGTCTCCAGAATTGATAAAAACATGTACAAATCAATAAGACAGAGTATTCAATAATAAATGAATGAGCAAAAGATTTAATTCGGTACTCCACAAAAGAACATATCCAAATGGTTAAAACATTTTACAAAAGAGTCCTACCAGAATAGTTAAAAGAAAAAAGACCGACAATATCAAGTTTGGCAAAGATGTGGAACAACTGTAACACTCATTTACTGATGATAAAGTACAACCACTTAGTAAAACCGCCTGGCAGAGTCTATGAAAGCTGAGCATATGGACAGACTATGAGCCAACAATGCCACTCCTAGCTATGTAACCAAATGAAAAGTACACATGTGCTCCGAGAGACACACACGGGAATATTCAGAACCTTTTCTGTAATAGCTATAAACTGAAAGCAGCACATGTCCAACAGGAAAATGAATAAACAAATACAGCATATTCATACAATAGAATCCTATACAGAGCAACTAAAATAACAGCTAGAGGCAACAACACGGATGGATCTTACAAGCCTGATGTGGAACAAGAGAAGCCTGTCCAGAGACTAAGTGAATGGATTTATGTGGTATGCAAAAACAGGCAAAACCAAATCATAGTGTTTTGGGAGGTATGCTTACATAGTAAAGCTCTGAAGGAAAACAAAGAAAAGGCGACTAAAGAGAATGACAACTTACACAATGCAGAATCCTGGATTGGATCCTAGATCCAATCAACGTGTAGGGGTAAGTGGGACAGCCGGCAAAATTTGAGTATCAACTGTATATGAGATAACTGTATACGTTAAATTTCCTGAACCTGCAAACTGTATTATGGTGTGTAAGAGAGCACCTTTGTTCTTGGGAGGACACATGCTGAAATATTTAGGAATAAGGGGCGTTGTCTTCAGCTTATTCTCAGATAGTTCAGCAACAATTGTGGCAAACAGTAGTAAACATATGGGTGAGGGGTAAGTGGGTGCTTACTGTACTCGCAATTGGAAGTTTCAATTTTTTCAAAATAATAAATTAAAAATAACAAAAAATGTCAAATTAAAAAAAAAAGGCAAAGGCAAAACTCTCACATAAGCCCATATAATCGTGCCTTAGGGGAAGAAGGAAAACTGGGGTATGCAAGAGGGCTTCTAAAAAACGGCAATATTCTGTTTCTTGACCTGGGTAGAGGCTACAGGGATATACGTTTTTGTTTTGTGCACTTAATGTGTGTTGTTTTTCACAATTTTAAAAATTCAAAGTGTTTACATGCTGAGTTATTCTTCCCAGCATGCCCACTAACATTAAATGAGTATCATGTGCAGTTATCTGCTTAATGTCTGAATTCCTCCTCTTAAATGAAAAGCTTCATGTGGGCAGAGACCATGTTTCTCTTATTTACCACTGATTGGAACAAACTAGGCAATCATATTTATTGAATGAATGAATAAGTAAATTACATAAATCTCACTTGTAAGGACTCTATCTAAATATATAATCTGATGTGGGCTAAAGATTTGTGAACAAAGACGTTCTGAGAAAATTTTGGCAACAAGATTAGCAACAGGCATTATGGCCTTCTAATACAAGGAAATATTGTGCTGTCTTTATAAGGCATGTGTTCAAAGAATATTTAAACACAGAAGGCAGAGGAAAAGGTTAAGATTTTAAGTTTAAATCTTTTTTCCAATTTTTAAAATTTGGTAAAATGTAACATAAAATTTACCATCTTAAGTGTTTTAAAGTACACAGTTCATTGGTATTAAGTACATTCACATTGTTGTGTAATCATCACCACCATCCATCTCCAGAACTATTTTCCCTGTGCAAAACTGAAACTCTATACCCATTAAATAATAACTCCCCATGACCCCCCACCTCAGTCCTTCAGGCAACCCCTATTCTTGTTTCCATCTCTATGAATTTGATGTCTCTAGATACTTCATATAAGTGGAATCATACAGTATTTGTCTATTTGAGGACACTTAGCACAATGTCCTCAAGGTTCACTTATATTGTAACATGTGTCAAAAATTCCTTTTTAAAGACTGAATAATATTCCATTGTATAGACAGACATTTTGTTTATCCATTCATTCATTAACAGACACACTGTTTCCACCTCTTGGCTATTACCAATAATGCTGTCATGAGCATGGATACAAAAGTATCTCTTTGAAACCTTATTTTCAATTATTTGGGGTATATACCCAGAAGTGAAATTGCTGGATCATCCAGTAATCACATTTTTAATTTTTTGAGGAACCACCAAACTGTTTTCTACAGTGGCTTTACCATTTCACATTCCCACCAATAGTGCACAAAGCTTCCATTTTTTCCATATCTTCACCACCAGCATTTATTTTGTTTAATAGTAAGGGCTCATGAATTTTAAATTAGAAAAAAATCAAGACACAAAACTGTTATAATCTCAATTTCATTTTAAAATAAATCAGATTTACATATGCAAAGAAAAAAGTTTGGAACTAAACCAAAATAACTAAGTGAGGCCATATCTGGGTTGAGAGAGAGTAATTTTTTAACTTTTTAATTTTTTTTAGAGATTCTGTTGCTCAGGCTGGAGTGCAGTGGCATGACCATAGCTCACTGCAGCTGCAGGCTCAAGCAACCCTCCTGCCTCAGCCACCTGAAGAGCTAAGATTACAGGTGCATGCCACCGCACTCAGCTAATATTTTTTATTCTCCTTTATACTTTCCATATTTTTCCCAATTACCTACCAAGAGAATGTATTCTTTAGGTAAAGAAAAATTATTTGAAAATTAACTTGTCTGTGACTATTATTTATCTAATTTAGCTCTATGTGAGTACAGAAAAATAAATCAGTAAGATTAAATTTCTTTCAGTTATTCTGATTACCAAAAGCATTTGTTATTGGCATAAAAAAATTTTAACTGAAAACAGAATCTCAAAGAAAAATTTGGATATGGATACTAAAACAAAGCAGTTATGCCTAAAATTGTCACAAATTTTTCTTTAAATTGAAGTTATTATCTAGGTAATGTAATGGGAAAAAAATTTATGGCTTCTTTAAGCAAGTATTTTTAAGTAAGTATTTTTAATCAACATTGCTTAATCTTATTTTTTTCTTCTTTTTTCATAAAAGAAGCCTTTTTCGGCAAGGCACAGTGGCTCATACCTGTAATCCCAGCACTCTGGGAGGCTGAGGCAGGAGGATAACTTGAACCCAGGAGTTTGAGAACAGCCTGGGCAACATGGGGAGACCTCGTCTTTTATTTTTTTCTATTATTTATTTATTTTTTAAAATGCCTTTTTCCCAGATGCAAACTTACTCAAAACCCAACACAAATCAGAAAAGTAAACCTTCTCTGGCTAAAGCAGAGGCTAGGATCCAGCTCAGCCTATCTCAAACCCTTGTGAATCAGTGCCATAAAACTTGAGGACTGCAGAAAACAGTGTAAAAGCCAAAACGACTACTTTGCTGCTTCATCAAGTATATATAAGCTGGTTCTTATTCCACTATTCAGATTAACAACAGATTCTGGAGACATTTTCTCTATCCCCTATTAAGAACCAACACACACACACTTACACACACATACACAGCACCCTAGCTCACACATGCACACGTGCATGTGCGCGCGCACACACACACACCCCACCACACCCTATCACTATGTACAGGCCCAGTTACTGGTTCTCTTTACCTGGAGCAGTGGATCTCACTGGTGGGGTCTTCCTCTTGGCCAAGAAGTTTCTCAGTTGTGCCTGTTTCATGGGGGACAGTTTGGCTGCAAGAAATCCATAAACCCATAAATGATTAAGACTCAGTTTTTAAGATATCAGTACTTGGAAGAGAATAAAGGGAGTTAAAAGACTGGGAAGGATGCAATTACCTGGTACTTTGGGCAAGGATTTGGTGTGAGATTCTATGGTGGTTTTCAACAAAGCATTGCACAGGCTTTCCAGGTCACTGTCAAAACTGAAACAGAACAGTGTTAGATACAGACCAACTAGGAGCTGAAAGATCGGAGGCTGTCGGGGGTACACTATCCTCTTAAATATAAATGCAAGACATGAGAATATCCCCAATATATAAACATGCCATCTGACCAACTGATGGAATTAATCTAAAAGAAGTGAGATCACAATCATATTATATACCATCTCCACCTCAAACACAACATGATGGTGCCTCAGTAGAAAAAGTAATTAAAATTTATACATTTGGCCTAAAAGCATAAACACAAAACCATTTTGGTAAACTCAAGGCAAACTGTCAATCTGCCAGGGTCTGAAAGTCCCCCCATTCAAGCAGAATGGCAAATCTGGGCTTCAGAAACAAGTCAGTCAACTTAATCCTATCAGCTGATTTTCAATCAAACCATGACACTGTTACTATGGTGTATCACTTGCTATGATATATTCAGCACCCATTTCATCAGTGTAATATTTTACAGACTTAATTTAACTCTCCAACAATCCCACGAAGCAGGTATTGTCATCCTCATTTTTTAGGCAAAGAAACAAAGGATCAGAGAGGGTGGGACCCTGACCAGGATTACACAGGTGAGAGACACAGAGTCACTTGCAAACCCATATCTGAACCACTCTAAGACTCCCTAAATGTTCATGCATTCATTCACCCATATTTATTGAGTGCAAGTCCTCTCCACACCTGTGAATGCTGCTCTGGGAAGGAACAGCCGAGGACAGGCTCCACAGGGAAGTCTGTTTGTAAAGGCGGAGCTGCTGAAGACTATCCACCAGGTGATTCAGCCTCTTCCTCTGTTGGTTGATGATTTCCCGATTGTTGGCTAGGGTGTTAAACAGTGTCTCTCGCTCTGGCACAAGCAGGTGCCTGTTGACAACAATGAGAAAAGAATTAAACATGAATGGTTCAAGTAAAGGAATCTCCCAGTAAAAAAACAAACAAGACTACAATGGTAACAGTGAAAATGATAAAATGGAGAACCAGCACTGGACAAGAACCATTAAGAAATTACTAGAAAATAAAAAGGAGATGAAAGCCTAATGAAGATAAAATGGAATGTGGAGAAAACAGCTGGAAACAGGCAGGCCAGTCCTGTAGCAAAGGACAGCATACATTAGGTGAAACCTGAGAGAGGCCCTGGGAAGAAAAGGGCAGGAGTGAGGTGTGAGTCAGGAACCAGGAAAAAGCCAGTCAGCTTTCTACTTAGAATTTATCTGTTTTTCTGAATGTAAATTATATTCAATTAAAAAAAAAAGGTTCACTGGAAGTCTATGGGAGTCAGTTAATTCTTCAGACTATTGTCAAGAAATAGGGGGACAGCATAAGATTTAGCATCAGGAAGGTAACCTGCCCAAAAGAACTAAAACAAGACAGAGACAACAGTAGCTGCCTCTGGGAAGTAGGTCTGACTGTAGAGGGCGACAGGTCTATTTGCTTCCGCTTTTCAGTAGAAATCTTTAAGTAGCTTTGAAATTTTTTTCTGACTGCATTAATTTGCAGAGGGGATAGGAAAAATCATACATATAAAAACATAAGGAATAATCCCACATCAGTTATAAACCAAATTTTCTTTGCTATGGTATGTCAATACAGTCATGTGCCACATAACGACATTTTGGTCAATGATGGACTGCATATACAACGATGATCCTATAAGATTACAGTAGAGCTGAATTCCTATTGCCTAGTGATTTGTGTTACAATTGTCTATAGTAGTCAGTACAAAACCATGCTGTACAGCAGGGGTGTCTAATCTTTTGCTTCCCTGGGCCACACTGGAGGAAGAATTGTCTTGGGCCACACATAAAATATACTAATGCTGGCTGATAAGCTTAAAAAAAAAATCAAAAAAATCTCAGAATGTTTTAAGAAAGTTTACGAATTTGTGTTGGATTGCATTCAAAGCTGTCCTGGGCCACATGAAGCCTGCAGGCCGTGGGTTGGACAAGCTTGCTGTATGGTACTGTGGTCTAGGAGCAACAGGCTATACACCATAAGCGCCTAGGTGTGTAATAGGTGATGTCATCTAGGTAATAAGTACACATAGTGTAAGCACATTCTGTGATGATCATATAATGACAAAATCGCCTAACAATGAAATTCTCAGAACGCACGTTAAGCAACAAGTGACTCTATGTATATTTTGCCTCAACACAAATCATGGAATGAAAAATGCTTGCTAAACAGAAACCTCTGGATTTATTTCCCTTTTTCCCATTACCTCTTTGAGTTCAGGGCTGACTTGAATGACTGCCTCTGGTAACAAGGTAGTTCAACATATAATTTTTAAAAGGCATTTCAGGCCAGGCGCGGTGGCTCACGCCTGTAATCCCAGCACTCTGGGAGGGCGAGGTGGGTGGATCACGAGGTCAGGAGTTGGAGACCAGCCTAACCAACATGGTGAAACCCCATCTCTACTAAAAATACAAAAATTAGCCAGGTGTGGTGGCACGCACCTGTAATCCCAGCTACTCAAGGAGGCTGAGGCAGGAGAATCGCCTGAACCCCGGAGGCGGAGGTTGCAGTGAGCCGAGATCGCGCCACTGCACTCCAATATGGGTGACACAGCGAGACTTAGTCTCAAAAAAAAAAAAAAAAGGCATTTCAATAGGGTTCAAGGTAATATTCAGGGATGGCCCTGAAACAGAGAAGTGCTATCAAAATAGAAAATTGTACAGATTTAAGAATTTGAACTCTGCAGAAAGAGAACTCAGAAAAGCATAAGTAGTAAATCCACAGAATTGTTACAAAGGAAAAAAAAGCTTGGCTTCTCTTTAAGCATCATGCACTTTCTTACAAGGCTAACTTGTTAATTACCAAAAAGAAATACAACCATTGAGCAGAGCAGAATGTACCCACTGTAAGGTTAGACCATTGTTTCCCTTGTGGGAAAGCAAACCATATGGTTAAACATGAATCAGAACCAGGTGTGTGAGCTAGTTCTCTAATGGGGCCCCACTGCCCATGGAGACAAGTGCTCCAGTCCACAGGCCACAGAATTCTCCCCTTAGATAGTGGCGGAGGAGAGCTTCTCACTTCTATCTCCCTATACCTATCTATGCTGCAAGCTGAGGGTCCTCCAGTTGGGATTTTTAGCCTTTCTCCACATAACACAATGTAATTTATTGAATTGTGCTTACTAAATTATAAGCATATTATAGTCCTGTCCCTGATATCACACCCAGGTTGTCCCACTGAAAAGTACATCAAATAGACCATTTCTTGGTTTGTTTTCATACAGGGCTAGCTAATCATTAATCAAGTGTAGGTGTTTCAGAAATCTAACATTTCATGGCTGATTCATTTTTCAAATTTCTAATGGGCACTTCATGCTCTCATGGTGCATGACATTCTACTCCTTGTGGAAAATATGTGGCTTAAAACCAAATATCTAGGGATAAAAAACTATGCTAAAAGGTTTTCCCATTACTTTGCCATCATTTCTCTCATCTTTTTAATTATCCACACTAATTACAAATGTTTTCTAAAAAAGAAAATTTGAAATATACAGAAGAGTATTACGGAAAATTCTCCTTAATCCCGTTTTGCAGATATAACTACGAATATTTTGTTACATCTATTTACTTTTGTACCTCCACATTCTTATTAGCCAATATGCTTTTGTCTTTTTACTTATTAAATTTTTATATTACATCTAATAATTATAGCGAAATAGTTATATATTCATACATTTTGTAGAACATAGAATATGTATTCAATATATTAAATAATTTATTGGAGAACATGCTAGTCAATGGTTACAGGGTATTCTGTAGTTAAGAAAAAAAGCGACCATATTTATTTAGCCACTCCTGTACCTTTAGATAATTAGGCTGAATCCAATTTTTCACTATCATAAATTATACTGCAATATAAATTATTTTATGTAAATTACTGAGTATCATTTGTTGTTTCTATAGAAAAATATTTCAAGTAGAATGACTGTTAAAAAGAATGAACGTTTTGTAGAGATTTTCTCTTTCTTGTTTTTTTTTTTTTGAGATGGGAATTTCGCTCTTGTTGCCCAGGCTGGAGGGCAGTGGCACGATCTCAGCTCACTGCAACCTCCGCCTCCTGGGTTCAAGCGATTCTCCTGCCTCAGCCTCCATAGTAGCTGGGATTATAGGCATGTGCCACCATGCCCGGCTAATTTTGTGTTTTTGGTAGAGACAGGGTTTCTCCATGTTGGTCAGGCTGGTCTCGAACTCCCGATCTCAGGTGATCCACTCGCCTCGGCCTGCCAAAGTGCTGGGATTACAGGCGTGAGCCACCGCACCCGGCCTGGGATTTTCATATGTTCCTAAATAACCTTTTTAAAATGGCAATAGCAATATCTATTCCAACACATTGCAGATGAGAGATCTCATTCACCTTTGTTTTTTCTTTTGTTCCAGATGCTGATCCCACTCCAAGTCTAGAACATCATTCACATCTTGGACAGCAAATTTCACATACTGATGAAGGCGCCGAATTTCCTATAAGAAAAAAATTAAAAGGCAAATAACTTGTTTTTCTGATAGTTTGGGGGAAGATGTATCAAAACAGTCAAAAGAATTCTAAAATACTTCTATATTAAGAACCATAATGAACAAGGAAAACAGAATAGGTTTTAATACGATTTTTAAAACTATATAATTAAAATGAGGCCGGGTGTAGTGGCTCAGGCCTATAATCCCAACACCCTGGGAGGCCAAGGCAGGAGGACTGCTTGAAGCCAGGAGTTAAAGATCAGCCTGGGCAACACAGCAAGACTCTGTCTCTAATAATGTATACAAATAAAAAAGTTACATAAAAAAACTTTATAATTAAAATGAAAAACAAAATTGGCCAGGAGTGGTGGCTCCTCACTTTGGGAGGCTGAGGCAAGCAGATCACTTGAGGTCAGGAGCTCAAGATCAGCCTGGCCAACATGGTAAAACCCCGTCTCTACTAAAAACACAAAAATTAGCCAGGCAGGGTGGCAGGTGCCTGTAATCCCAGCTACTCAGGAGGCTGAGGCAGGGGAATCACTTGAACCCAGGAGGCAGAGGTGGCAGAGAGGTGGTACAATGAAAAGGGAAACAGAATGGGTATGGCTGCCTAGGCCCCCAGGGAACAAATGTTCTTGCTTAATTCTCATTTCTCAGTTCCATGGTCTGGGAATTTTCCATTCCATTCTGGTACTCAGACAGTGCATCCATTTAGATTTTGCTCTCCCACCCATAAAATTAACTGTAATGGAGACAAAACGGTGCTGAAAGTAATTCTAAACCTATCTATTCACAGCATAGAACATATAAGTCATCTTCCCATTTGAGAAATACTCATTTGTTTGCAAAATCAAAGAACACTATCAGCACTAAAAACTGAATCTGTCATTATTTAAAATTTTAGCTATTTAACTTATTATAGGCCTGCAATAATTTTATTTAAATTTTGGGCGACTGTTAACCTTCATGGCTATGCAACTTGATTCTCAAAAATTAAAAACAGGCCAGGTGGCTGGGCGCTGTGGCTCACACCTGTAATCTCAGCACTTTGGGAAGCCAAGGTGGGCAGATCACCTGAGGCCAGGACTTCCAGACCAGCCTGGCTAACATGGTGAAATCCCGCCTTGACTAAAAATACAAAAATTAGCTGGGCAGGGTGATGCATGCCTATAATCCCAGGTACTTGGGAGGCTGAGGCACAAGAATCACTTGAACACAGGAGGCGGAGGCTGCAGTGAGCTGAGATCACGCCACTGCACTCCGGCCTGGGCAACAGAGCAAGACACTGTCTCTAAACAAAAAATCAGGCCGGGCATGGTGGCTCATGCATGTAATCCCAGCACTTTGGGAGGCCAGGACGGGTGTATTACTCGAGGTCAGGAGCTCGAGACCAGCCTGGCCAACATGGTGAAACCCCATCTCTACTAAAAATACAAAAATTAGAGCTGGGTGCAGTGGCTCATGCCTGTAATCCCAGTACTTTGGGAGGCCAAAGCAGGTGGATCACTTGAGGCCAGGAGTTTGAAACCAGCCTGGTCAACACGGTGAAACCCCATCTCTACTAAAAATACAAGAATTACCCGGGTGTGGTGGCGCGCGCCTGTAATCCCAGCTACTCCAGAGGCTGAGGCAGGAGAATCTCTTGAACCTGGGAGGTGGAAGTCGCAGTGAGCTGAGATCATGCCACTGCACTCCAACCTGGGTGAAAGAGTGAGACCCTGTCTCCAAAACAAAACACAAAAAACAAAAAACAAAAATTAGCTGGGAGTGGTGGTGCACGCCTGTAATTCCAGCTACTCAGGTGGCTGAGGCAGGAGAACTACATGAACCCAGGAGGCTGAGGTTGCAGTGAGCTGAGATCGCACCACTGCACTCCAGCCTGGGCAACAGAGTGAGACTCTCTCTCAAAAAAAAAAAAAAAAAAAAAAACGCCAGACACAGTGGCTCACACCTGTAATCTCACACTTTGGGAGGCCAAGTCAGTAGGAGTGCTAGGGCCCAGGTGTTCGAGACCTGCTTGGGCAACACAGCAAGGCCCCATCTCTACAAAAATTTTAAAAATTAGCCAGACATGGTGGCGTGTGCCTGTAGTCCTAGCTACTTAGGAGGCTGAAGCAGAAGGATCACTTGAGCCCGAGTTCGAGGCTGCAGTGAGCTAGGATCGTGCCACCGCACCACACACTCTGGCCCAAGCAACAGAGAAAGACCGTGTCCAAAATTAAAAAACAAAACAAAACAAAAAAAAAAACAGAGCTAAACGTGGTAGCGTACACTTGTAGACCCAGCTACTCAGGAGGATGAGTTAGGAGGATCACCTGGGCCCAGGAATTCGAGGCTTTTGTGCACCATAATCATGCCTGTGAATAGCCTTTGCACTCCTGGGCTACATAGCAAAACTCTGTCTCCTAAAAAAAAATAAAATAAAACTGAGGCATTCAATTAAGTATGTCTACAAATGGAGATAATGTGCTATACACTAGGAAAAGCAGTTTACATCTGTAGAGAGATCTTATTATGTTTAAATGTATTTTCAAAATTATTTGTGTAGCTGGCACAGACAAGAGAAAAAATAAAGCGCGTCCAAACTGATAAAGAGAAAGTCAAACTGTCGCTGTTTGCCGATGTTATGATCATGTACCTAAAAAACCCTAAAGACTCATCCAAAAAGGTCCTAGATCTGATAAACGAATTCAGTAAACTTTCAGGATACAAAATCAATGTACACAAATCAGTAGCACTGCTATACACCAACAGCGACCAAGCTGAGAATCAAATAAACAACAACCCCTTTTATAATAGCTGCAAAAAAAAAAAGAACAAAAAAAAAAAAACTTAGGAATATACCTAACCAAGGAGGCAAAAGACCTCTACAAGGAAAACTACAAAACACTGCTGAAAGAAATCATAGACGACACAAATGGAAACGACACAAACAAATAGAAATACATCCCATGCTCAGCCGGGCGCAGTGGCTCATGCTTGTAATCCCAGCACTTTGGGAGGCCTAGGCGGGTGGATCATGAGGTCAGGAGATCGAGACCATCCTGGCTAACACAGTGAAACCCCGTCTCTACTGAAAATACAAAAAATTAGCCGGGCGTGGTGGCAGGCGCCTGTAGTTCCAGCTACTCAGGAGGCTGAGGCAGGAGGATGGCGTGAACCCGGGAGGTGGAGCTTGCAGTGAGCCGAGATCGTGCCACTGTACTCCAGCCTGGGTGACAGAGCAAGACTCCGTCTCAAAAAAAAAAAAAAAAAAAAGACAGAAATACATCCCATGCTCATGGATGGGTAGAATCAATATTGTGAAAATGACCATGCTGTCAAAAACAATTTACAAATTCAATGCAATTCTCATCAAAATACCATCATCATTCTTCACAGAACTAGAAAAAACAATCCTAAAATTCATATAAAACTAAAAAGAGCCCACATAGTCAAAGCAAGAATAAGCAAAAAGAACAAATCTGGAGGTATCACGTTATCTGACTTCAAACTATACTACAAGCCTATAGTCACCAAAACACCATGGTACAGGTACAAAAATAGGCAGACAGACCAATGGAAAAGAATAGAGAACCCAGAAATAAAGCCAAATTATTAGAGCCAACTGATCTTCAACAAAGCAAACAAAAAACATAAAGTGGGGGAAGGACACCCTATTCAACAAATAGTGCTGGGATAATTGGCAAGCCACATGTAAAAGAATGAAACTGGATCCTCATCTCTCACCTTATACAAAAATCAACTCAAGATGGATCGAAGACTTAAATCTAAGACTTGAAACCATAAAAATTCTAGAAGATAACATCAGAAAAACTCTTACAGACATTGACTTAGGCAAGGAGTTCATGACCAAGAATCCAAAAGCGAATGCAACAAAAAGGTAAATAGATGGGACTTAATTAAGCTTCTGCACAGCAAAAGAAATAATCAGCAGAGTAAACAGACAACTCACAGAGTGGGAGAAAATTTTCACAAACTATGCATTCGACAATGGACTAATATCCAGAATCTATAAGGAACTCAAACATATCAGCAAGAACAAAACAAACAATCCCATCAAAAAGTGGGCTAAGGACATGAACAGACAATTCTTAAAAGATATACAAATGGTTGACAAACATCCAAAAAAATGCTTAACATCACTAATTATCAGGCAAATGCAAATCAAAACCACAATGCAATACCGTCTTACTTCTGCAAGAATGGCCGTAATTTAAAAATCAAAAAATAATAGATGTTGGTGTGGATGTGGTGAAAAGGGAACACTTTTACACTGCTGTTGGGAATGTAAACTAGTACAACCACTACAGAAAACAATATGGAGATTTCTTAAAGAACTAAAAGTACCTACCATTTGATCCAGCAATCCTACTACTGTGTATCTACCCAGAGGAAAAGAAGTCATTACATGAAAAAGACACTTGCACACGCATGTTTACAGCAGCACAATTCACAATTGCAAAAATATGGAACGAGCCCAAATGCCCATCAATCAACGAGTGGATAAAGAAAATGTGACACACACGCGAGCGTGCGCGTGCGCACACACACACACACACAACTACTACTACTCAGCCATAAAAAGGAATGAAATAATGGCATTTGCAGCAACCTAGATGGAGCTGGAGACCATTATTCTAAGTGAAGTAACTCAGGAATTGAAAACCAAACACCATTTGTTCTCATTTATGAGCAGGAGCTAAACTATGAGGATGCAAAGGGATAAGAATGATACAACGGAACAGGCGCGGTGGCTCACGCCTGTAATCCTAGCACTTTGGGAGACCAAGACGGGCAGATCACTTGAAGTCAGGAGTTCAAGACCAGCCTGGCCAACACGGTGAAAGAGGATGCAGTGAGCCAAGATCACGCCACTGCACTCCAGCCTGGGTGACAGAGTGAGACTGTCTCTGAATGAATAAATAAATAGATAGATAGACAGACAGACAGACAGATAGATAGACAGAATGATACAATGGACTCTGGAGACTTGGGGGGAAAGGAGAGAGGGCGGTAAGGGCTAAAATACTACACATTGGGGTACAGTGTACACTGCTTGGATGATGGGTGCACCAAAATCTCAGAAATCACCACTAAAGAACTTAACCATGTAACCAAACACCACTTGTCCCCCAAAAACTATTGAAATTTTTAAAAATTAAAAAAAAATTATTTTGTGGATAAGGGTCTATGTCCTATCTGAAAAAGAGAAAATGTAATTTTAAAAGAGCCAAGATGATTCAAGAGAAGTAGAAGTAACCTTAGTAGCAAATGTAACTTTCAACTCACCGAGGCTCTTTCCTTTGATCACTTCAGATACAACCACACCTCTGCGTTAGCTGCTGCTGTTTCTTTGGAATGCCCTCCCAATTGTGCCCACCAGCCAAAAACAATTCTTCTTTTAAAGCCTATCACAAATACTTCTTTTCTCTGGCTCGGCTGCTCCCTCACCTGTGGTCCCATAGCAACATATCCCACACTACATTTACATGTTCGTCTTTCTCTCTGTCACTTACCCAACTGCAGGAATTGCAAACCCGAGTGAATTGTAAACCTGCATGAACTGTAAACCAGACTCTTGAGTACGAGCACAGGCTCTTGAGTCAGACTGCCCAGGTTCAAGGTTTCAAGGTTTATTAGTGGTAAAACCTGGGCAGTTTCAGTTATCTTGGTTTCATCATCTGTGCATTGTCCATAGTAAACACTCAATACATGCTAACTAGTATTATCTACTTAGCACCATGAAAAAAGAAAATTATTCCCTCCTGAATAAGTGTCTCCCTAAAGCTGTATGCTTTCCTCTTAGTTTGTCAATAGAGAAAGAGGTGGAAAGGCACATAGGAACAACATGTAGCTCGGATGCAGAGCGGATGCCTGTAATTTGATGAGCAGTAGGCAGGCAGCACTCTCTTGCTGAGAGGTAATATCCACAGTGGAAAGAGGACGCATCAGGAATACCAGAGGGCTGCAGATCACAGCAAGGGCTCTGCAATCTATCTTGAAGAAGGAACCATTTTTCTTTTTTTTTTTTAATTTTCAGTAAGTTGACCAGGTGTGGGACAGAAACACTGGGGAACAATAAAGTTTGAGGCCTCAAATTCTCTGAGGCAAGAATGATTCATCACACCTGCAAACCCCACAGATGTCATGAGGAAGACCAGAGATGCCAGTGAACGCTTCCCGCTGGAATTCCAGACAAATGTGAGATAGCAGAAGAGGACCCCCACACTAAGGCCAGTGACACAATGATTCGGTGTACACTGAAAGATGGAAAGCAAAATCCGATTAGCAAAAGCAGAGATTAAGAATAATTAAGAATAGTGGCTCACACCTGTAACCCCAGAATTTTGGGATTACAAAGACAGGAGGGTGACTTGAGCTCAGGAGTTCGAGACCAGCCTGGATAATGTAGTGAGACCCCATCTCTACAAAAAATTTAAAAATCAGCTGGGTGTGGTGGCACACACCTGTACTCCCAACTATGTGGGAGGCTGAGGTGGGAGGATCACTTGAGCCCAGAGGTTGAGGCTGCAGTGAGCTGTGATGGTGCCACTTCAGCCCAGGCGACAGTGCGAGACTCAGTCTCAAAAAAAAAAAAATTTTTTTTCAAGAGAAAAGTTAAGTGTAGCATACAGAAAAGAGCTCAGGCAAATGGAGGTTTCAATTCTGGTTCCCCGTTTCCTAGCCAACATGACTTTGGACAAGCTACTTAGCCTATGAAATTTAATTTCCAGTTACCTGTATAATGGGCTACAGGGACCAGTAACTCTTACCTTGCAGAGCAGCTGGCTTTGAAGGCTAGAAATAATGCATAAGAAACACCTAGCAGATTAAATGGCACTCAAGAAATAGTTGCCACTTTAATAATTATTATTTATTTTTATTATTTATTTATAATTATTATTTATTTATAATTCAACTTACATGTTTCAACAGAGTATTCTCTATTAAGCTTAAGGTTTAATAAAAAATTTTGGCCAGTCACGCGTGTAATTCCAGCACTTTGGGAGGCCAAGGCAGGAGGACTGCTTGACCCCAGGAGTTCAAGACCAGCTGGGCTGGGCAGCATAGTAACACCTTATCTCTCCAAATAAAATATTAAAAATTAGCCAAGTGTGGTGGCACATGCCTGTGGTCCTGGCTACTCAGGAGGCTGAGGCAGGAGGATCACGTAAGCCCAGGAAGTAAGGCTGCAGTGAGCTGGGATCACACCATTGCACACTAGCCTGGGCAACAGAGTGAGAAGACCCTGTCTCAAGAAAAAAAGTATTTTAAAAAAAATCTATGTTTTAAGTGAAAAAAATTACATAATTACATGAAGTGTACTGTTTGCCACAGTTAAGGAAGTTTACGGGAAATGTGGTAAATTATAAGCAGAAAATCAACAACTTCAAAAAGAGCCATCATCCAAATCTATATGCAAAAAGAGGTAGCAATTGTTACATGAGCTTGTTTTTAAATCTTTTAAACAGATTTACATAGATCTCCTACCTGAAGCTGAGCTTCACTCTTGGGATCCAGTGGTCTTTTATAAAGCAAATGCAGATAACCAGAGTCACGATTTCTTTCATTTTGTTCTCTGGCTTCCTCAACACCAGCAAAGCCCTCAAGTAAAGTTGTTTTCAGGCTACTTATATCTCCATGAAGCGACTAGAAAAAGTACAATAATGTGTTGGTACAAAAAGTTGTTACGTCCAAATCTTTCTGTTTGGATCAAGGAAGGTGGTGTTTCTCAAACGCTCACTGAACAGAATGAACATCTGAACATATTTAACTCAGGTAAAAAAAGAATTTAACTGTTTAGAACGACACTAATGTTCTTTTTTTATATTTATTTTTCATCCCCATTGAAAAAATACATTCTAATGATTGAAAATGCAGAAAATACAAAGACAGTAGCTCTAACACTACTATGTGAAGATAATTACTGCTAACACTCTAAAGAACTTGCCTCTTTCCAAACACACTATTTAAGACCCGAACTCTGGAATCAGAGAGTCTGAAGCAGAATTCTGGCACTACCACTTGCTAAGTGGGTGACTTTTGACAAATTTGCCTAAGCCTCAGTTTCCTGACTTGCAAAATAGGGTAACAGTATGTATGACACAGCAAAGTTGTGAGGATTCAGTGAGATAATACAAGTGATGCGTTTGGCACAGTGCCTGGCACACAGTAAGTAGTAATAATGGTTACAATAATTAACACTATTAACACCCAGCATTTAATATTTTCATACTGCATATGTCCTAAAATATCCTTTTTTAAAAATCGAACACTATTTGAGATAGTAAAATTTCAAATAAACCTAAATTAAATTAACAATTATAATAAATTTTATGGAGTGCACAGTATGCATCAAAGGGATAGAAACTTAGTCCATCTTATGATGAGAAAACTGAAAAATAGAGTAACGAGGTTAACTTGCCCAAAGTCACATAATTTATTAAGTGCTGAAGGTAGGATTTGAACTCAGGGATTCTAGGCAAGCTACTCAGCCACGTTAAAAAAACAACAACACTGGTGGTCCTTGAAGAAATAAAGTACATAACCCCATGGAGTACTAGGAGAAAAAAATTGTTAAATGCAATTCAACTCAGGAAAAGTATCCATAAACACAAACCTCTGTGGTCTCTTTAATCTCCAAAAGAAAGGTATGCAAGTCATCTGATTCTGTTCGCAGCATCTTCATCTCCTCAGAAGTGCCCACTTGGAAACAGGCTTTGGAAGTTCGGGCTTTTAACTCTTCCAACTCCTTCTGAAAGTGTGCAATCTGTAGAAGCCACAAGTGAGGAACTACTCAGTCTGAAGGACAAACAGTAATGTCACTGCTATCGTGCTTACTAACTGCTCAGACTGCTGGGATGGGCCATGCTTCAGCGCTAGAATGAACTAACTAGTCATACAGGGGTTGGCACTCTGACCCATCCAAGTCTGTCAGCTACTTTCAGAAAAACACCCTCAGGAAACAAATTTACCTCCTCCCCAATTCCAGCCATTACAGGATCTGAATCTTTCCACTGATGTCCCTGCTTTTCTGCAACAGCAGGCTGAAGTGACTTTGCCTGAAATGGAAGGAAAAGGTTTAAAAACTGCAAGTCATAGCTTCTACAAGCAATTATATCAGAGCCTATTACAGGGAGTGGCGCTCCTGTAACACAGTCATTATTTCTTCACTCATTGTAACGAATCCTTATTTATAGGGTCTCTACTTTGTGTAAGGCATGTTCTAGACAGTGCAGGTAGAGGTGAACAAGTAGATGAGGGCCCAACTCTTATGGAACTTACCTCCTACTGGGACATGTTGAATAATAAAATATAAACACATCTGATAATTTCAGTTGGAGAACAAACAGGGAAACATAAAGAGAATAAAAAAGGGCACTACTTCAGATGAGATGGCCAAGAAAGCCCTCACTGCGGGCTGCCATCTGAACGGAGGCTGCAAGCAGAAAGCAAGCTATGAGATCTTCAGGAAGCACCTGCCAGGCACCAAGAAAGGCAAGTGCAGAGGTCTCAAGGCAGGAGAAACCTTAGCAAAGAAAAAAAGTAAATGTGGGCTCTGTGAAGTCAGGGGAGGCGTTGTAGAGGGCAGGGGTAGAGTCAGGAAGGCAGGCCGGGGTAGGTCATATAAGGTCACACCAAGGAGTTTGGGTTCTATTCTAAACGTGTTGGAAAGCTACTACTGGTGTTTTACAAGAGTTTAAATCTCCTTTATGATTTAAAAGATCCCTCTTGCTGCTATGTAGAGCAGGGATAGCAGAGAGAGTAGTCGAGAGGTTAACAAGGTGAGAGGTGCAACAGCTTGACACAGGATGCTAGCAGGGGGACAGAGCTGTGGGCTTATGACATGTGACACAGCAGAGGGTGGAGCTGACAAGACCTCCCGCCAGCCTGGACTGGGGACAGGTACTGTTAAAGAGAGGGATCTAGGATGCTTCGGGGCTTGGGGCTTGTGCAAACATCTGGTTTGTTAGTGCTACTTACCCATTGGAAAAGGACTAGCCTCTAGGGGAGACAGAAATCAAGAGTTCTGCTTTAAAGATACTATAATTTGAAATGCCCTTTAGACTATTTGATACTTACAACGATTAACACTAGAGAGGTCTTAGACTGCATCAGCATTCATTAACAGCAAACATTTATTTGACAAACACTGTATGTCATGCATCATGCCACACCGTGAACTGTGACCTGGGCACTTACTATGTACCTAGTACAGGTGTGTGTTAGGGTACAAGGGTTGGTTAGAGGGACACAGAAAGGAAAAGACATAACGCTTATTCTCAGGGCACTCAAGTAATCACGTGGGAAACTGACATACAATTCTCTTTACATTATACCATAAAAATAAACTGAGATGATGGACTACAAATCTAAATATGAAAGATAAAATAATAAAGCTTTTAGAAAAACATCTTTTTGACCTTGAAATAGAAAATTATTTCTAAAACATGAAAAGCATTAATCATAAAAGAAAAAACTGATATACTTAATTATATTAAAATGAAGAATGTGTATTCATCAAAGAAACAAAAAAGACAATGAATAGACAATTCACAGTGAGAACATATTTGCACTGTATGTGTGTGCGTGTGTGTGTGTATTCAAGGAACTCACTCTTAAAAATCAGAAGGAAAAAGCCAGACAATCCAACAGAAAAACAGAATAAAGACATGAACAGACACAACATAAAAGAAAATATTCAAATGGCCAATAATCATCTTTTAAAAAGCTTAATTTTGCTAATCATTAGAGAAATACAAATTAAAACCACAAAACCATACAACAAAAGATGAAAAATACCAAGAGTGGCAAGTATGTGGAGCAGCCAGAAGTCTCATACACTCTTGGTGGGAATCTACTAATGAGGAATACATGCAGATTCTATGACCCAGCAATCTCACTCATAGGGATACACCCAAGAGAAACTTGCATATGTGTTCATTGAAGATGTCAACTGGAACGGTCATAGCAGTGCTACATACAATGGCTTAAACCTGGAAACTACTCAAGCGCCCATCAGAGTGGAACAAATAGTTGTAATATAATCACACAATAAATTCCATACAACGACATGGATAAATCTCACAAACATAATGTTGAACAAAGCAGCCAGATACAAGAATACATACTGTACAAATCCACTTGATAGGAGGTACAGGCAGGCTAACCTCATCTATGCTGTTGGAAATCAAATCAGCTACTCTTTGGCAAGAGTAGTGACTAGAAGGGGACAGGTGAAAAAGAACTCTGGGGTTCTGGCCTCCGCCTCCCGGGTTCAAGTGATTCTCATGCCTCAGCCTCCTCAGGAGCTGGGACTACAAGTACGTGCCACCACGCCCGGCTAATTTTTGCGTTTTTAGTAGAGACGGGGTTTCACCATGTCGACCAGGCTAGTCTCGAACTACTGGCCTCAGGTGATCCGCCCGCCTTGGCCTCCCAAAGTGCTGGGATTACAGGCATGACCCACTGTGCCCAGCCAGGTTCTCGTAAAATTCTGTTTCTTGATCTGGATGCTAGTTACCAAGGTATGTTCAGTTGTTGACAATTCACTGAGCTGTACATGTATCATGTGTACTTTTTTCTATTTGTATTATACATGAATAAAAAATTAAAATAGCTAAATGGCTTTTACGAGTATACAAGTATTCAAACCTCGCACTTTGGTATTTACTATCACATAGTCCCAATTACTATGTCCAAGGTCTGAATTATAAAACATGAAAACTCATTTTATTCATAGGTATGCTTGGGGCAGTAAATTAATAAACACAAACATTGCAAGCTGAATTTAAACATACCTGGGGAGAGCCTGGCTTTGCCGCTGGAGGGGTTATCCTGGGTGATTTCTGTACCATTGAGGGCACTGGGCTTGAACTGCCCTGAGCAGATCGTCCTGCTTGAAAAAGAAGTCAGTTAAAATAGATGGCATTTATTACCTTTATTTCTCCTATCACAAATGTCCTTTCTCCAAATCTAAGAAATTAAGTTACACATTGCCCCTGGCCCACTTTCATGATTTATTTTAAAGAGTGATGACCACCAGTTGTGCTAGCCTCTGTTCTAAGATAATGAAAAAAATATATTAAAATTTTAGGAGCCAGGTATGGTGGCTCAAACCTGTAATCCTAGCCTTTTGGGAGGCTGAGGCAGGAGGATTGCTTGAGCCCAGGAGTTTGAGACCAGCCTGAGCAACATGGCAAGACTTTGTCTCTACAAAAAAATTTAAAAATTAGCCGACGGTGGTGGTACATGCCTGTAGTCCCAGCTACTCAGGAGGCTAAGGTGGGAAGATCGCTTGAGCCCAGGAGGTAGAGGCTGCAGTGATGTGCTTGGGTGAGAGAGTGAGAGGGTCTCAAAAAACAAAACAAAACTTCCTGTTTACAGTATGACTGACTGTGAAAATATGAATATAATCACTGCAGGTACTCTCTCCTCTGTACTTTTTTTTTTTTTTGAGACAGAGTCTCGCTCTGTCGCCAGGCTGGAGAGCAGTGGCGTGATCTCGACTCCCTGCAATCTCTGCCTCCTAGGTTCAAGTGATTCTCCCGCCTCAGCCTCCTGAGTAGCTGGGATTACAGGCACCCACCACCACACCTGGCTAATTTTTGTATTTTTAGTAGAGATGGGGTTTTGCCATGTTGGCCAGGCTGGTCTCGAACTCCTAACCTCCGGTGATCCACCTGCCTTGGCCTCCCAAAGTGCTGGGTTTATAGGCGTGAGCCACCGCACCCCGCCAAACAACTCTTGTGCCTGTGCTTCTTAAAGAACTGTTATGTAACTGCTCTTCATGGAGGGCAGGCTCCATATGAAAATAAATGCCCAAGAGCAAGGCATTTTTGACTCATTAAATACACTTAGCTCCATAAGAAGTGTCAGAGAGAAGAGTGGCAGCATTTAAGCAAGAGCAAATCTCCCAATTCAGAGTATGAAAATCACAGCACATTAATCATTAATGTATGATACAGGAAGCAAGAAAAAATAACCTTGTCCAACTATGTTAGCTACGACTCTTAACACTTAAAACCGTTAATCTGAGAAGGCAGGGCTGAGGTCTAAAGTTGTCTGCTTAAAATCATACCTGATGGTGAGGGCAAGACTGAGGACTTCAATGGCACGGAACTAGGTGGTGCTGAGAGAGGTGTGGGGTGGCTGAGTGGTCCAGAAGCAGCTGGCTTGGAGGCAGAAGAGAATGGCGACATCGGGGGTGCGCTCTGGGAGCTACTAACAGGAGTAGAGGTAGCTGCAGCAGTAAACCTGAAAAATGGCAGCCTGAAGGCCTCAGAAGAGCCTGCTAGAAGATTCTTTTACACTAGCATGAGCAATGTCATCAAAAGATAACTTATTATCTTTTATGTTAACTTACAAAGATAACATACTTTTTGCCTTCAGGAAACAAAAATGTTTAGCTATTTCTTATAAAAGGTGAAAGCTGCAAGGAAACATTTATCTTTTCGTCTGCTTATTTAGGAATTAATTATTCAGGGGAAATATCAAAACTAAGTTTATCACAATATGAAATACCAAGTTTATCATGATATGAAATACTATTGTTTCCAGCTGAGTTTTAAACAGGAGGTGGGACACAATTATGCTTAGGAGAGTTAGTACTTTCTCTTACCAAGGAAATTACTGAGAACTCGTTTTGAGAGTGAGCACCTTCTCTGGGGAGTGAAAAAGGAAGAGGAATGCAGGGAACTGTCTTTGGGATACTTATGGCCTAAAGGAAATGTAAAGTCGGTTCCACCTAAAGAGCAAAAGTCTGTAGACAATCTAAACTCCAGCATTAGATGACTGGTCAGATAAACTGTGGTGCAGTCAACAAAATGGAACACTATGCAACCCTTAGCATGAAGTGGATGTGTGCCAATTCAGTATTAACAGTAACTGTGGTGGCAGCAGCACCACCATAGCAACAACAGATAGTACAGGCAAGTAGGGAAAAAGCTGGTAGTACTTATACTCGATGGTTATCTTGGGAACTCATGGTTATCTTGGGAGGGGTTACAAGATATAAGGGATTGCTTCCCTCCAAAAGCTTACATTCTAGTGGGAAGAAAAGAACAAGATAAAGAAGTAAATAAATAAGAAATGAGTGAGCTGCCCGACCCAGATCTGGAGGAAACTGGATACCAACCTAAGAATTAGCAGTGAGCAGCCACGGGGCTTCATAGGGACTGTCAAGCAGAAGAATCACCTAACAATTTACAGTGTCACAAGATGACTTTGTGGCTGTGTAGACAGCAGTTCAGAGAGAGTTAAGGGTAGACACAGGGAGGAAAAAAGACTACAAGGGATTCATTTCCCTTCCAGGATGCATACTCTGGATTGCTTCTTTTTTTAAAATAAGGAATATTTCCTACATTTGTAACGTAAAAAAGCAAAACAAATACCTGAATATAAATCCCATAGTCAAAAAAATAAAATGCTAGCTAAGAGACCCTTCTGGACTCTATTCACTGATGAAATGCCAGTATTTTATGTTGGTTGAATTTTTGCCATTTGCAAGTATCACTCTGGGTAAAAAAATTCTACTCAGTTAACTCCTCTCAGAGTGACTCTACTTTTAGTAAATAACATCCAATATTTCTACCCAACTCACAGAAGAATCAAACTTTAGAAGTGACTTACTTTTCACTAAGGTTGACTTTGACAGCAGAGGTTGAGGGTGGGAAGGAGGGCTTCATTGCTATATTTGGAGCAGACACACTTGGCACTGGTGTGCTTTCCAGGGTAGGCTTAAAACCAGATGATCCAAAGGAGAATGAAGCAGCTGATGGAGCCACAGGAGACGCTGCAGGGGTGGGGGCTAGGGAGGCTTTAGAAGGGGGAACAAAAGAGAAGGTTGATGGGCCAGGGCCTGGGGCTGCTTTGGAGCTGTCGGAGCCACTGGAATATGAAGGGGGCTCCCCAGTGACCGTAGCAGATGACTTCAAAGATGAAGAACCAAAGGAGAACACAGTGGGGGCTCCACCAGCAGGAAGCAAAGAAAAAGTGGCAATGGGAGCAGCAGGTGATGAAGGTGGCAGAGAGGCAGGGGCTGCAGCTGCAGAAGCATCCAGTTTCTGTGGGGCTTGAGAGGAGGTTGGGGTAGTGGGAGTACTTCCTGCAGTGACAAAAAAAGGAAGGAAAATGTTAACACTGTAACAGTGGAGGTTCACATAATAGAAAGCAAGTGAAAAAGAATTTGTGGTAGAATAAAGCCAGAAATGTTACTAGTTTAAGAAGCAAAAAGAACACATGGGTACACAGTTCATGTTGGAGTTTTCAGGTCTCATGAGATAAATGAAACTGAAGGAAAACTAAGGAAAGACATTAGAATAATTGGACTTCATGGACTTCTCAGTGCTACTATGGCACACAAAACAGTTCAGTCACTGCAACATTTCATTAACAACCAGGAAAAAGTTTTAATTCAGACCTCCACCTTATTTCACTAAAAGTAATTCCAGATAAATACACATAGAAAGTCACATAAATACAGGTATCTCAAAACAAAGGAGGCAAATTGATAGATATGTTAGGTCTCAGAATCTAACACCTTGATAAATTTAGAAGTGACCAAAAAAAAAACAATCGCAAAGGGAGAAGGTTAAGATTTGTGTAAAAAATAGCTACTCAGGTACAATAACTAAATGGTAATGAACTAAAAAAAAAGATCCATAGCAAATGACAAATAAGATGTTTTCTATTTTTTAAAAAGCTCATACAAATTGAGATTTTAAAATTTCAGGACTAATAAACAGGGAAACTAACTCACATAAAGAAAACACATTCAATCTCTCTAATCAAAGAAATATAAACAAGGTACATTTTTAATTTGTCCTCTAAATTATAAGAATTTAAATATGTCTAACCCCTTATGTTTGGATGGGTAAAACAAACCTGAAACTTTTTATCACTGGTAGGTAACTAGTATTTTTTTTAAGAAAACATTTTGGCATTGTATAAAAAACTGTAAAAAACAGACCCAGTAATTTCTCTTCTAAGAATAAAGCTTACAAACATAATGCAAAAAATGAAAAAGATATTTAATGCAATCCAAATGGTTAAAAAGAAAAAAAAAAGTCAATGGAAGGCTGGGCGCAGTGGCTCATGCCTGTAATCCCAGAGCTTTGGGAGGGCAAAGCAGGAGGACCCTTTGAGTCCAGGAGTTTGAGACCAGCCTGGGGAACAAAGTGAGACCCTGTTGCTACAAAAAAAATACAAAAATCAGCCAGGTGTGATGGCTTGTGCCTGTAGTCCCAGCTACTTGGGAGGCTGAGGTGGGAGGATCGCTTGGACTTGGGAGACAGAGGCTGCAGTGAGCCAAGATCCTGCCACTACACTCCAGCCTGCACAACAGAGTGAGACCCCTGTCTCAAAAATGAATAATTTTTTTTTCTATTTTCCAAACTTTCCATAAGGTAAAAATATTAATCTTTAAATTAAATAACCAACTAAATAAGAAAAGAATTCTTTGTGTCAATATTTTCTATTTATATTAATAGGACTTGGTTGTTCCAAATTAGCTAAGATGGCAGTTTATCTTCATGGAAGACACTTTGTCTAATGCAACGTAATACTTAGATACAAGTATGAAAATACCACTTTCTGAAAACAAAAATCCAAGTAAACTGTCACATTGATGAAAGTATAATAATGCAAGCAAACCTATTCTGTTAATACTTCTTTATACAATAGATATGGAACCAGCTACAACTAACTTCTGTAAAGACATACATAGATGTTAAAACACTTTCATGCATATTAGGTAAACTGACATGAAAAATATATACCAGACCCTAAATAAATCAAAAGCATTTTTTCCACTGAAAACAGAACTGATTATTGGAAAACCATCATGCTACTACTACTTCTGATCAATACAGCATCCTTAGAACTGCAGTGTAGAAACAGGTGGAACCATTAATGTCTTCTGAACCCATGAAGTAGGCTTTAGCTAGACTTAGCTGATGGGACGGACTTTCTCCCCGCAGGGGCTCTCTTCTACACATCTGAACACAACTATAACCTCTGGACCAACTGTGAAGGAAGAGGGGAGTTTCTCTAGGAAAGGCTAACAGTAAAACTGGCCTCTGATTGTGCTCCAGCATTGAATGGGCTAGTAGCAAAGGCTCAGAAACAAACCTCGTCCCATCCCAGAGGCTCCTAATCTCACAGGCTGCTCTGCTTATTACAGACACACCAGGCAGCTGGGTATAGGTAGTTCATGGTACCCTTATTCATGGCTGAATAAGGAGGAAAAAAAAACAACACAAAGAGTACACACACTATGAATAATGGACTACCCTGATACAACACTCTGCAAGCCATCTGGTATATCACTTGGGGTAGTGCTGCCAGTTGTTAGGGCCCAAGTATCTGAGTGGCTCTATTTGTGATATACAACTCACTGTGCACTGGGATGCAGGAAGAGAATATACCCCTAAGTTATTGCTAACCTTATACAAACCAACTGGTCATACATTTTTGCTTAGGTAAGAAACTGGTCATAATAGAAGAAAAAAATTGTATCAGTTATATACTCACAGAATTCAAAAAGAGAAATATTAGTCAAATTCCAACATATGAAACAATGCTCTTTTTAAAAGTTTTATATTTTCTGGTCATGCACAGTGTATCATGCGTATAATCCCAGCACTTTGGGAGGCTGAAGCAGAAGAATCACATGAGCCCAGGTGTTTGAGACCAGCCTGAGCAACACAGTAAGACCCTATCTCTACAAAACATTTAAAAAATAGCTGCATATGGTGGCGCATGCTTGTAGTTCCAGCTACTTGGGAGGCTTAGGTGACTGCCTGAGCCTGGGAGATTAGGGCTACAGTGAGCTGTGGTCATGCCACTGCACTCCAACCTAGGCAACAGAGTAAGACCCTGTCTCCACAAAAAAAAAAAAAAAAAAAAGTTTCTTTTCACAAGTGATACAAATGTCACTGTAAAAATTGTTTAAATACAGACTAGTATTTATATGTGTGCATTCATTTTCATGGAGGATAGGTACCAAAATGTTGACTGTGGCCATTGTTTTGCATGCTCTCATTTTCCTTCAATAAACATCTATTACTTAAGAAATGTTTCAAAAAGGAGAAAAAAAGTCAAGAAAATATAAACAAAAATCTCCATGTTCCCATCACCCAGAAATAACCACCATTTAGACTTTAAATCCATCTCCAAGTTGTTTTTCTATGTATATGTTTTTTCTCATACAGAAAAGATCACAAAGAATAGTGGTTTTTTTTTTTTTGGTGATGTATTCCACTCACTCCTTCCCTGTCAATAAATATAACATTTATAATTGGTACATGGCATTTCACTGTAAGACTATACAATCATTTCTTTAACCAACCCCCATGATTAAGCACAATGTCTTTTGGATGCACATCACATAATATAGGGTCTTAGAAAACTGTTGGTAAACGACTGGATGCAAATCATCTGGTTGACCTTCCTTCATCTCCGAAGTAAAGTAATGGCTGCAGAATAAAGCTTGAGGGTAGGGGAAGGCAAATATGTACATGCATGTTTAAAAAAAAGATTAGTGTGTGCCTTCCTAAGACAGACCAGGCTGGTAAAGATAATCACTATGTGTCTTCACACCATGTTCATTCTTGGAAATACTCTTGTGCAAGCCCATGGTATTCCCTTACTGATAAAGCAGGCAGAGGCACATACCTGGTGACTTGGGCTGTCGCTCTCCTTCTAATGAAAGTCGCTCTGGTGTTTTGATGAGAGACTTAACCCCAGGATTTTGATTAATCATATAAAATGGACAAAGCACACCATCTGTTGAAAGTAACATGAGAACTGGAGCAGGAGGAAGAGTCTTTTCATCACCTGTTAAAAAAGAAAACAAAAATAAAAAAACCAAGTGAATTTAAGGGCCTGAGCCCAGAAGGCAAAGACTGCCCTCAACATGAAGAGGGTTTAAGGGACTCATCTGAATAGCAGCTCAAGTTAGTTTGTTCTGATTTTATATCTGAACAGCCTTTCGTGCACCAGCTATTTAAAGAGAGTTCCTGCCGCTATCAGATCGCCACCACCCTGCTGGGCCCTGCCTAGAAGCTCCATCAGTCCCGCAGTAGCTCTGACTCTCCCAAAGGTCCCTCAGTTTTTATGAGTGTCTCAGTGGCTTGTGTACCTCAGTGGAGGTAGGCTTGGCATTCCCCTGACCAAGAGAAGAATATCTAAGAAGTACTTAGGTTAGTAGGAAAATGAGACTAGACTCTTTGGAATGGACAGTAGGACACAGAAAGATGAGTCAAACCACTTTATCCTCATTCACAGCTGAATGACAAGTATGTATTTTATCAGTTAAGGCTTCAAGAGAATCAGAGCAAATGAGCTTATCAGAACAAATACTCCTGCCTAACCAGGGAAGGAGCAAGCAACTTAATGGTGCCTGACGGGGACACCTCTCTAAACTTAAGTACCAGATGGCAAAGACTGTTTCTTTTGTGGCACTTTTACATTTCAATGACTACAGTATAGCCAAGCTACTGCAGGGAAGATCTATTCAAAACACATATCTAGGCCCTATTTGGAAACCATGGGCCTGAGGTCTCTATTTTCTAATCCTTGCCTTCAAACCAAGTACTTGTGTGCAGTACCAGATTCGGGTATTGCTTCTTTGGGAGGTCACCAGGGAATTGGATTGGACAAAGAAACCAAGCCATAAAATCCTGATGTTCTATATTTCAACCAGATTCTAAAGTACACCCAGACATGTGCAAGTGTGCAAACATGCACCCACACATACATACAGTGTTTGGCCTTGGTCTCATCAACGAACATCCATTCAAATCAGTTTAGTGTTGTCACAACGCAGCCTGTTATCACTCTTCAGGGAGAAATGTGCTGCCAGAAGCTACAAGTGCCCAGCAGAGTAGACTCTGTCAGTAACATGTAACTGGTGTTTCAATATTAACCCTAACTAGAAAGAAGACTATTTCTGCACTAACTACCAGGCTACACTTACTGATGGTGATTTCCACTTGGTTTGTATAGTCTACGACAACTCCCATGGGCAAGGAGTCATCACTCTTGTCTGTCACAGGCAATTCAGCTCGACTAGAATCCTCCAGTAGCCAAGATTCCCAATTAATCTAAAAAAAAAAAAAAAAAAAAAAAGAAGAAGAAGAAGAAAAAAGAAAAAGCCATGTTGGTTAGAGCTTTGCATTGGTTCCTCCTAACATTGTTCAAATAGGAGAACAGAGATGACTCACTTGGTTTAGACTCAGGTGTTGACTAGGAGGCTCTGAAATCTGAGAAGATGGCCTAAAAGCCAGAAGTACCCCAGCAAATGGGAAGTTAATTTTCCAAATCAACCCCCTCTCTATCTGTTCCTGGTGTATCAAGCCTCTGCCTTGTAAATAAATAACCACTATCATGAACATTTTCTGAGGTACCTTCCATGACAACTAGGGAGATTGCTGACCATGAGGGACAAATCCAACAGCAGCACTAAGCCAGTCAATACCTGCTCCTAGACATTTTGGATTGGGGCCAGGAACTCCAGCTGATCTCTACTGCAGTCTTTCACAGAGAAGCATGTAAGGCTGGTCTGTGCTCAGATGCCCTGCGCTCACTCGTCTATAGAGACAGAGATAACCTTAGTTCTTCTTCCCAGTTCTTGGTACCAGTTCCTCAGGCTGGTCAGCTTTCCTGTCCCCAGATTCCTTGAGAAACTACTAAGTCTTTCTAGTAAACTCCCTTTTTGCTTAAGTGTGCTTGGATAGGCTCTGTTCCTTCCAACAAATGACTCTTGGTTTTTAAAATCACTAACATTTTGCCTAACTTTCAGTGTTGACCAGACTGGGAAGCATGAATCACAGGGGAATAGTGCTTAAAGACCAACAAAGAAAAACAGGCTGGATGTAGTGGTTCATGCCTGTAATCCCAGCACTTTGGGAGGCTGAGGCAGGTGGATCACCTGGGGTCAGGAGTTTGAAACCAGCCTGGTCAACATGGTGAAATCCCGTCTCTACCAGAAATACAAAATTAGCTGGGCGTGTTGGTGTGCAACTGTGGTCCCAGCTACTTGGGAGGCTGAGGCAGGATAATCACTTGAACCCGGAAAGCAGAGGTTGCAGTGAGCCGAGATCATACCACTGCACTCTGGCCTAGGTTATGGGGAGGGGAGGGGAGGGGAGGAGAGCGGAGGGGAGGAGAGGGGAGTGGAGGGAAAGGAAGGAAAAGGAAGGAGAAGGAAAGAGAAGGAAGGAAGGAAGAAGAAAAAAGAGAGAGAGAGAGAAAGCAAGCAAGAAAGCAAGCAGGCAGGCAGTTCAGGAGAGGGAATGAAATCACACTATGTGACTTAGCTATGGAGCAGGTAACAGACACGTTCATATTAAACAAAAACAATCTCAACTTTTAAAAACAGTCTACAGACAAGATAAAGATGACTTATCATTGTAGGACAGAATGCAATTTTACAAAAGAGAAGACGCAGATAACAACTGGAAGGCTACCAAGGGAAAGGGTGGGAGTGCTAAGACATTCCTCTCACAAAGTGGAAGATCAAGAGTTATCACCAGACCGGGAGCTGTGGCTCATGCCTGTAATCCCAGCACTTTGGGAGGCTGAGGCGGGCGGATCACCTGAGGTCAGGAGTTTGAGACCAGCCTGGCCAACAAGGCAAAAACCTGTCTCTACTAAAAAATACAAAAATTAGCCAGGCGTGTTGGCGCATGCCTACAGTCCCAGCTACTAGGAGGCTGAGGCATGAGAATCGCTTGAACCAGGGAGGCGGAGGTTGCAGTGAGCCAAGATGGCGCCAATGCACTGGGTGACAAAGTGAGACTTGGCCTCAAAAAAAAAAAAAAAAAAAAAAAGATACCACCAGAAATGAGGGTAAAAAACACCAATTAAAATTACAAAGGTTCACCAAGATAAGAAATTAAAACAACGCTGTAACTCTTGAGAGGAAGGAGGGGACTGGGGGCCATGTGTGAGCTAGATCATCATTTGCCGTACAGTCAGTAAGGTCTAAAACTAATAACCAATTACTAGTTATAAAGCAGATTTTTCTTTAGGGATAAGGTGGCAGCATTATAAGAAAATGTTTACAAATTAAAAACAGTCCCCTCTAGAAAGCAAACAGGTAGGGCAGGGGTGATTCTTTTCACTTATAAGCCCTTCTCTACTATTTACTTTTCAAAAACATGAACATAAATTATTCTGATAGAAAGTAAAAATAAAATTGCATTTTTAATGTGTGAACATATGAAATACTTGTACTAATAAGAAATTATTACTGAGGTCAATCTAAGATAGTTCTAGAGCAGCAAATCAGATGGCTGAACTCTAGCCTCATCCAAAAGCAGCCACCCCTAGACAATGAGAGCCATGGCCCTCCTAATGGGCCACCTGGCCACCCAGAGAGTGACAGATAAATGCCAATGGTTGAAGAGGCACAAAGTACCTATGTATGGGTGGAGCACAAAGTATCCATGTGGGGAGGAGAAGCACTTGCTTCTTATTTATAAGGGTGCACTAAAGATTTTTAAGTTCAAGCCAGTTTTAAAAAGAAGTTTCCCTTCTTTCGTTGTGCCCTCTCTACAGTCATTCTGCAAAATCTACAAGTGGATAGCGCACCACCACTACCTGGGCCCACTGTGTCCCTGCAAGAAAGACAACGTGAAAGAAGGTTCTTGTATGCAAAGGTGCTTTGCTCCTTCTGACAGTTTTTCAAAGTCAAACAGAAAGTACTTCTGGTGAATCACAATTTAGTGTCATCTGCATGTTTTTCTTTCATAACTGAGGATGGATTATCATTAAATTGTATAGAAGTTGTTTCAAGCAACAGGAATAAAACAAAGATGACAAAACAGGACAAGGCAGAAAAAGCCGCCTACACATCAGGCATACTCCAGTTGGAGGTTAACTGCATGGTATGTTTCCACAGACAGGGGTTGGATCCTAAAAGAACAGAAGCGAAGGAAGTGCTAAGTCTGACACCCGTGTTTCTCCATGCAATAGCCAAGCCATTTGGCCAAGGCACTCTGTCACTGAAGCTTTGCTGTCACGCAGAAACTTGATAAAACAGATGTGAGATCATGTATACCTTAACCACATATAGTTAATTCCCTCCAAAATCTTTTTCAGAAAAGTACCATCAGGAGTTTGTGACCAGCCTGGCCAACATGGCGAAACCCAGTCACTACTAAAAATATAAAAATCAGCCAGGTGTGGTGGCCCGCGCCTACAGTCCCAGCTACTTGGGAGGCTGAGGCACAAAATTGCTTGAACTTGGAAGGCAGAGGTTGCAGTAAGCTGAAATTGCACCACTGCACTCCAGCCTGGACAACAGAGCGAGACTGTCTCAAAATAATAATTTAAAAAAGAAAGCACCACAGAAGTGACAAAAAAGAGATTTACCTGATCACTTTGTCGAGCAAGGATACTAACTTCTGTTGAAGCCGCAGATGCTGCCAGCACTAAATCCCTTAAAGAATAAAACCAGAGACCATTACGTTCAAATACAGCAATAGTTCTAAGCTAACCTGGGTCTGCAGGTAACACCTGTGAGGGCTGCCTCCACATGTCAAAGAGAGAGTAAGGTTTTTTATCTGGTTGAACAAAGGTGGGAAGATTCTAGATGTAAAGCTGAACTTTTTAGTTTCTGTGAGAAAGCCCTGTAGAATCAGCTCAGTGCCTACCTACATGAAGACAAAGGAAAGACACAACAGAATCAAGTCACAGTTCACAATCAATATGCCATCCAAAGGCAGAATAATGTAGCTAGAGGGATGGAAGCTTTGCTTTGAGTAATCTCCATTCCAAAGGGCAACTCTGCTCTCAGGAAACTTTTAATATATTCCTTGAATATCAATATTTTCGTAAGTCATCACTAGGGGTTATTGAGAAAATTAGATTTTTGAAATTAGTATGTATTTAAGATAAATAATTCAAGATTGGGGAAACAGAAATAATAGAAAGACATTATCAAGAATCAGCTGAAAATATGTTCAAGGCATCTCAGCCTCCATTTTCCTCTGTAATGGAAAAGATTTCAGGCTGGGTGCGGTAGCTCACACCTGTAATCTCAGTACTTTGGGAAGCCAGTCTGAGCAACATAGCAAGATCCCATCTCTAAAAACAAAAAACAAAAACCAAAAAACTTATTTAAAAATAAGCCAGGTGTGGTGGCATGTGCTTGTAGTCCCATCTGGGAGGCTGAGGTGGAAGGATCACTTGAGCCTGGGAGTTCCAGGCTTCTGTGAGCTACAATCGTGCCACTGCACTCCAGCCTGGGTAATGGAGTGAGACCCTGCCAATCCATCAATCAATCAATCAGAAAAGATTTCAACATGGGACAAGGTGACTCAGGTGTGATCTTCCAGTGAGAGCAGGAATGCCCTGTCCAGACTCTCTGCTCACCATTCCTCAATGTAACTGAGGTAGTAATGATGCTGTCTCTCCGTGCAGCTGCCATAACAGGGCTCCATAAAGTTCACAAATATCTCTGGGTGCTTTTCTTCTTTTTTCTACAATGAACAAAGCAAGAAAAAAAATTCTCATGTGCAATTTTTCTCAGATCCCACAGCAAAAGAATCTCAAATAATAAATCATTTAAAGTTATATGAGAATATTTACTCAAAGTCCAGATATACGGACATGGTATAAAGGCAGCACTTAGTACAAGGAGTACAAACATTGGCCATCAACCGAACTGCATTTAAACTCTGTTCTGCCACTTTCTGCCCACGAGACATGCAGATTTTTCAACCTTCCTGATACTTAGTGTTCTCATGTGTATACTAGACCTACTAAGCCTACTTCAGAGGCTACTGTAAAGTGTAAAATGAAATGATACATACAAAACTTCCAGCCCAGTACATGAAACATAAGTAGCAGTTAATAAATACTAGTGTTAATATTATCCCCTAGAATAGAAAAAACCTCTAATCTTAAAATAAGGCATCTAGATAAACATATTTCAAAAACTCAACCTTATTAGAAATCCAAAAGAGTTAAAAACAAGACATCTTTTTCAAGTATCAAATTGGCCTCCCTTGACACACAATCTCAAACACATACCAGTCATCATCTATCCCTAACACGGCTTTATTTTCTCCATCACTCTTATCAGTCCTTGATCTCACATTTAGTATTGACTATCCCATTAAAATGTAAGACCAGCCAGGTGTGGTGGCTCAAACCTGTAATCCTAGTGCTCTGAGAGATGAGGCGGGAGAACTGCTTAAAGCCAGGAGTCCGAGACCAGCGTGGGCAACAAAGCAAGACCCTACCTCTGCGAAAAATTTAAAAACAGCTGGCTGTGTTGGTGCATGCCTGTGGTCCCAACTACTCGGGAGGCTGAGGCAGGAGGATGGCTTAAGCCCAAGAATTTGAGGCTGTAGTGAGCTGTGATCGCACCACTACATGCCAGCCTGGGCAACAGAGTGAGATTCTGTCTCTAAAAAATAAATAAAAATTAACAACAACAACAAACTTAAAACCATAAAAGCAAGCCCATCACCTTGATCACTGCTATATACTCAGCTTTAAAGCAGTGCCTAGCACACTGTTGGCATTAAATATTCGAGAGCAAATGAAATAATTTTAAAAATCAAGATACTGTCTTGCTTTTCTAAAATTTATCGAGTTAACCAAGACTCATAGTTTATAGCTTAAGCAAAATCATTTTTTTTTTAACCTCATAACAGTAGAACATGCTGTGGACACTCCAATTTTAGACCCCTGGCCCATGGTGCAGCATGGAAACCTTATACCTGAAGTTGCATAATCACTGCCAGTAAGTAAAAGAACCTGAAATCAGGCCAGGTGCGGTGACGCACACCTGTAATCCCAGCACTTTGAGAAGCCTAGGTGGGCAGATCACTTGAGCTCAGGAGTTCAAGACCAGCCTGGGCAACATGGTGAAACTCCATCTCTACCAAAAAAAAAAAATTAGCCAGGCATAGTGGTGTGCACCTGTAGTACCAGCTACTCAGAAGGCTAAGGTGGGAGGATCACTTGAGTCCAGGAGGTCCAGGCTTCAGTGAGGTGAGATCGCATCACTGCACTCTAGCCTGGGCGACAGAGTGAGATCTTGTCTCAAAAAAAAAAAAAAAAAACACAAACACAAAAAAACCCCTTGAAATCAAAGCCTCCAGCTTTATTAGAAGACTTCTCTAATTCTCAAACAATGAAATTTCTTCCACAGGCATACCGGTAGTAGAGCCATCACCACATCTGGAGACGTTTCCAGGGTCCCATCTGCAGCAGCATACACTATGGCGAAGACGTAGGTACCAATCCACAGCACATCCAGAACTGAAAGACACATCTTAATCAGTAGCTCATAAAAATGACAGCAACCAGATACAAGAAAAAGCAGCTTATGTTTGGAATAGCCACTATGGATAAAAAAAAAATCAAAGGCCCTGATTTCATTGACTAAATATAATGCACAGGTACAATGACCCAAGAAGCCCAAACTCATCCCCAAATGGTAATTTTTCTGCTGGATTATAATCAGGGCAAATTATGAAGAATTGTAATAAAAAGTCGGGATCCATTTCATGTCATTTATCGTGAAACACAGATGTCACCCAGAGGGCCATAATTTACACTGACTTAATTAGCTGTTTGAAATAGTGACATTATTCATAAAGCAAACACCAATACCTCACTGAGCAGGTACATTACATGATTTTGAATTTCTGTAATATACATAACATGTCATTAGAGGTCAGCCCAATAAGAAAAGCAGTTGTTACCTCTGACAGGATGATCTGACTCATAAAACGGAGGACAAGGAATGACTTTTTTTTCCTGCAAAGTCTGAAAGAGATTTGGAGGGGAAAATAAAGTATCAAATGAAACAAATCCTAAACCAATCAAACTGTCAAATCTAATCTATTCCTTAGATGCTACCTGTTCCATCTCCTTGGCCGGGAGAGACTGAAGAAACAGAATAGTGCTATCTACTTCCAGGACTTCATCCTACAGAAACCCATGAACGTGGCTGGGTGTGGTGACTCATGCCTGTAATCTCAACACTTTGGGAGGCCGAGGCAGGTGGATCACCTGAGGTCAGGAGTTCGAGACTAGCCTGGCCAACATGGCGAAACCCCGTCTCTACTAAAAATACATAGCTGGGTGTGGTGGCGGGTGCCGTAATCCCAGCTACTCGGGAGGCTGAGGCAGGAGAACTGCTTGAACCCAGGAGGCATAGGTTGCGGTGAGCTGAAATCACGTCATTGCACTCCAGCCTGGGTGACAAAAGCAAAACTTGGTCTCCAAAAAAAAAAAAAAAAGAAAGAAAAGAAAAGAAACGCATGAACGCATGAACATGTTCAGATATAGGTAATGAGAGTAGTCAATGCAACACCATTTGCAGCAGCAACGCCACTAGCACTGATGCAGACAATCATCAATAGTGGAATAAGGCTGGGCGAGGTGGCTCATGTCTGTAATCCCAGCACTTTGGAAGGCCAAGGTGGGCACACTGCTTGAGCCCAGGAGTTTGAGACCAGCCTGGGCAACATGGCAAAACCCTATCTCTACAAAAAATACAAAAATTAGCTGTGCATGGTGGCAAGTGCCTGTAGTCTCAGCTACCCGGGAGGCTGAAGTGGAAGGATCACCTGAGCCCAGGAGGCTGAGGCTGCAGTGAACCATTACGTTATCACACCATTGCACCCCAGCCTGGGCAACAGAGCAAGACCATCTCTCAAAAAAAAATAATAATAAATAAATAAAAAATTAAGGCAAACAGCAAAGCAAGAAAATTTAAAAAATTGCATTATCTTTTTACAGGTTAGTGTCCTAAAAGATTATGTACCAAATTTCAGGTAACTTTTGGTAATAACAAATAAGAAACATAACCTTAACCTTAAACCTATACCACCTACATTCACCACTCTGCTCCCCTCCTCGCCAGAGAACAGTCTTGAGGAGGAAGGCACAAGAAAGGCCTTAGCACCACCTGTGAATCCCTCCTTCGTGTCCAGGCTCAATAGACATATGGGGGTTCCTTGCAACTCAATTGATATTGAAGGATATTTGTGAACATTATTTCAAGAAATTCACAGGGAGGATGACAGAGTGCACATGCAACAAGAGTATCCATTTTCTTTGGTGCCCATAGTTAGACAAACAGACCTTTAAAGACAGACTCAGTTAAAAGACAAATACTGTGCTTTAACCCAGAGTGATTCTGCATTATCATCATAGTTTTTTCACTAACTCTTTTCCCTTGAGCTGTTTTTATGGAATGGACTGAAAAAGGTGGGGAACAGCGCATAGCGTATGATCACATTTTACATAAAAACAACAACAAAAAAAAAGCAGCTACCCATAGACTATTTGTATAACATCCAGAAAAGTATGGAAGGCTATCTACTCAACACAACATAGTGGGTGCCTCTGGAAGAAGGACTATGGGAAAGGGAAGAGTTCCACTCTTCATTCACTGATGGATTTGTTACAATGAGTATAAATTACTTTTTAATAGGAAAAACAAGAAAGATACTCCCAAACCACCCCCAAAAAAGTGGGCAACTTAAGAAAAATTCTGAAGTTCAAGATAAGAACTTACAGGAAGATACTGGACCACAGTTCCATTCTGTTTTCCCACTGCCAGCTGCTTTCCTTTGGGGCTCCAGCACACTGAGCAAAGACAGTATTACCAAATGAAAACAAGAAAATGGAGCAAACCAATAAGATCTATCACACACAGCTAATTATCAATTCTCATTCCTCTGTCAGTCCATGGAAGATTGTAGGATCATCTCTATCAGGCAAAGTGGAAAAAAGTAAAATCATTTTAACGATATAAGCCAATTGATTTATCACTGGGCTATTGAATTGAAAGCTAAAAATGCTTTTTCAATAGATTACTGCCCAGAAAGCTGCAAAATACAGAAAACTCTGTAGTCTTTACATAAGACAAGGAGAACAGAGAAGGTTTCCAAATACCAAGAAATCACTGGCCGGGCACAGTGGCTCATGCCTGTAATCCCAGCACTTTGGGAGGATGAGACGGACGGATCACTTGAGGTCAGAAGTTCAAGACCAGCCTGGCCAACATGGTGAAACCCCGTCTCTACTAAAATATACAAAAATTAGCTGGGCATGGTGGCAGGCACCTGTAATCCCAACTACTCTGGAGTCTGAGGCAAGAGAATTGCTTGAACCCAGCAGGTGGAGGTTGCAGTGAGCTGAGATCGCGCCACTGCACTCCAGCCTGGGCGACAGAGCAAGACTCTGTCTCAAAAAAAAAACAAAAAAAAAAAAACAAAACCAGAAATCATTCTCCTGCTCCCATTTAATATTTAAAATGCTTTTCCGCCCAAAGGTACAAATGACTTTCAGAGTACCACCGTTACAGATCCAGAAACAATTATTCCCAAAAAACACTTCTAAACCAGCTGTACCAAAATATTTCTCCAGAAATCCCAAGTACATTCAGGTTAAATTATGTATGCTGTTTGGCTTCAAGGACATTAACTATGGGTATAAAGAATACTCTCAGCCGGGCACAGTGCCTCACACCTGTAATCCTAGCATATGCGGGGTGGAGGAGGGCAGATCACTTGAGGTCAGGAGTTCAAGACCAGCCTGGCCAACATGGTGAAACCTTGTCTCTACAAAAAATACAAAAATTAGCTGGGCATGGTGGCGCATGTCTATAATCCCAGCTATTTGGGTGGCCGAGGCACGAGAATTGCTTGAACCCAGGAGGTGGAGGTTGCAGTGGCTGAGATGATGCCACTGTACTCCAGCCTGGGCGACACAGTGAGACTGTCTCAAAAAAGAATACCTTCCATCCTTAACCTCCCTCGTCATGAAAAAAAAAACCAAAACACAAAAAGCTATCCACTTTCACTTCTAGAAATCAATTCTTAAGTAGATGACCATGATTGTATGCTACAGTGTGAAAGCCTTTATTACTCACCAGAGGTTACTGCTACCGTGGAAGGAAGAGTTGCACATACTTTCACTGTTTCCGTGACTTGCAGGACAGCAATACTACCATCAGCCAGACAAACTGCCACCATGGAGGGGACAGTGGGGTTCCACTTCATATCAATCACCATGCCTCCTGCATCTTTCAAAAGCTTATGATAGGCAAATGGGCGTTTTTGCTGTTTAGCCTTTTAAAACAAATATGCAAAAGTGAAATAAGTTAACAAATAGTAAATGCAGAAACATTTAATATTCAATGGAAATTACTGAATACACAAGGTATCTCAAATCAGTTTATTTTTCTCCATAACCATAAAAAAAGATTGTTTTATGCATCAATCTATTTGCTATAGACAATTTCAACACAACTTTGAAAATGGCAATCAATTATTCTAACATGCTTAGGGGGACTCTCAGAAGGGGAATGCACAATTGCAAAATAACCAATAAATAGCAGACAATAGATTAAAATCTTGGCTCTGCTTCTTAATAATGTTGGGACCTTGGACAGTTACTTAAACTCTGAGCCTGTTTCTCTACCTATAAAATGAAGATAATAGTACCTACTACATAAGGCTGTGGTAGGCATGAACGAGGGACAAGGCATATAAAGCACTTAGTACAGAGTCTAACACACACAGTCAGTATAAACACTCACTATTATTATCATTCTTAAACTGCTTGGAATGGAAGAACATCCAAAATGTAGGAACTTTTGACATTATGTATTCATCTATGACTTTGGGCAAGTCACCTAAGCCTCCTGATAACAACTTAGGGCAGATGGCGTTATGAAAGAATTTCTTGAAGTCCCTTCTGTCTCAAAGATCTATGATTCTATAATTAAGGATTTTTTTTTAACCCATATTTTAATCTAGAGAGAAACTTCAAGGGTTAACCTATGAAGCTTCCAAGTTGTAATTCAATACAAGGAAATCTGCTTAGGGTTCTCATGTTGACATCACAGTATAACAGTAGCTTACCTCATTTGAGAATGTGCGAACATCAAAAAAAGCAATAATGGAACCATATTCACTGGACATCATGCACGCAGAGAGTGTGAGGTTATCACAGCTCAAGGCCAGGTGATGGATTGGGAATTTCATAGGAACTAGCAAGCCTTGGACTTTATCAACTATGAAAACAAAAAAATACAAAGCAGAAAACGGTATGTTCTAAGCATAAAGCCACAACCTCTATCCAGTTCGATGTGAAAAAATTTTTGCATCTACATAAACACACATACACCCCAATACCTAGTTATACAGATAAATCTTAACTTTCTTAAAGATATATAATGATGGATTAAGTATCCCTGGAATTCTTCCTCATACAATCTGGGGAAACTAACTGTGGCTGCTGCCCTTGTTGAAAATATTTTTGCAACAATGCTCTAAATAGTACACCTTGCCAATAGTTTGGATCATACTGTTGTGCCAACTGAAAACCCATGCCAATAAAACCCTTCACCCAGAGAGCCAGAGCCCAAGTTCAACTGAGCAAAAATAAAAGCATGGCATAATGGTTAAGTTCTTCCCTGTTGAGCTGAGAGGAACAACTCATGTAAGGAGAAATACAAAGGACCAAGGAGAAAACCTAGAAAGGCTTCCATTAATCTTCTTGGGAGTCAACCTTCAAACTGACAGCAGTGTTCATTTTAGTATTAGAATGACTTCTTGGGAAGGAAACACAAGAGCATGCCACCATACTCCTCTCTCTACTTTGCAACATAAACCAGGGAACTTACCTATTTTGTTGGGATCATCTCCGGGTTTATTTTGAATAAGAAGATTTTTAGTAGGAAAAATCTGCAAGCCACTGGCTCCACCAGCGAAGACCAGACCATATTTGTTGGACACAGCAAGCAGACTCGAGCGTTCCTTGGGCAATTCCTCAGGGGAGTCAAAGATTCTCACCTTCTTTAGCGCTCTAAACTGAAAATCCTGTTGTGAAGAATCAAAACGAGATCAATTCAATAAAGAAAGAAATTAAAACATGTTATATTCAGTAGACCCAATTTCAGTACAACAAAAATATGTATTACTGAGACCAAGGTCTGTCTCAATTGTCTTTTTTTCTTTTTTGAGATGGAGTCTCGCTCTGTCGTCCAGGCTGGAGTGCAGTGCAGCGATCTTGGCTCACTGCAACCTCTGCCTCCCAGGTTCAAGCGATTCTCCTGCTTCAGACTCCCAAGTAGCTGGGATTACAGGCACCCGCCACCATGGCCATCTAATTTTTGTATTTTTAGTAGACACAGGGTTTCATTATGTTGGCCAGGCTAGTCTCGAACTCCGGACCTCAAGTGATCCATCCACCTCAGCCTCCCAAAGTGCAAGCTCACAGGCATGAGCCACCACACTCGGCCCTCATTTTTTTCTGATATGGAACACTTCATGAATTTGTCTGTCATCCATGTAAAGGGGCCATAATAGTCTTCTCTGCATGATCCCAATTTTATATGTGCTGCCAAAGGGAGTGCGAGATTACCATCTTCTAAGTCTGTGGTTCTATTAATAAAACCTTTTTTTCTTCTACCCCAGCATATCTGAGGAATATGACACAACCCCATTAGGTGGCTCACCACAGGTGGTGATTCTCAAAAAATAATCACTATTCTAGGACAGCACGGTAGCTCACGCCTATAATCCCAGCACTTTGGGAGCCAGAGGAGGGCGGATCACGTTAGGTCAGGAGTTCGAGACCAGCCTGGCCAACATCGTGAAACCCAGTCTCTACCAAATGATATAAAAAATTAGTGGGGCGTGGTGGCAGGCGCCTGTAATACCAGCTACTAGGGAGGTTGAAGCAGGAGAATCGCTTGAGCCGGGGAGGTGGAGGTTGCAGGGAGCCGAGATCATGCCACTGCACTCCAGCTTGGGTGACAGAGCAAGACTCTGTCTCAAAAAAAAAAAAAAATCACTATTCTAAACATGGTATTACTATGCCCTAAATGCATTTTAGTGATTTATTGTTCACACAGATGCCTAAAATCTTCCTGCAACTTACTTCTTTTCACTATTTAAAACAGATGTAGCCCGTCTGTTGTACCCTCATTCTGTCAGAACCCATATAAGAACTATTAAACACACCATCCTGAAGTTATCCCTGGGGGACTCCCACGTTGCTATCACTGGGACCACTTGGCCCTCCCTTTAGGTTCCTGACTTTAGGCTGATATACCGAGGTCAAAATAGTCTTCCTAGTCCAATCAACTAAAGGTTCTGCAGGATGGATGACCTTCCCTGACTCTACGTTAGGCAAGCCCGTATCACCTTACAGAAGTACTGGGAGAGCAAAGGTCTTAAATGATGCTGGCTTTCAGCCCCGCGTCAAATGTGACTTTAGGGAAATTACTTTCCGAGCCTCAACTTACTCCTCTACGTTAACGACTACTTCGTAGGGCTGCCGCGATGACTACCACAGTGCCTGGCACACAGTCAACACTCAATAAACAGCAGTTATTGCCACTATTGTGACCGCCCCAGGAAGTAGCTAGGGTAACTCAACAGCCGTGCACGAGACCAGGATGGGACTGGGAAACTGCATTCGGTGGGGCTATCACGCCAGCGGCGCGGCAGACGCGCTGGTGAGAGCTGTGAACGCGGTAAACTGTTCAAGCAGGAGGCGGGACAGCCAGCACCGCGCTTCGCCTTTCAGCTGGGCTCCAAGGCAACGCCAGGACTAAAGAAGGGAGGGAGGCCCCGGTTAGTCTCTGACCTTCATCTCCCGCTCGGGAATCATGGCATCCATCTCGTCTCCCATCGCGCCGCCCTCAGTGTGTCGAAGCAGCCAACGCTGCCTCCCACGGCCTTGCCCACGGAACCCAGGCCGCTCGACAGCAAACTTCCTCCCCTCAGCGCCAGCGGCGCGCAGTTGACCTCGCATTTCCGGCGCGCTTTGGTGACGTCAAGCTTGGTCAGAGGAAGCCGCGGAACCTAGCGAAGCCGCGCGTTCTTCCGGCCGCCGCTCCCCATTGGCCAGCTCGGGCTGAGTAGTGGCGTGGCCGTGAGGTCCCTGCGCCTGCGCCCTGGATGGTCCTGGTGCCGCTCCCGCCTTCGCAGCCAGCGCGGGCTTACCTAGTGTTAAGTCTCTCTTCTTGGGTGGCCCACGCCTAAGCGACCTATGCTTCTTGTTCTTCTGAAATCTTACAGTTCCCCTTAGATGTAGGTTGGCTATTGGTAGCTTCCGATTCAGATAAGTTTGGAACTTGACAGATGTTTTCGGGGGGCTGCTTTAGAGAGAGGCTTTGGACTATGCAAGGGGAGGAAGGGAGGTTCAGAAAAACGGGGTCGGGGGGTCGGCAGGGACGACTCTTAAAGTGTGGAAGGTGGAAGGCTGGGAGGGGAGATTAAAGGGCACCGAAGACCAGCTTTGTTTGCTCCTATCAAGGTGATCCTTTCCAGAGCAAGAGCCATATCCATGTCTAGTCGCACGAGTTTGTGCCAAGTCCTTTGCAAAAACCTTCAGATGTGGGATCTCATGTAATCTTGAAGACATCTTAGTCGTCCTAGGGGTTATTTATTTAATTGATGAGACGCGGGTGGCTCATGCCTATAATCCCAGCACTTGGGAGGCGGAGACAGGAGGATTGCTTGAGACCAGGAGTTTGAGACCAGCCTCGGCAACATGGCGAGACCCCGTCTCTATAAAAAACAAAACAAAACCACAAAAATTAGCCAGCAGTGATGGCATGCGTATGTAGTCTCAGCTACTCGGGAGGCTGAGGTGGGAGAATTGCCTGAGCCCAGGAGGTTGAGGCTACAGGGAGCTGTGATTGCACCATTGCACTCCAGCCTGGGTGACAGAGCCAGGCCCTGTCTCAAAAAGTAAATAAAAGGCCGGGCGCGGTGGCTCACGCCTGTAATCCCAGCACTTTGCGAGGCCGAGGCGGGCGGATCACGAGGTCAGGAGATGGAGACCATCCTGGCTAACACGGTGAAACCCCGACTCTACTAAAAATACAAAAAATTAGCCGGGCGCGGTGGCGGGCACCTGTAGTCCCAGCTACTCGGGAGGCTGAGGCAGGAGAATGGCGTGAACCCGGGAGGCGGAGGTTGCAGTGAGCAGAGACAGCGCCACTGCAGTCTGGCCTGGGCGAAAGAGCGAGACTCCGTCTCAAAAAAAAAAAAAAAAAAAAAGTAAATAAAAATAGGCTGGGAGCAGTGGCTCACGCCTGTAACCACAGTACTTTGGGAGGCCGAGGTGGGTGGAACACCTGAGGTCAGGAGCTCGAGACCAGCCTGGCCAACATGGTGAAACCCCGTCTCTGCTAAAAATACAACAATTAGCCGGGTGTGGTGGCGGACGCCTGTGTTCCCAGCTATACAGGAGGCTGAGGCAGGAGAATCGCATGAACACAAAAGGTGGAGGTTGCAGTGAGCTAAGATTGTGCCACTGCACTCCAGCCTGGGTGACAGAGTGAGACTCTGTCTCAGAAAAAAAAAAAAAAAAAAAAAAAAATATATATATATATATATATATACACACACACACACACATATATATATACACACACACACATATATATATATATACACACACACACATACACATACATAATAATAATTGATGAGGTAAGGGAGGCACAGAGAAGTTGAGAAAATTCTCCAATAGCCCTCAGTCAGAAAGTGGTGGTGACAGGATTAGAATTGAGATCGTCTGGATAAGGCTGACTGATGGTATTAAAGTCCTTCATAGAATACATTTCTGTAGTGAATTATAAATGCTCTAGGACAGAGGTTCTTTTTTTTTTTTGAGACGGAGTCTCACTCTGTCACTCATGCTGGAGTGCAGTGGCGCGATCTCGGCTCACTGCAAGCTCTGCCTCCCGGGTTCACAGCATTCTCCTGCCTCAGCTTCCCAAGTAGCTGGGACTACAGGCGGCCGCCACCACGCCCGGCTAATTTTTTGTATTTTTAGTAGAGACGGGGTTTCACCGTGTTAGCCAGGATGGTCTCCATCTCCTGACCTCGTGATCCGCCCACCTCAGCCTCCCAAAGTGCTGGGATTACAGGCGTGAGCCACCGCGCCCGGCCGACAGAGGTTCTTAACTTGGACCTCATGGGTTGGCTCCAGGGGGGTCGGATTGTGCCATTTACTGTTTGGCTTGCAGCACATTGCTTATTCAAGCCTACTTTTCAGTTGTGAAACAAGGATGACATAATAGAACCTGTCTCTTGCAGGGAGGTGGTTAGGATAAGTGAATTTCAGCTGTCTCAGACAAAAGGCACAGGACATGCTCATTTAATCTCTTACTATATTAGCTAGTTCGCAATTTGCTGAGCCCAGAACCAGCCCCAAAATACACCAATCAAGACGTTGGTAAGTTTGTCTGGTTTATTTGCAGGCTGTAGAGATGATATCCCAGTCCACGCACACTCCCATGCACACGCACACACATACTTCATCCACCTGAATTTGCCCGACAAACCCTCCTCTGAGTCATAGGGACAAAGCCATACTTGGCAGTCCTCACGTTACTGGTTACATTAGATTTGGTCTTTCAGAAAGAAGATGGTTGAAGTCCCAAGAAGCTGAGCCCTTAGCCAGAGAAGTAAGAGTCCTAGAACCAAGAGCCACAACCTGAAATAGATGCAGACTGCCCCCGCCCTCCTTCCAGGGACAACTCTTGAGACCCTCTCCTCCCAGGAGTTGAGTCTCAAGAAATGAAGGGACTGATGGGGTTTCCCAGGACACACGAGCCCCCACCCCCATTCAATGAGAAAACCCTCTCTTCTGCCATTTCCAGAAGCTGGGGCCACACCTGCTTGCTCTCCTCCCTTAAGGAGAATTCCTGCAGTCTTGTAGAACTGTGGAACTTACTGAAATAAGCCTGACTGGTTCTGCCTTCCTCTCTGAGTGAGGAACAGGGACACTGAATATGATGGGTAGTGAAGGAAGGCTTTATCTTCCTCAAAGGTCCCAGCCTGTCCCAGAGAGGAGAGGCAGTGAGGAGGGGTGAGGACATCTAATGATCTTGGGGAAAAAAAAAACAAAAAACAGGGCAGGGTGGGGGTAGAAGTAGGATTTTCCATTTACAGGGAGGAATGTTTTGCTGGGGTTTAAACTTCAACTAGGCCTGTGTGCATTTGAAGCAGATCCTTGAGCTCAAGATCAGCCAGTCATGGCCAAATAACCTCATTCCTGAACTGGTTGAAACCAGTGGGTTAACCCAACCTGGCCATTTCCTCATGCCTTACCTGTTTTCCTCCCTCAATCTGCTATCAGAGGTGACTAAGGAGCCGCAGGGAACCCACGTTGGCTCCAACCACCAAGACCTCCCAGTCCTGTCCACTTAAGGTGTTGCAAAGGCTCTGCCAAGACTCTCACCCAGTCTTGGGCCCATCTAGGCCCCCAGGACTGCAGGGAAGTCACCCCATACCTCCCCCTTCCTAACATTTATCTCATTGTCATTGTCTGGGTCTCACTTTCCTATTGGACTCTAAGTTCCATGAATCTGTCCATTTCATTATTGGATTCTTAACTGTTGGCCTACAGCAAGTGCTTAATAAATATGTTCAGTGAATAACTGTCTCAGTCCTGAGCAGGTAGGGTAAGAGACTTCAGAACACAGGTGGGGTTAAGGCTGAACACCCTGATCAGCCAAGATGGGGCTGACTTTGACATCTTCCTGCATGAATTACAAGAGGCAGCTTCAGAGGCCTGGTCTTTGCCCTAAGCCTGATGCTGACTTGAAGGCATGGGAGAGGGCGAATCCTGGACCAGGGTCTTCAGAGCAAGTGAAACCCTCTCCAAGTGTTGACCTTGGAGGCTGTCTCTTCCCAGCCCTTCCCTGTTCTCATAACTAACTAAGGCAGCCCACACTGGAAATGAGGTGTAGGCAGGGTCCCTGAACATCTGGGCCCCAGTCCAGGGCACCTCCCTCTGGAGATAAGCCTGACCTTGGGCAAGGCACTTAATCCCTGTGGGGCACCAGTCTCCTCACCTGTGAAATGAGAAGTCTGGCCCAGCTACCCTCCAGGGTGCATTAGGGTTCTAAAATCCTGCGAGTCCATAAGAAAGGACACAGGTGACCCCAGTTCAATTCCCAAGCTCAAGGTTCTGAGAGATCTGGGGAGAGATGAGTTAGACCGTGTATACTGCACATGCCAGGACAACATGGGAGGATGTAAAGCTTATAATAGCAGGTCAATAAATATCTGGTGAATGAGTGAGTCAATGAGTGAATTATGTGAGTAGGGTAGGAAGACAAATGAGAGAAGCAGAGTCAGGTTTCAAGCAGATTGGGGTCAGACAAGCAACCTTGTATTTCTCAGTCTTGGCTTACCAGTGCTGCTGACTTTGCCGTGAGCATTTTACTCCTCATTCTCCCATCCTGGTCCCCTCAGTAACCTCCCTAAAAGGTGGAACAGCACTGAGCTGACCTTTCCCCCAAAACCCCAGGCCTCACTTCTGCCTCCGAAGCCCTCTGCTGCCCCAGTAAGGGACAGTAGGGCTGCACGCTGCCTCTCAGCTGCCTGCACAGGTGTGGCCAGAGAGCAGGACTGGAGGGTTCCTTCTGGTACCTTCTTGAAGGGCTCCCAATGCCAAGCTCCTTTCCTTCCCACCTTCACATCACTGAGGATGAGAAGAGGTGTGGAATGAGTGGGGATCAGCTGGGGCAGCGGGGCCCCGAGTGGCTGTGTCCTGGGTGACACCAGAGCACTGGAGCCATGGCACTGTCCAAGGAAACCCGAAAGAGGCCCTGCAGCCTTGTCCCTACTCCAAGGTCTTCTCAGAGTGGCCTGGGGTCCTCGTCAGAGCCAGGTCAGTGAGCCTGAACTTGGCTTGGAGACTTTCTGAAAGGATGGAGAGTGCTGGTTCCTCCAAGTGAGGGGAACACAGGCTGGAAGCCTCCCTGCCCTGGCCCTGCCCCCTCTAGTTTTTGGTTTGATGTCAGCCCTTCTGCACAGGGAGCGGGGAAGGAGGGAAGAAGAGAGGGAGGGGACCCAAGGCTCAGGATTCCCCGACCCAGAGCCCCTTTAAGGCAGATAATTTGTGCTTTACAAAGACATTGATGAAAACACAAACAAACCCTCAATGACCAAACAAATGAGAGAGAGAGAGATCACAGTGTGTCAAGAAGGGCAGCAAGATCGGGAGGGAGGTATGGGGTGGGAAGGCTGGGGAGTCCAGGCGGGGTCCTCAGGGCAGGCTAGCAATGTCTCTCTCTGGAGGGGGGCCAACTGGCTTGGGGCTGCTCTCGTTGGCTTTTCCTTCAAACATCATGACTCTGGTTTGGAGATGGAGAAAAGAAAAAAAGAAAGAAAAACAAGATTAGGATCCTTCCCTCATCCAGGGAAAGATCATCCCAGCCTCATGTCAGCAGGGTCCTCAACAGAATTTAAATCTGTTCTCCAGTGGGATCCTTGCAGAAGCCCAAGACAGCAGCTCCAAGGAAGGGGCTGCTAGTCCCATTTTACAGAGGAGAAAATGGAGGCGCAAAGTGGTGATATGACTCCTCAGAACCACACAGGCGGTCCAGGGCAGAGGCTGGGTACGACTCCAGGCTTCTGACTTCCAGGCCATACCCTTCCCTTAACCACACTGCCTGGAGGAGGCTGAGCCAGGCTGGGCCACGCCTCTGCGCAAAGATCTTCAAAAACCTGCCCACTGCTCTGAGAGTGGTGTCTGGGGAGTAGAGGGTAGGGGCTCAGCGTATAACCTCTAGGGCAACTGCCTAGATTCAAATGCCAGCCCTGCTACTTCCCAGCCGGGTGGCTCAAGCAAGACACTTGACCTCTCTGATCCTTGGCGTTTCTCCCTGGAAGTGGGGTGCTAGAAGATCTGGCCAGATTGGACCGTGGGCTCATGGGCCAGGTACTCAGTCTCCTTGGGCCTCAACAAGCTCCTTTGTAAAATGAGACAGGTATATTTTACATTCGTACTTTAAAAAAGTGAATCTTATTTCATAAAAGCCAAGTAAGTGTTATTTTCTGTTTTCTTTTTTTTTTTTTTTTTCTTTTGAGACAGAGTTTTGTTCTTGCCGCCCAGGCTGGAGGGCAATGTCACGATCTCTGCTCACTGCAACCTCCGCCTCCTGGGCTCAAGTGATTCTCCTGCCTCAGCCTCCCGAGTAGCCAGGATTACAGGCGTGAGCCACAACACCCAGCTAATTTTTGTATTTTTAGTAGAAACGGGGTTTCACCATGTTGACCAGGCTAGTCTCGAACTCCTGACCTCAGGTGATCCACCGGCCTCAGCCTCCCGAAGCGCTGGGATTAAAGGCGTGAGCCAGGGCACCTGGCAGAGTGTTATTTTCAGCTGTGACAAATGACAATGAGACTGCCCTGGGGCAATGCTGTAACGCTCTTCAATGGGGCAGCACCCACAATGTGCTACCACGTAGTAGGTGTTTGCCATCAGCCACACAAGGCTGAAATCTTCATAAGTGTCATTTCACTAGCCCTCAGGACATCACGGAAGACATGATTATCACCCCTATTTTATAGATGAAGAAACTGAGACTCGCAGACCTAAGGTAACTTGCCCAGGGTCATTTTGGTAGCAAGTAATAGCATCAAGATGCAAACCCTGCCTCCCTTTGGGGCCAATTTTTGACTCTATTTTATGCTTACAAGCCTGTGGGGGTAGTGGAGGTGCTTTACAAATGGGGAAACTGCCAGGCATGGTGGCTCACGCCTGTAATCCTAGCACTTTGGGAGGCCGAGGGGGTCTGATCTCTTGGAAGTCAGGAGTTTGAGACCAACCTGGCCAACATGGCGAAACCCCATTTCTACTAAAAATACAAAAATTAGTTGGGTGTGGTGGCGCACACCTGTAATCCTGGCTACTCGGGAGGCTGAGGCAGGAGAATCACTTGAGCTCAGGAGGCGGAGGTTGCAGTGAGCTGAGATCATGTCACTGCACTCCAGCCTGGGTGACAGAGCGAGATCTCAAAAAGAAAAAAAAAAAAAAGGAAAACTAAGGCTCGGAAAGTTTCAACAGATTTATCACCATTATCACCATCACCACCATCATCATCATCACAGTTGCCACTTACTGAGTACTGATTCTGCCTGACTCTGCTACAAGCTAATTTCCCCTACAGGGTACATATTAATATGACCATTTGGGCCGGGTGTGGTGGCTCACGCCTATAATCCTAACATTTTGGGAGGCTGAGGAGGGCAGATTACCTGAGGTCAGGAGTTTGAGACTAGCCTGGCCAACATGGCAAAACCCCGTCTCTTCTAAAAATACAAAAATTAGCCAAGCATAGTGGTGCATGCCTGTAATCTCAGCTACTAGGGAGGCTGAGGCAGAAGAATCACTTGAACCCAGGAGGCGGAGGTTGCAGTGAGCCAAGATCACACCACTGCACTCCAGCCTGGGCAATAGAGTAAGACTCCATCTCAAAAGAAAAAAAAACAAACAAACAATTGACAGATAAGGAAATCAGGATCAGGAGAAGTAAGTACCTTGTCCAGCAGGTCGCACAATGAGTTACCTACTAGGTGGGGAATGGCTGGGGTGCCCAGAGCCAGGGGCCTCTCTGCACAGAATGATTTTGCCTTCAGAGATCCCAAGGGAGGAAGGAGGTACTCACAACTTGAGGACAGCCGACCGTTTCCCCAGCATCATGTTCACAAAGTCTCGGTAGGATATAGTGTCACTGACCCCTCCTGTCACCTCTGAGATCATCTTCTTCATCTCCAGGTGGGTCTTGGGGACACCAAGCTTCTCCATCATCCTCTTTAAAGACATCAGGTCTGCCGGGGGAAAAGCAGATCTGTTAAGTGGAGATGGGCTGCTGGGGCTTAGCAGGGAAGCTGGGAAAGCTCCACTCAGGCACCCCACGCCTAGAAACTTGGCGTCTGCACTCCTTCTCTAGGGAGGAGGAGCCCATCACGCCCTCCCTGCTCTCTTTGGAGGCCGTATAGGCTAGTGGTTAGTGACCTGGGCTTCTAGAGTCAGACGGGCTTGCATTGGAATCGAGCTCTGCTATTCCTGGCTCTGGGATCTGGGGCACACTACTTAACCTCTCTGAACCCCTGCTCCCACCAACGGTGGAACGGGTGGATGGGATCATTCAGGGATCTCTGTGCAGGAAGCACCGGCCCAGAGCACTTTCTTCACACCATGACTGTGGGCTCTGCTATTTCCTGCAGTTAGGGTGGGCTGGGTGCCCACTCTCCTGCTGCCTGGGGAGTTATGCCCAGTGTGGCAGGGTCAGGAAGTCAGGCATTGAAAGTAACTCTGCTGGGTGCCGAGTGGCAGGTGGCTTCTCCCCACGTGCCACTCCTGTCCTGCTGTCCTAGGGCTCTGCCCCGGCTGGAAGGGAGAGGATGCCAAAAATATCCCACAGAGCAGGAAAACCAACAAAAGAACAAAATTCAAGAAAAACAAGGGAGGCCCCAGAATGTCACTCCAGCCCGAGGCGGTGCTGTCTCTGACCGCCCAGCTCCCACCAAGATCTGAGGCAATTTCCTTTGGATTGTTCTCCAGTGAACAATGGGTCATCTAAGGATGGCAGGAGAGGGCTGGGGTAGGGGCCATGGGCCGTGGCGCAGCCAATGCTCCTCCTGGCAAGGCGGGCGGGACTGGGGCCAGGCCCAAAGGTGCCAGGATGTCCACGCATTCAGAGAGAGCTGGGCAGCCTTCTCCAGGAAAGGGGGAAAGGGCTGCACACGCACTGCCAGACTCTGAAGTTGGCAGGACCTTTCTCGGGCAGTTCGGCAAGATGCTTCAAAAGCCTTTGACCCAGTGTCCCCTTCCTGAGATTTCCTCTACAGAAATAACCAGGGAGGTGAACAAGCACTCATGTACAAAGAGGTTCTTTACAGGATTATCAATAATAGTTAAAATTGGAAGGCATCCAAATGGTCCACACAAAGGCATCGGCTAAACAAATTAGAATCCATTCCTACAATGCAGCCATTAACTATATTTCAAAAGAAAAATCAGCTGGCGCCATGGCTCATGCCTGTAATCCCAGCACTTTGGGACGACGAGGCAGGCGGATCACTTGAGGCCAGGAGTTTGAGTCCAGCCTGGCCAACATGGTGAAACCTCGTCTCTACTAAAAATACGAAAATTAGCCGGGCGTGGTGGTGCGTGCCTGTAATCTCAGCTACTTGGGAGGCTGAGGCAGGAGAACCGCTTGAACCTGGGAGGCTGAGGATGCAGTGAGCCAAGATTGTGCCACTGCACTCCAGCCTGGGCAACAGAATGAGACTATGTCTCAAAAAAAGAAAGAAAAATCAATAATAAATCAAAATACTCACCATTGTTTTATTTCACTTATTTTTTCTGGCCGGGCTGACCAATAGAAAGTTATTTTTTTCAAGGAGGCTCAAAAATGATATAAAACAGCTTTTGTGATTAGAATAAAGAGTGGAAGGCTAGAAACGGAAATGTTTGTAGCAGTTACTTCTGGGAGGTGGGGTTGTGGGTGATGCATTTTTGTCTTTTTGTCTTGCTGTGTTTCCCCAATTTTTTTAATGATGAAAATGTGTTTATTTGATAAGCCAAATTTTTTTTTTTTTTTTTTGAGACGAAGTCTTGCTCTTGTCCCCTAGGCTGGAGTGCAATGGTGCAATCTGGGCTCACTGCAACCTCCACCTCCTGGGTTAAAGCAATTCTCCTGCCTCAGCCTCCCGAGTAGCTGGGATTACAGGCATCTGCCACCATGCCCGGCTAATTTTTGCATTTTTAGTAAAGATGGGGTTTCACCATGTTGCCCAGGCTGGTCTCGAACTCCTGATCTCATGTGATCCGCCCGCCTTGGCCTCCCAAAGTGCTGGGATTACAGGCGTGAGACACTGTGCCTGGCCAAATTTTCTTTCTAAAGAAAAAAAAAAATGATCAAAATATTCTAAAGGGAGAAGAAAAGAGAGAGGACAGAGGAAGAGGAGTAGAAATGCCGGTAGCAGCATCAATCTGAGACGCAGGATGAAATGGAAAAGGGGGAAACTGTTCAGAAACCAACGGCTGGGCCCTGGTTCACTGCCAGTGTTCCATGTAAGCAAGTCATTTCACCTTTCTTTTTGCTTTTTTTTTTTTTTTTTTTTTTTTTGAGACAGAATCTCGCTCTGTCACCCAGGCTGGAGTGCAGTGGCACAATCTTGGCTCACTGCAACCTCCGCCTCCTGGGTTCAAGCAGTTCTCCTGCCTCAGCCTCCCGAGTAGCTGGGATTACAGGCACCCGCCACCACACCCAGCTAATTTTTGTATTTTTAGTAGAGATGGGATTTCGTCATGTTGGCCAGGCTGGTCTTGAACTCCTGACCTCAGGTGATCCCCACGCCTTGGCCTCCCAAAGTGCTGGGATTACAGGCTTGAGCCATGGCGCCCGGCCCATTTCACCTTTCTGAGTCTTGCTTTCCTCATCTGTAAAATGGGGATAATTAAACCAGCCTTAACCACTTCTTTGCGGGTGAGGTCCAGGTATGGTCTCCTACCAGAACGTAAGTGCCAGTAGCTGCACAGCAGGATGCAATAAGGAGAGAATCAACGTATATAAAAGCAACTTGTCAACTGCCGAATGACATACAATGGAAAGACAGACTTCAGGGCCACTGAAATGCCAGCCAGGAGGCCCAGGGCCTGTCCACCCTGAGTGTCTCCAGCCCTGGGCAGGTGTGGCACCCTCTGTCCTGAGTCCCCGTAGCACCTGGGGTGGGAGGCTGAGGTGTGGGTGGGGAGGGAAGCAGTAGGGGATCAAAGGGTCTGGAGGAGTCTGAGGGCAGTGGTGCCAGGGCAGAAGGCAAGGGGCTGGGGCTGGCTCGGCGCAACATATTCACCAGCCTTCCGGACTGCCCCATGCCCCTCACCCGCACAGAGGGTCCCTCAAGCCCTCTACCCACTTAACACCCTCCTCCCTAAACACACTCAAGGCTTCACTCACCAATCTCGCCTTCATTGTTCAGGTCAAACTCCATGTACTTCTCTGGAAATCACAGAGCAAAAACTAGCATTAGTTTGGAAGCAGCGTCTCCCTGTGGGGACCCAGTGGCTCCCTTGTGGGCAAATGACCGTGTCCTCAGGAGTCTGAACCACCTCCCGCACCCTACCAAGGGTCTTGACCTGAGTCCCCCATCCGCTGAGCCATGGCCTCTGGGGAAAGAGCTCATCCTGCCTGGACTACTCTCCTAGAGGTGCCACGAGGGAAAGATGGCTGGGGGCCACTCTGACCCTCTTACCAGGAGGGCAGCTGCTTTCTCCCGGGTCCCCAGCAGCACAGACCAGCTGCATCTGAGTTAGTAGCAAAGTGACTAGCTCTGATTCCCTGCCCCAGGATTCTGGCTCATGGGTGTGGAAGGACAGGGTGGGGGCAGGCATGGGTGTGCTTTTTAGCGTCCCAGGCAGTTCTGATGGGCAACCGGGTGTGGGAACCACTGATTCAGGGGACCTGTGATTCTGAAACCAGGAAAAAGGCCTGCCCTAGCCCACAAAGTGGACATACAGTTTCCCGGGGTACACAGACCATCACCCCAAACCTCACACACAGACTGAGTTATACTTCCCTGATCAAGGAGTCCAGGAAAACTTCTAGCAGTGAGGGAGGATGTCGGAGCAGTGGGCTTGGTATGTTCAGATGGGAGCAGTGTGTCAAACGGACCGTGGGGCCTCTGCAGGTCACCCCCTGCCCGGGCAGAGTGGGGCCCTCATGGTCCATCCTGCCCCACAAGCAGCCAGCAGAGAAAGCCGAGGCCCTCCTGCAGGCTGTGCTGCCCCCGCCCACTCCCTGCCTGCTCCAGCTCGCTGCCCCTCTGCCTGGAATGTTCTCCCAAGTATTCTCAGCACCCTTCCTCATGGCTTCAGGGCTCCCCACCCTTTCTTTTTCTTCTTTTTTTTAGAAGGAGTCTTGCTCCATCTCACTTTGTCACACAAGCTGAAGTGTAGTGGCGTGATCTCAGGGGGGATACACAGCTCACCTAGGGCAGAGTTGGGACTTGAACCCATGTTAGTCTGGCTCCAAAGCCCCCGTTCTTAACCATTATGCTTTTTTTTTTTTTTTTTTTTTTTGAGATGGAGTCTCATTCTGTCACCAAGGCTTGAGTGCAGTGGCTTGATCTCAGCTCACTGCAACCTCTGCCTCCTGGGTTCAAGCAATCCTCCTGTCTCAGCCTCCCGAGTAGCTGGCATTACAGGCACCCACCACCACATACAGCTAATTTTTGTATTTTTAATAGAGATGGGGTTTCGCCATGTTGGCCGGGCTGGTCTTGGACTCCCGACCTCAGGTGATCCACCCACCTCGGCCTCCCAAAGTGCTGGGATTACAGGTGTGAGCCACCGTGCCTGGCCTCCCCACCCTTTCAAAATTGCACCCCCTCCCCACAGCTGAGCACTCCTGTCCTCCCTCCCTCATTTCTCACTGAAGCACCTACCACAGTCTGCTAACCTTGTATTTCCCGGCTCTCTGTTTAGTCTCCCACCACCTCTCACACCGCCCCCCGAGCGAGAACACAGGCTCCCGGGTGGGAGCTGCCTTTTACGTTCACCATGGTGCCCCTGGCCTGGAATGGTCCTGGCACATGTACAGGTGCGCATTTGGAGAACAAATGAGTGAATGATGTAACTTCCTGTCTGGCCCAACATTCCAGTGAAGACAAGTAGAAAGGGTGCCAGAGCCCTGAGACCCGTGCCTCCTCCCAGAGCCACCCCTGGGAGTGGCCACGCTGGTATGCAGACAGAAGGGAATAGACTGCTCTCTTTTTCACAGCTCTCCTACAGGTGGCTGGGATGGGGTGGGGTCAGGAGTGTCTTTTACTATTTCCCTTCTCTCTTCTTCATGTAAAAAGCATCATAGCGTAACAGTTGAGAGCAGGGGCTTTGGAGCCAGACCGACATGAGTTCAAGTCCCAACTCTGCCCTAGGCGAGCTATGTGTCCCCATGCCAACAACCCCGCCCTCCAAGCCCGAGTTTCTCCATCTGCACATTAACAAGTGCGCCATCTTCCTCCAGGCCGATTGGGGTGATGTGGGGAGCTCGCCACGCCGCACGAGAAGTGCTTCACACAGGCCGACGTCCAACAAATGCCAGCTGTTATTAATATGATTAGCCCTAGATGTCCAGCCTAAGGACAACTGGAAGTGATTTGAGGAACACTTGGCCAAGTTCTTTGCCCTGGAGCCGGGAGGATGCTCACACTGCAAACACTTTGGAGGGGAATGCAACCTCCAGGATATTTTCCATGACAGCCCAGGGCTCCTGCGCCTAAGTGCCTCCCCTGGCAGGGAAGGTGGGTCTGCGCTGCCCCCTATGTGCCCGGCTCCTCTCCTTTCGAGGTGCTGGCTGGGAACCAAGCGCCAGGGCCCCAAACAGAGGGACCTTTATGCTGCCCCTCTCCCCGCGCCGGCTCCCAGGCCCTGCTTTCTTTTCATCCCGTGCTGCCGGGTTTCAATGGGCAGAAACTCTGCCCCCCTGCCCCACTGCGGTGACACAAACGTCCATTCTCCGCAGGGGCTCCTGAGACGCTCTGCTGGGGAGGGGGAGAGGCAAGGCTTGCTCACAAAGAGCTGATTGTGTGCGGGGCCCGGGAGTGACGGGGCCTGGGCAGCGGCGGACGGGAACCAGCCTGAGCCCCGTGGGCAGTGAGGGGAGAGAGAGGGGCAGGGCCAGGACCGGGCTGCAGGCGAGGGGTGACGGGGCCCGCAGGGGCAGGGAGGCAGGTGGAGGGGCCTCTCCCCACCTCTCAGGGGGTCCCTGTCTCCAAGCCTTCTCCAGGAAGAAGGGCATTCTGGACAAAACAGGGCCACAGCCTAGTCCTGTGGGGCTGAGGGGTCCTGTGTGCAAGGATGAGGGGCCAGCCCACCTCCCCCAGGAATAAATGCAGGGCAGCCCGCCCCAGCTTACCTTTGAAGGCTGTGAGCTTTTCTGGAAGGTTCTCTTCATCACTGTACTTCTGGTCACACAGAAACTCCTACAGAGGTGAGAGGACAGTGCTGAGCAAGGGACTGGGGACAGAAGTCACCCACACATGGGCCCACTGTCCGGGGGCCTTCCCTCCTATCGGGTAACCAGGTGCGACCAGACCCAGTTTGTCCCTTGTTCACCCCGGCTTCCTGTCGCCCCTTGGAGGCAGATCTGCACTGGCCACCCTGTGGGTAGGAAGTTTGCCCAGCAGCTTGGGGAGGCCCCAGAGGGTTCACTACGGGTGACTAAGCCCTCCAGCCAGCAGCTACATTACCAATGCTGGGACCCGTGCCCCTCCCCCAAGACACCCCAGCTTCAGATCCGAGAAGCTGTGAGCTCCAAAGACAAGCCCCTGGTTCCATCATTAACTTCTTAGGAATGTGATCCTGAGCTCATTCATTCCTCCGTGCACTTTTTTTTTTTTTTTTTTAAGAAGTCTTGCTCTTGTCCCCCAGGCTGGTGTGCAATGGCGCGATCTCAGCTCACTGCAACCTCCACCTCCTGGGTTCAAGCGATTCTCCTGCCTCAGCCTCCCCAGTAGCTGGGATTACAGGCGCCTGCCACCATGCCCAGCTAATTTTTGTATTTTTAGTAGAGACGGGGTTTCACCATGTTGGCCAGGCTGGTCTCGAACTCCTGACCTCAGTTGATCCCCCCGCTCCCACCCCTCCGCCTCAGACTCCCAAAGTGCTGGGATTACAGGTGTGAGCCACCGCGCCCGGCCCTCCCCACACTTCTATTGCCTTATCTACCAAATGAGAATCATGATCTGCTTCTTGAGTTTGTATAGAAATCCAGTGAGGCCAGGTGCGGCGGTTCACGCCTGTAATCCCAGCATTTTGGGAGGCCAAGGTGGGCCGATCACCTGAGGTCAGGGGCTCGAGACCAGCCTGGCCAACATAGTGAAACCCCGTCTCTATAAAAATACAAAAATTAGTTGGGCATAGAGGTGGGCACCTGTGATCCCAGCTACTTGGGAGGCTGAGGCAGGAGAATAGCTTAAACCTGGGAGGTGGAGGTTGCAGTGAGCTGAGATCATGCCACTGTACTCCAGCCTGGGAGACAGAGAGAGACTCCATCTTAAAAAAAAAAAAAAAAGAAAAGAAAAAAGAAATCCAGTGAGAGTGTGAATTCGTCGTCTCTGCTCTAACGGGAAAATGACTGTACACTTACCCTCTCACCTGTTTCCTCACCTGTAAAATGGGGGTTTTAATCTCTGGCCTGCCTTCCCTTCAGATGCTTGGAGAGACTCAAATGAGTCCTTTCAGGACCAGATGGGCAGGGTGGGGAGGATTGGACACTAACAATGGCCTCCAGGGTGAAGCCCTTACCTATGTGATCTCTTCACATCTCCTAGGAGTCCCAAGAGGGAGCTATTGTTATTATTATTTTGAAACAGGGTCTTGCTCTGTCATCCAGGCTGGAATGCAGTGATGCAATCTCAGCTCACTGTAACCTCCGCCTCCCGATCTCAAGTGATCCTCCCACCTCAGCCTCCTGAGTAGCTGGGACTACAGATGGGCGCCACACCACGGCTGGCTTATTTTTGTATTTTTTGTAGAGACAGGGTTTCACTCTGTTGCCCAGGCTGGTCCCAAACTCCTGGACTCAAGTGATCTGCCCGCCTCGGCCTCCCAAAGTGCTGGGATTACAGGTGTGAGCCACGGCGCCCGGCCAGTAGCTACTATTATTATACCCATTTTGCAGGTGAGGAAACTGAGGCTCATAAGCCAGAGCTTCAACTCGGCTCCATCTCATTTGGAGCCTGCATCCTTAGCCCCTACATTCTTTAAAGGTGGGCAGATTGCAGGTGTTCATCTGGCCTGGTCTCTGACCTTACAGCAAAAAGCGACCAATGAGGGAACACCTGCCAGATACAGTGCCAGGTAACTTATGTATCTTGCGGCTAATCTTTCAGCAGCCCTGGAACCTGTATTCAGATGGGGAAGCACAGGGCCTGTTCCCCTCCTACCACTCGAACTCTGCAAATAACCCCTCTTCTTTGGAGCTTCCATTCTTTTTTTGTTTTTGTTTTTGTTTTTTTGAGACGGAGTCTCGCTCTTGTCACCCAGGCTGGAGTCCAGTGGCGCAATGTTGGCTCACTGCAACCTCTGCCTCTCAGGTTCAAATGATTCTTGTGCCTCAGCCTCCCAAGTAGCTGGGACTACAGGAGTGTGCCACCATGCTCGGCTAATTTTTGTATTTTTAGTAGAGACGGGATTTTACCATGTTGGCCAGGCTGGTCTTGAACTCCTGGCCTCATGTGATCCGCCCACCTCGACCTCCCAAAGTGCTGGGATTACAGGTGTGAGCCACTGAGCCCGGCCAGTGGACCTTCCATTCTTCATTACTGAGCTCACTGGACATGGACATTGCTCCTTCATTCATTCATTCATTCATTCATTCACTCATTCAACATTCTGGGGGGACACAGTGCACACAGCACTCACTGTGCTAGCATCAAGGGAGCAGAGGAGACCATGGTGAATATGACAAGGTCCTTATCCTGAAATTACAGAAAGCTGGTGTTTAAAATGATGTGCAATGTCACCCACATTAATCACTTGACCTACTTCCTAATACATGATGGCCAAGTCTGTTCTTACATATCTCTTAGGACAGAGAACTCACTACCTTCCTAGTCTATTGTTGCAAACTCCTAAGAGGCTTCAAGCAGAATAGAGGATGACAAGAACTAACTGACTATAAAGCAATCTGGGTTTGGATCTCAGTCTCCCTTTTTACTAGCTCTAAAATAGGTTCAATAGTACCCACTCCTTGGGCACTGGGCTCATAGTTCAGCTCTCAATGAGCAACAGATAAGATTATGAGTATGAGGCAGAATATGGCCTCTTCTATGGCTCAAATTTCTCCACATTAACTCAGCACCCCTTGACCACAGGAGAAACCTACCTGGCAACAGGGCTTCCCTCACTGGGTTGGGAGAGGGGTCTGGCTGTCCTGTAGCTTTTGGTAAAACATTGGCTGTAGCAGACACTGTGCTATCTCACTAAATCCTCACAGCCACTATTATTCCCATTTTACAAGTTAAAACATGAGGATGAGAGGGGTTAAATACCACATCTAAAGTCCATAGACAGGCCAAACGCAGTGAGTGGCTCACGTCTGTAATCCCAGCACTTTGGGAGGCCGAGGTGAGCAAATCCCTTGAGGTCAGGAGCTCAAGAACAGCCTGGCCAACATGGTGAAACCCTGTCTCTACTAAAAGTCCAAAAATTAGCCGGGCATGGGGGCGTGTGCCTGTAATCCCAGCTACTTGGGAGGCTGAGGCAGGAGAATCACTTGCACCTGGGAAGTGGAGGTTGCCGGGAGCCGAGATTGTGCCACTGCATTCCAGCCCGGGCCACAGACTCCATCTCAAAAAAAAAAAAAAAAAAAAAAAGGTTCACAGACAGCTAAGGAAGGTTGGTTTCGAACCTGGGTCTATCTGACTCCAGGACCTGTGTCCTCCTGCACCTGGGCAGAGGGCAGTCCCAGGGCCTATGGGGTCTTGCTGGCTTGGCCACAGCCTCACTCCAGGCCTCATTGCAATGCACTGGGCACGGCCCCGCCTCCACTTAGCTGACGCTGGATCCTTCTTCGGCAGCCTGGGAGGCCGCCCTCCTCCTAGTTGGCTCTGTCGAGGACTTCCTTTCCTCTTGGCTCCCTCTCATAGCTCTTCGGCACTGCTCCCTCACCCCATCCTCTGCCCAAAAGGAGGACAATTAACTTTTGTCTGTGACTGTGAGCAAACCAGGCACCTCCCAGGGTCCCAGATCCCATATCTGCCCAGTGAAGGGACATATTAGATCAGTGATTCCCAGACTTTGGGGTCACGCAGACATGAAACATTTTTAAAGGCGGGGCAGAGGGGCGCACTAATATACGAGTGCCAACTTTTTATTTTGCCAAGTAAAGACTTTTTAAACAATGGCCATTGACTGTTGCCATGAGTTCAGAAAAGAACATTTCATAAAAGTAGGAAGTTCACCATCTCTGAATGTTTAAATGGAATCCATTCAGCCTAGGTCCAACTCACCACAGTGACCCTGCATTTCCTTCACTTTACCAAGAACTAGAGAACCTTCCTGGGGAGGCACAAGAGCACCAACATCTGGGAACCTCTGGGGAGAGATTTGGAGGGGCTGTCCCAGCCCCTGGGGTCTGGTTGACCAGAAATCCTGCCTCAGCCTGGACCGACCAGCCCTAGAGATCCAGTTTTACTTGGGCCACTCTGTAGGTGGATGGGTGCAAGTGGAAGGACATGGTCCCTGGCCTTAGAGACAAATTGCACACAGACAGACACAGACCAACCAGGCAGGGATGAAGAGCAAGGCCACGTGCACAGCATGAACGGCAGCAGTGGTTGGGAAGATTGCCCTGGGCTGCACCCTGCACTAGCTGTGCACCCTGCCTGGAGTCCACAGATCTGCGTGGTTCTCTCCCTCACCAACTTCAAGCCTTTGCTCAATGTCACCTTGTCTTTTTTGTTTTGTTTTATTTTTGTTTTTTGGGACGGAGTCTCACTCTGTCGCCAGGCTGGAGTGCAGTGGCGCGATCTCAGCTCACTGCAACTTCCCCCTCCCGAGTTCAAGCAATTCTCCTGCCTCAGCCTCCCCAGTAGCTGGGACTACAGGTGCGCACCAACACGTCCAGCTAATTTTTGTTTTAGTAGAGATGCGGTTTCACCATATGGAGCAGTTCGGTCTCAAATTCCTGACCTCAGGTGATCCGACTGCCTCGGCCTCCCAAATTCCTGGCATCACAGGCGTGAGCCACCACACCCAGCCTCAATGTCACCTTCTCAATGCGGCCGAATGTCACCTTCTCAATGCGGCCGACCCTATTTATTCTTTGTTGGCACGATCACAGCTCACTGCAGCCTCGACCTGCCTGGGCTCAAACAATCCTCCCACCTCAGCCCTCCAGAGCAGCTAGAACTACGGGTGTATGCCACCACACCCAGCTAATGTTTGTATTTTTTGTAGAGATGGGGTCTCCCTCTGTTGCCCAGGCTGGTCTTAAACTCCTGGGCTCAAGTGATCTGCCTGCCTCGGCCTCCCAAAGTGCTAGGATTATAGGTGTGAGCCACCATGCCCAGCCCTGTCCACCCTGTTTTATACTGCTGCCTGCCCACTTCAGCTGCCCCGACTTCCAATCGCCCTTATCCAGCTCCTTAGGATGGGTCACCTCCAAACATGATTTCCACTGCCACTGCTTACTGAGGTTACTACACCCTCTCTGCCTCCCCGGCTAGAATGTAGGTTCCACATAGCAGACGCTCAATAAACATGTGCAGGATGAGTGGAGGAGTTGAGACTCAGGTTAACTAACTTGCCTGAAACAGCAGAGCCAGCAAGCAGCTGTGCTGGGAACATGAAATCCTCTGTAGCTGCGGCTCCCTCCCTGCACAGTACTGAGGAGGAAGTGGGTATCAGGAGGCAGCTCGGAGGAGGCAGGGCCCCAGCCACAGGTTTAGCGTCGAAGTGCCCAGCATATCGTAGACACTCAATAAACATCTGTTGAGGAGCCCGAGGAGGGAGGATCACTTGAGGCCAGAAGTTTGAAGTCAGCCTGAGCAACATAGGGAGATCCCATCTCTACAAAAAATTAAAAAATTAGCTGGGTGTGGTGGTGCGTGCCTGTAGTCCCAGCTACTTGGGAGGCTGAGGCTGGAGGATCACTTGAATCCAGGAGGTGAAGGCTGCAATGAGCTTTGACTGCACCACTGCACTCCAGCCAGACCCTGTCTCTAAAAAAAAAAAAAAAGCAACAACAACAACAACAAAACATCCATTGAATGAATGGACAGGCCTGCCATTCGGTCCATTATTTTCTCCATCCTCACCCCTGCAACGATCAGGCAGCTTTGCAAAAGTGTGTGCCCACGCATGACAGAGGCTGGAGGGGCTTAGGGTTTGGAATCCTATTTTTCCTTAGAGCCAAAAATGACAAATGCAGCCCAGTGTGGTGGTTCACGCCTGTAATCCCAGCACTTTGAGAGGCCAAGGCAGGCGGATCACCTGAGGTCAGGAGTTCAAGACCAGCCTGGCCAACATGGTGAAATCCTGTCTCTACTAAAAACCACACGTACCTGTAATCCCAGCTATACTTGGGAGGCTGAGGCAGGAGAATTGTCTGAACCCGGAATGTGCAGGTTGCAGTGAGCTGAGATCGCGCCACTGCACTCCAGCCTGGGCCACACAGTGAGACTTTGTCTTAAAAAACAAAACAAAACAAAACATGACAAATGCTTGGGCCACAAGTGACCAGGGTGGGAGAGGCAGCTGAGCTCCTCATGTGTGGGCAGCCCTCACTGGCTCTGGGATTAGGGCAGCTGTGCTGACCATGCCTGGGTAGGGGATGGGGGAGCCCGGCGGGCAGTGGCAGGAACAGGACTCCACCAGCCAGGCTGCCACGCCTGCTCCACCTCTGAGCTTTGGATTCTTGGTTCCTGCTCATGTACCACCCACAGCTCCCTCCCTGCAGGCATCCTCCCCCCGTCCCTGCCAAAGGCACAGGTACCCTGTCTTTCCAGGACCCCTGGCTGCCCTGACCCTGGGTCCATAGGCAGAGGAGACAGAGATAGAAGCCACCCCAGGTGTTTGGAAGAAAAGCAAAATAAAGAAAAAAAAAAGGCAGACTGGAGCCAGAATGCCTGAGTTTGAATCCACTTCATGGCTGCATGAATTTTTTTTTTTTTTTTGAGACAGAGTCTCGCTCTGTTGCCCAGGCTGGAGTGCAGTGGCACAATCATAGCCCACTGCAACCTCAACCTCCTGGGCCCAAGCAGTCCGCCCATCTCAGCATCCCAAAGTGCTGGGATTACAAGTATGAGCCACCGCACCCGGCCAGCAAATACTAAATAAATGTTAGCTGTTTATTATTTTTTTCTAATACTTATGCCCATACAATCAGCTTATAACCTCCATAGACCCTCACAGACTATTCAGCAGATTAGGAAGGAGGCCCCCTCCCCGTGGAGTAGGCCAGTTATGATTTCTCTCTCCTCTTTCCAGGTATCCCCATTTGACAGATGGGACAACTGAGGCCCAGAGAGGTTGCTCAACTTGCTCAGGATTGCCAAGTTTTAGCAATTCAAGGTCTATGCCTGCCCCAAACAAGAAGGTAGCCTGGCTGCAGGTTTCTGGGCAAAGAAAGTCAATACTGGGAGTTACCTTTCCTCTTCGGCAGCTGCAGGAGGTTATTCCAGAGGCCAGGGAACCACTTTATAGCCCTCCAGGGAGATGTGGGGGTAGGTGGTTTATTCTATCCCCTATCCTCCTCACACAATCTAACCCACTGTCCCCAAAGACAAGTTTTCCCGGCTGCAGAAAGTAGAAAGTGCTGGGGTGGGGGAGCAGGTGTGAGAAGTGCAGGGGGCCTCTGGGCCCTGAAAGTGGCTATTGACATGCAGAGGGGCAGGCCTGGAGGCCACAGTGGCCTGATCAGTCCCTAGCAAAGGGCCAGGAAATGCAAGCGGGCAGGAGCTGGGGGGTGACACACAGGCAGCTGAGCCCACTTTTCAGTCCCCGGGGACCAGAGCATCCAAGGCTGGGGCCTGGGAGGTGGCAGAGCTGTTAAATTATCCACCCAGCCACAGAACCAGAAGGGACTCCTCACAGCGTTCAGCTTGCCCTCCTTGTTCAATAGCTGGGGAAACCGAGGTGCCGGAAGGGACAGGCCTTGCCCAAGTTCACAACAGTTGAAAACGTCACATCATCTCTCTGAGCCCAGGGTGTGTAGGACATAGGGGATAACTTGCCAGGGTTGCCATTCCAGCTTTAGCACATACTAGCTCTGTGGCTCTGGGCAGGGCAACTTTACCTGTTTACCACTCTAGGCCTCAGTCTCTTCATCTATAAAGTGGGCTTATCTATCAAATGGGATCATAATGATATGCAGAACCTCCTCACTGAGTTGCTGTAAGGAATTTTTTTGTTTGTTTGTTTTGTTTTGAGTCAGGGTCTTGCTCCATTCCCAAGCCTAAAGTGCAGTGGCACGATCTGCAGGATCACTGCAGCCTCAACCTCACAGACTCAAGCTATCCTCCTGCCTTAGTGCCTGGCCTGCGGTAAGGATTAAACGAGCTAATTGCACAGAAGGAGCCTGGCTCCTAGTACACTTGCTAAGTGTTCAAAATTATTATTATGTCTTAGGATCATCCAAACTCAAGCCACATCGAGAGGCAGGTGTGTGTGCGGGGGAAGGGCAGGGAAAGAACATCACCCACCGACCATGCTGTGCTCCTCCGTGATGCCCTGAAGTCCTCCTGGCAAGTCTTGGCCCACTGGCCATCCCTCAAGGGCAAGTTTTGCTTTGTCCTCAGCCCCCGGCTGACCTGGCAGTGATGGGCCATCCAACCTGCCTGAACCCTCCCATCTCAGTCCCCAATAGCATCTGTTCACTGCCGCCTTTCCTGGTCACCTACAGCCTCTGATGCTCGCCAGAGTCCCCCAAGCCCATCCCAGCCTCCAGCGAGGCCCCCAAGTGCTATGCCCAGGAGGGGCTGTTTCCAAACCCATCAGAAGCTGGCAGCCCCTGCCGTGCCTGTCCTCAGAAGCCCTCCCACCTGCCTGCTCCTCGCTGACTTAACTCTCTTTCTGGGCTGGTACCTCTAGCACCTTCTGGCGAACCCTTGCTCCTGGCCCTCCAGGCTTGTCTTTCTGTATCAGCTGCAGCAGAATTTTGGGGTGGGCGGATATCACCATCTTGGAGGCCATCCAAGGGGCTGGTGGCTCAGGCCTTGGACAAGAACTCCAAGGACAGGAAGCACCATGCCGGGGCGTAGGACCTCTGACGCAGCCCACAGGCTCTTAAAGGGCCAGGGCCAGGCCACAAGTGGTGCTGGCACCTGGTGAGTAGCAGAAGCCTGTAATGTGCACCCACAAGGACAGCGGGTTCACATTCCCCACTGCAGCCCTGGGCCTCATTCAGATGCCGCATCCTCGCCAACAGATGGGGCAGCTAAAGAAAAACTCCCAAGCAGCTATGCAATAAAGCACACCCTGCAGAAATTCCATCTCCAGCTTCCTGTGACACGGCCACACCAAGGTCATAACTGGTTGGACCTGCAGGGGACACTGAATCCTCAGAGGCTCACGTGGCCACTTATCACCATCTCCCTTATAATATATTAAGGAAGAGCAAGAGAGGTGGGTGCCCAGCAATGCCAGCTGCATACATTCGCCTGGGCAGGGACAGAGTGGCACTGCCAGGTACATAGGAAAAAAGACACACCTGCATACTTGCCTGGGTCAGGTCTCAGAGGCCCCCCATTGCTGGGGGAAGGGCAGGGGATATATACACCCCTGGGCAGAGATACCCAGCCTACCCTGCCCAGCTGCCTTCCCAGTGCAGATGACATGTGGCTTCTGAAAAAAACATCAGGGGCCAGGTGCAGTGGCTCATACCTGCAATCCCAGCACTTTGGGAGGCCAAGGCGGGTGGATCACTTGAGGTCAGGAGTTCGAGACCAGCCTGGCCAACATGGTGAAACCCTGTCTCTACTAAAAATACAAAAATTAGCCGTGGTGGTGGGCACTTGTAATCCCAGCTACTCGGGAGGCTGTGGCAGGGGAATCGCTTGAACTTGGGTGGCAGAGGTTGCAGTGAGCCGAGATCATGCCACTGCACTCCAGCCTGGGTGACAGAGTGAGACTCTGTCTCAAAATGAAAAACAGCGAAACAAAACAAAAAACCATCAGGTACCTAAATGTGACAGGGAATGCTGAGTGCCCTTCATTCGACCCAGGAGGGCTGGACCATTGGGACAGTAGCCAGAGATCCTTATCGATATAAGCAAGAGAGGCCTGTGTCATAGCTAGGCTGCAGCCACCTGGTGACAGGGGCCAGGGTGACTGGGTTTGAATCCCAGATCTGCCACTTCCTGGCTGGGTGACCTTGCAGGTGACTTCATCTAGCTAAGCCTGTTTCCTCATCTCTAAAATGGAAGTCAAGGCCCGGCACAGTGATGTATGCCTGTAATCTCAGCACTCTGGGAGGCCAAGGTGGGCAGATTGCTTAAGCTTAGGAGTTCGAGACCAGCCTGGGCAACATGGTGAAACCTTGTCTCCACAAAAAAAAAAAATTAGCTTGGCGTGGTGGTGCACGCCTATAGTCCCAGCTACTCAGGAGGCTGAAGTGCAAGGATCACCTAAGCCCAGGAGGTCAAGACTGCAGTGAGCCGAGATCACACCACTGCACTTCAGCCTGGGCAACCCAGTGAGACCCTGTCTCAAAAAAAAAGGAGTCATGATAATCCTTATCCCATGGGGCTGTCTGCAGATTCTCACTGTGCATCTGTCTGCTGGGGTGCCCTGTTGCGGGGTCAGCGAGATGATGAATGTCAATCTGTGGGCATGGAGCACAGCCACAGCTCGTTACTGTGTTGAAGATCTCACCTGTTGGCCGGGTGTGGTGGTTCACACCTGTAATCCCAGCACTTTGGGAGGCCGAGGGGGGCGGATCACGAGGTCAGGGGTTTGAGACCAGCCTGACCAATATGGTGAAACCCCGTCTCTACTAAAAATACAAAAATTAGCCGGGCGTGGTGGTGCGCGCCTATAGTTCCAGCTACTTGGGAGGCTGAGGCAGAAGAATCGCGTAAACTTAGGGGGTGGAGGTTGCAGTGAGCCGAGATCACGCCACTGCACTCCACCCTGGGTGACAGAGCGAGACGCCGTCTCAAAAAAAGAAAGAAAGAAAAAAGACCTCACTTGCTAGCCAGCTCATGTGGCAGCCCTCACTGTCCCCTGAGCGCCTCCTGCTAAGTCCCAGGGCACAGCCACCCTGAGGGGCAGCGCCCCCAGCCCCACTCCTGCTTCTCTCTGTCCCTGTGGGAAGCTGGAGAAAATCTCTCCCATTGCCATATAAGGCCATGCCTGGCTGGCCTGGGGTCACCAACCATGCCATCAGGGCTCGGGGAATGCCAGCTATGTAGGGGGAGTAGGAGGTGCTGGCCAGTTCTGCCCACTCCAGTAGTGCTGCTATGTACACACGTGCGTGCACATACAAACACACAGCAAATGGAGCTGGGGGTGGACACGCAGCAGGAGGCCCAGCCAAGCTGAGCGATTGAGAAAATAGGCTGGGTTCAAGTCGAGGCTGTTTAAACCCAGGCAGTTTACCCAGCCTCTCTGAGTCTCGTTTTCTCAAAAATGGGAGCAACAATACTCCCTGGGTTAGAGAGAGCATTCGCAAGATAATGCCCACAGTGCACCTGGCACAGGACGGGCACATACCAAGTGTTCAGAAAACTACAGCAAAAACTAAAGTGAAACCAAAAAGAGGTGCATTTTCATGCGGCTCCCCCACCTCCCTTCCTCTACTGGGATTTCTAGGCCCATTAGAGTCTCCTATTTTTACTCTTGAATCCCTTATAATAACAATAGCTAAGGCAGGGTATGGGGGCACATGCCTGTAGTCCCAGCTACTTGAGAGGATGAGATGGAAGATTGCTTGAGCTGGGGAGGTAGAGGCTGCAATGAGCTGAGATTGGGCCACTGCACCCCAGCCTGGGCAACAGAGTGAGACCCTGTCTCTGTTAACAACAGCAACAACAAAAAGCTAAATTTGGGCGGGGTGGGGTGGCTCACGCCTGTAATCCTAGCACTTTGGAAGGCTGAGGCGGGCAGATCACCTGAGGTCAGGAGTTCGAGACCAGCCTGACCAACACGGTGAAACCCTGTCTCTACTAAAAACACAAAGATTAGCTGGGCGTGGTGGCAAGCGCCTGTAGTCCCAGTTACTCGGGAGGCTGAGGCAGGAGAATCGCTTGAACCCGAGAGGCGGAGGTTGCAGTGAACTGAGATCACGCCACTGCACTCCAGCCTGGGTGACAGAGACTCTGTCTAAAAAAAAAAAAAAAAAAAAGCTAAGGCTGAGCTACCCTGCCCCTCTGGAAGCTGGCCTACACCAAGGGAGGAGAAAGGCCCCAAAGGGAACTAGGTATCGGCCCAGAGAAGCCCCTAGATCTGCCAGCCAAGCTGGGCTGTGCCCCAGGCAGCAGCCATGGCGGTGCCCAAGCTGCCTGGCACAGAAGCAGGGCTTTGGCAGTGAATCCTGGGCTTAGCCCAGGCCCCCAGAATCCACACTCCAGTGGGGCAGTGAAGCTGCACCCCAAAGGAAGGCAGTCCGGGCTGCCAGCACAATTCTGCCTACAATCCACCTAGCTCAGGCCCTCTGCACTGCCCCCATGGCCGTGGGTGAACCAATTCAGACTCTCACACAGAGTGACTCCCCCACAGTCTGCAAAGAGCTTCCATCCACTTCCATCGGTTAATTGTTGCAGGGACTCCAGAGGGGCAGAGATCCCTGCTCCCATTTCAGGCTGGGGAAGACGAGGTTCTGCTGGGCTGAGCAACCAGCATGAGCCAGGGCGGAGTATCTTCCACTCCCTGCACCTTGAGGCCACGAACAAAGAAACTGTCCTGATAGCTATCAGGGCCGCAGCCAGCTCTCCTGGGTGCTTTACATAGATTGTCTCACTGAAAAAATCACAACCATTATCTTTTTGGAGAAGGAGGCTCAGAGAGGTGAGTGGCTTGCCCAGAGTCACAGATCAGTGCTTGTGGGTACCTCATGACTAAACTGGTGGGGCCACCCTGCTCCACTGTGGTGAAGCAGCTCAAGCTTCCCGTGTGATCCTGGCGCCTCCTTCCTACAGGGCCCCAGATCCTGGGCCTCAGCAGCCCTACAGCGGCTGGGCTGTCATGGTGGGTCTCAGTACAGCGTCTTGGCAGGGGAAGGACGCTGGGCTGCAAGCTCTGTCACTGGCTTCTGCGTGGCCTTGGGTCAGCTGCTTGCCCTCTCTGGGCGCTGTCCTGAGGTGGTTAGACCACAGCTCCTTCCTGCTCACTTTCCCTAGTCCCAGTGCTGCCCAGATCAGCCCCTGACAGCTGTTAAAGTCCCTCCTCTTTCTAAGCCAAGCTAGTCGGTTTCCCAAAACAACCCTGGAGCCGCCCCCTCCCCCAACCCACCTCCCCAAGGGCTAGGTTGGCCCCGCCCTCTTAGCTCTTCTGGCTTGTCCAACCATGGTCACCTCACCCCCATCTCCAGCTGTCTGTGGCTCAGGGTCCCGCTGGCTGTGGGTGGCTCCAGCCAGCTCAGAACCCGCCTGGCCAAGTGACCCAGGGGGCTATATGAGGTCGGGGTTCCAGCCTTCTGTCCAGAGGGCTAGAGCAGCCAAGCCCCAGGCTGGGCAGGCACACAGTGATCTGGGAAGGAGCCCAGCAGGGATCCGAGACCCCTGAGCACCCCAGCCAGATGTCCGGGCAACCTTCCAGTTGTGCTCAAGATGCCCCCAGGAAGCAGGGTGAGGGTGGCGGTGAGGAGGCCGGAGCTTACCTGGAGGGGGAACCCTGAGGTCCCCAGAGCCCTGTAGCTGGGGACCGAATGGGAGTCCTGTAGCCAGCGGATGGAAAACAGACAGGCTGCCTACATCCAAGCAGTCCAAGAAAACCAAGGGGGAATCAAGGCTGCACACTGCTGGCAAGAGGCAATACCACAACCTGGCCCCAGGCTCGGACCCGCCTCCCACAGCCTTCTCGGGCTCTGCTGACCTCACCAGCGGCCCACTTCCAGACTGTCAGCTGGGCTTAGACCCTGGGTGTCCAGGGGACCAGAGGAGCCTGCAGGGGGAATGCCAAGCCTTGTTTCAGCGGGCGTGCCTCTGCCACCAGTTAAGAAGGAAACTGGGAGACATCCACCTCAGGAAATAATGCTAGTTCTGTGAGTGCTTCCTGAATGCTGGGTGCTGGGCCATGCAGGCCACGGGCCTTCCCTCTCTGAGCCTGCACAATGCCCTGCTTGGAGATGAGAGGCCCTTTGCTGAGGACCACAGAGCTGGCACACAGTGGAGGCCAGATCTGAGCCCAGGTCTTGCAGAACTTTAAAGCCACTGGCTGTGCTGCCTTTGAGCTTTGGCCAACCCAGACAGGTCCTGATATCTTTCCTTATCTTCTAGAATCTATGTAAATTTATGGAGCTCTCACTGGATGCCTGGCAACAACAGGAAAGATTTCTTTTGAGAAATCCACCAGGACCAGCAAGAAAAGCATTGAATCCCTTAAGGCAATCTTTCCTGAAAGTTGGAGTGAAGAGGAGTGGTGTGTTTGAGGGAGGCGGGAGGCTGGAGACCACGGGGAAGTGCCAGGATCTCTACGCCCATCAGAGTCTTCTATTTGTACTTTTGAATCCCTTATAACAACAATAGCTAAGGCCAGGCGTGGGGGCACATGCCTGTAGTCCCAGCTACTCGGGAGGATGAGGAGGGAGGACCGTTTGAATCCCAAAGGTGGAGGCTGCAATGAGCTGAGATTGGGCCACCGAACTCCAGCCTGGGCGACAGACCAGCAAATGACCCGGAGCCTGTGTTCTGAGCTGGAGAGATCACTGGCCTAGGGCCCTTCCCGCGCCAAATCCTTGGGCTGCTCCCAAGCGGGCTTGCGGGGAGCCACGAGCCGGCTGGCATCCGAGCTCCTGACCCGGCCCCACCTCCCCAGTCCCCAGTTGCAAGAGTAACAACTTGCAACCCGAGACCGGAGGCGGGAGGCGGAGGCGGACCTACCTGGAGTCGGAGGCGACGGGGCTGGGGGCGGAGGGAGGCACCTGAGGGAAGCCCAGGGGAAGGGAAGGAAGAGGGTAGATCTGGAGGCGGGCACGGCCTCGCGGAAGGAGAGGTGGCACCCGCGCAGCGCGCGGCTCGGGACTCGCGTGCTGCCCTGGGCGCGGGGCTTACCCGGTTGATCTCGGCCAGCCTCCTCTCCTGCCGGGCTTTGAGCAAGCCGAACGCCTTCCCTCCTGGAGGAGACAAAGAGGCGGCCTGGGAAGCGGGGTCCTCTTCGGGCCACGCGCCCCCGTCCCCGCCCGCTTCCCGCGCGCGGTGGACCCCGCGGTCCGCCCGGCGCGCACAGGTGGCTGCTCGGGGACGGCGGCGCCTACCTTGGAACCTGTTGCTGAGCTCGCCCGACATGGCGAGCGCGGGGCTCCCGCCGGCTCCAGGCTTCGCGGACGCGGCGAGGGACGAGGAGGAGGCACAGGCGCCTGGTCCGGGCTCCGGCTAGCTGCGTGTGGCCGCGGGACCGAGGGGCGGAGGAACGGCGCGGGCGGCCGACACACCCCTCCCTCCGCTGCCGGCCCCTCCCTCCCTCCCTCCCGCCTCGCCCCTCCCCTCCCGCCTCTCCCCTCCCCTCCCGCCTCTCCCCTCCCCTCCCGCCACCCGCTCCGCGGGCTTCAAAGCGGCTATTATGCGGGACGCTGAGCCCGCCGGCCGACCCCTCTGCTGGAGGACGCGGAAAGTGCAAAGCGCGGGGCGGCCGCACCCCTCCTCTCTGCCCCTCCCCGGACCTCAGCAAGTCCCTGCCACACAAATGAAATGCGAGGATCTTAGCATGAACTCCATGGGGTGGTTGTGAGGACCAAGTGCCGTCGGGGAGTCGGCGCTCAAACATCACTGCTGCCTTTGGGGCAGTGCGGCTGCTGTGACAACAGTGGCCCGTCAAATCAATTGGAATGAATTCGTGTCTTGTTAATAAAAGAGATTTCTTGGGCACTCACAGGCACTTTGCACCGTACACCAGTCATTTCATTCTCAAAACTCCATGAAATAGGACTTGGCATTCCCATTTCCAGAAGAGAAAAGTCAGGAAGCTGGAGCTGGGGCGCAAGGCCACCAGGAGGAAAGACCAGCCCATGACTCCAGGAAGAGCGGAGCTCAGGATGCAGGATAGGGTACCTGTGGCCAGGGTGACCATGAAGTCTAGTGTCCAAATCAGGACAGCCAGAGTCAAGGGAGCACTCCTCATAATGATGCTGGGCCACAGGCATAGACAGGCGCTGTCCAGGGCAGGCAGCGCTAGGAATGGCCCCACCGTGCATCTGACTCCTAGGGTAGGGACCCTGAGATCATCTTTCTTATTTATTTATTTTTTTCGAGGCAGAGTCTTGCTCTGTTGCCCAGAGCTGGAGTGCAGCGGCTTGATCTCGGCTCACTGCAACCTTCGCCTCCGGGTTCAAGTGATTCTCCTGCCTCAGCCTCCCAAGTAGCCGGGACTACAGGCACACACCACCACGCCCAGCTAATGTTTGTATTTTTAGTAGAGACGGGGTTTCATCATGTTGGCAAGGTTTGTCTCGAACTCCTGACCTAAGGTGATCCACCTGCCTCGGCCTCCCAAAGTGCTGGGATTACAGGCGTGAGCCACCACGCCCAGCCGAGATCATCATTTTTCTGTGGCTGTCCCTGGGGAGGGAAGTGCCCAGCAAGGGGCTAGGCAGAATGGGATGGGGCTGAGGTCAGGGCAGCAGTCCAGGGGGCAGGCCCCTCCTCCCCAGTAAGACCAGCGCCCACCTCTCCTAGCTGACGCTCCTCTGTCCACTCACCCAAGGGTTTGGATTTGGCCAAGCTGCATGACCTTAGGCGAGGCACTTGATCTGGCTGAGCTTCAGTCCCCTGATCTTCACAATGAAGTAACCCAGAACGCACTAAGCAGGGGCTTTTGTAACTTTGATGACTTGCTGGATGGTTTAAGCAGAGAGTAAAAGCTTAGCGTTACCACCCTTGGTGGATGGGAGCTGACTTAGGACAGAGCCCTCATAATGCACTTCCCTCTCCAGGCTCCAACAGCCTATTGCCCTGGCCGGTTGGGCTGGTTGGCTCCAGTCAGCCATCCTACAGGGCAGGGGCCACCCCACCTTCTGCTCAGCTGCTGGACTGCATTGCTAGCCAGATGTTCAACAGCTGCCGCATTCCACCCGGCAGCGGCCCCACCTCTGGGGCCAGAGAATAGATCAGCACATGCACCAGGCATGATCAGACTGCGTGAGTCACAACATGTCAGGCCCGAGTTCTCCACCCGTCGGGGATGCTGGGACTGAGCTGAGCTGGATCCCACGGCTTGAGTGGATAAAGGCTGAGTGCCAAGAGCAGGCACCAGGACGACTGTGTGCCATCGGCTGAGAAACTGGAGGGAGGCGGGAGGGGGACATCAGACCCTATCCCAGAGGTCTTGGAAGAACTCCATATTCTCGACATCACTTACACCAGACGCCAATCACCAAACTCACTGTGCAGCAGCAGCTCCCCCATCTTCGGCCTCTCCACCTCTGCCCAGACATCTAGGGACCAAGTCACTCCTAGCTCAGTTTAATCATGTCAATCCCCCACCGTAGCCTTGATTTTACAGTTTTCTGTGGAGGAGCACACCTCTTCTCTGAACACCATCTCCCATTAGGTTGGGGGGTGGCACCGGTCATCCATTATTGGCCTTAGATCCAGAGATCCTCATTATCCTGAACGGGGGTTGGTGGGACTTCACCTAAGCTGAGAAGCTGGAATCAGGACAGAGTCACCAGCTTGTCTCTTGCAAGCACTGGACCTGATGACATGTACACCTGGGGCCATTATGGGGGATGGCGGTAGGGGTGGGTGTCCTCTCCTATCAGGCACAAGAAAAACAAAGAAAGCCACTCTGCAAAGAGAAAAGAATGGGCCGGTTGCAGTGGCTCATGCCTGAAATCCCAGAACTTTAAGAGGCCAATGCAGGTATATCATCTGAGGTCAGGAGTTTGAGACCAGCCTGACCAACGTGGTGAAACCCTGTCTCTACTAAAAATACCAAAATTAGCTGGGCATGGTGGCAAGCACCTGTAGTCCTAGCTACTCGGGAGGCTGAGGCAGGAGAATTGCTTAAACCTGGGAGGTGGAGGATGCAGTGGGCAGAGATCATGCCACTGCACTCCAGCCTGGGCAACAGAGCGAGACTCCATCTCAAAAAAAATCAATAAATAAAGAGAAAAGAACGAAGCAGATACAGGAGAGGAGAGCAGAGACACAGACCAAGAAGAGAGGCGGGAGGGGGGAAGAGGGAAGCCAACCTATCCCGGAAGCCTCAGGCTCCCCTCCCTAGGCTATCTCCAACACGTGGCAGCCGTTTTTACTCCAGGGTTCCAAGCGACCCTCCCAACACCCCTTTTCTGCTGAAACCACCTCAGGAGGGGTTTGAGGCCTGCGGCCAAGAGCCCTGACTGAGCAGCTCCAACATCCCACCCCATTCAACCTGGGGTCCTGGAGTGATGCAAGCTGGCCGAGCCCCAACCCTGCGGGCCCCGGACTGTTGTCCACCCTCTTGCCTGGAATGCTTCCTTCTCTGCCTCCCCACCCTTCAAGGCCCCACCCACACCATCCCCCTCCTGGATGGCGCCCCTCCCTGCTCCTCACCATCCTCGGACACTTGGCTGTGAGTTCGTCTCGAGCCTGAACCAGAGGTCAGCTGAGGGCCTCTCCGCACCCCACCCCTCCAACTCACCAGCTCCTAGGCTTTACGTGGTAAGTGCCTGAGAGGACAGGGTAGGTACCTGTGATCACACAACCCCAGCAAAGCCCTCTAATGGGAGGTACTGGCCCAGCCACGAGCTCGGCTTTTGCCACCTTCCTACCAACGTCCGGTCCACATGCTGGCCACCTACTAGGTGTGTCATATGCACACCCACAGCCAGGGCCCTGGCTGCCCACCAGCCGGGGAGGGTGAGGCACACCACCCTGCCCAGTGAAAGGGTCCTTTATTTCCACGTTCAACGGAATTGGTCTGTGCTGCTGCCCTACCCCTGCCCCTGTCAGGGGAGCCACGGGAGGGGGCTGGGCCCGCAGAGGTGCCTGACTTCCCAATGCCGAGGCCTTGCCATCTGCTGGAAGAGGGTCTGGGAGAGGGGAGGGATGCCAAGAGGAAATGCTGAGGAGTCCTGGGCAGAGGCCAGCATGCGGGCCTGGCCACAGGGCGATTCCCAGACAGGACAGACTGGAATGGCAGCCAGGCTTGCACACCCTGGTGGCCTCCCGCATGGCAAGTGGTGCCGCAGGGCTGGTCTGGAAAGCGTCAATTAAAGGTCAACTGGGTTGCCGGGGGCACAGAGGCGTGCTCCTGGTAGCCTGAGCACCCTGACCTAGGCGCTTTTGGGCCTGGCTCTTTGGATAGATCACAGGCTGAAGTGGGTACAGGCCAGGGTGGGCCATTCCCTCAGGGCATCTGGTGCAGTCCCAGGACCCTGAGAGGGAAGCGTCCGGTGAAGGCAATGACACCCCCGCCAGGAATGGGCCTTGCTCTAGCCAGACTAGCAGGCCTGGCCACGGCCTCAGGGTCTCTGGGCCTCAGATTCTGCTGCTAAGAACCCTCCCGGGATCTTGCATTTCTTGGCCTGTTGGTCCCCTGGCTGTGTCGAGCTGTAGGGAGTGCACGCAGCAACACAGGTCAGGGAGCTGCTGTGAAACAGAGGGCAGCCAGCTCTGGGACTAGGGGCTTTGGCTGTTGCTGACCCCCTTGATCTCTGCAGATCTGCTGAGACCTCCCTGCTATCTGGAGTGAGTGGATGTAGCACCCCAGGGCATCTCATGTAACAACTTGCCCAACATCCAGAGGGTGTCCAGCACACAGGTGGCTCTCACAACAGCTGTGGACTGTAATGTGTGTGGACCGTAAGCTGCTGACTGGATGGATTAGACTTGAACACGTGTGGGTCATACACACAGACATGCACCCTCACGTGTGTATGTTATTGACACTGGGGTGTGCCCGTTTATGCATGTGCAGGGGTGAGAGTGTGCACTCATGTCCAGGTGAACTGGGTACGCACACTCAGTCCTGCTGGCAGGGAAGAAGCCACAGACAGAATCGGCAGGGAGTGACTATCCACACGGGGGCGAGTTCACAGCAGCCGGCTCCGGGGAATGTCTGTATGGGCACACCTGTGGGGTAGTGTGCACCCCCTGGGTCATGTAAACAGCAGGTGGGGGAGTGTGTGCCGGGGATCTGGGCAGCCCTCACTGCCAGCTGGCACAGTTCTCGGGCAGGCTGTGCAGAATGGCCTCCAGGTTCTGTTTGTCGGCGCGGATCTCGGCGAGGTCACTCTCGAAGCCCTGGATCTGCAGCTCCTGCTGCTGGGATTCCTGCTCCAGCAGACTGAGTTTCCTCTGCAAGGACCCCGGGGAGCCCAGCTGCAGCCTCAGGCGTTCTAGTGCCCACTGAGTCTCGTTCAGGGCCTGGGCTGGGGCTTGATGGGTGTCCAGCGACCCTGTGGTGGGGCACAAACAGCCTCACTGTGAGCCAGCAGCCCTGCAGGCCCCAGGGCACCTCCCAGCCCCTGAGCCTCTCCCCAGCTCAGGCCTCCCAGGATTCCAATGGCCCACCATCCACCAGGGAAAGATGGGGAGCAGAAGGGCTGGGAGGTGGGTGAGGACCCATAGCATCCCAACGGGCCCATGGGCAGACTCTAGAACATCCTCCTGGGTGGCACTTGACAAATGTCATTTTTGTTGATGGTTTTACTATTATTGTTAAAAAAGAAGGCCTCAGGTGAGTCCTCTCTGAGTCTTAGTTTACTCATTTACAAAACAGTGTGGGAGAAAGGCCCCTGTGATTTTTGCCAGCTTGAACATGCTGGCTCAATTCACTGACAGCACACGTTTACAGATGCCGCCTGTGGGCCTGGATGTGGGCAATCACTGGGGTAAACCACAGGCCCACACCACCATGCCCAGCTAATTTTTGTATGTATGTATGGATGGATGGATGCATTTATTTATTTATTGAGACGGAGTCTCGCTCTGTTGTCCAGGCTGGAGTGCAGTGGTACGATCTCAGCTTACTGTGGCCTCAGGTTCAAGCGATTCTCCTGCCTCAGCCTCCCGAGTATCTGGGATTACAGGTGCCTGCCACCATGCTCCGCTAATTTTTTTGTATTTTTAGTAGAGACAGGGTTTCACCACGTTGGCCAGGCTGGTCTCAAACTCCTGACCTCAGGTGATCTGCCCGCCTCAGCCTCCCAAAGTGCTGGGATTACAGGTGTGAGCCACCACGCCTTGCCTAATTTTTGTATTTTTTGTAGAGACAGGGTTTCACCATGTTGGTCAGGCTGGTCTCAAACTCCTGACCTCCAGTGATCCACCCGCCTTGGCCTCCCAAAGTGCTGGGATTGCAGGCATGAGCCACCATGCCCAGCCCCAAGTGGCTGCTTCTAACCCCACAGGATTCCACTGGGCCCCTGGGATCCCCGAGGCCCTGGATTTCCTGGGCAAGCAGCTGCAAGCACTGAGCCAGTGTGCAAGAGAAGGCAGAGGGGAGCCAAGGCCCTGCTGACCTAGGAGGACCTCAAGAGGCCCCATGGCCCACAGCAAAATCCAAACAGCCTGGTCTTCGAAGAGATTCAGAAATGGATTACAGCCCCCACTCTACCTGCCCAGGCTGCCTAGGGCTCCTGGAGAAGGGGCCAGGCGTGTGCTCTTCATTCTGCATCCCCAGGCCAAGCACAAGGCCAACACAGAGTGTGACAAGTGAATGAATGACAGTGACAATGCAGGAATGGTTGAAGAGAGTGTCTGCTCCACGACAGGGCCTTAGGTGTCGACTAGTGGCTACCTGCACGCACGCTGAGTCACTTGGACCCGCAGGTGAGCCACGGCTTTCCTACCGACTGGCTGTGGGACCCTGGGCACATTATCTAAACTCTGTGCTAAGCTGGGTGTGGTGGCTGTCTCCCGTAATCCCAGCATTTTGGGAACCTGAGGTGGGAGCATCCCTTGAGGCCAGGAGTTCAACACCAGCTTGGTTAACATAACGAGACGCTGTCTCTACAAAAAAACAAAAATAAATAAAAAATAAAAATAAACTCTCCTCACCTCAGTTTCCTCATCTGCAAAACGGCAAAAGAATAACTGTCCTTGCGTCAAAGAGTGAGTATGAGAATTCTGTAAGATCACGTGTGTGAATAGCTTAGTGTGGGCCTGGTGTCCAGACAACGTGTAGAGCATGGCAATTCTCTCTCCTCTTACTACGAATGAAAATTGAAAATGCTTGCTGCCACATGGGTGAATCTTGATGACTTTCTGCTAAGTGAAATAAGTCAGTCAAAAGAGGACAAATAAGGCCGGGCATGGTGGCTCACGCTTGTGATCCCAGCACTTTGGGAGGCCAAGGCAGGAGGATCACTTGAGCCCAGTAGTTTGAGACCAGCCTGGGCAACATAGGGAACATATTTTTTTGTCTCCAAAAAAAAAAAAAAAAAAAATTAGCTGGGTGTGGTGGTGCGTGCCTGTGGTCCCAGCTACTTCGAAGGCTGAAGTGGAAGAATCGCTTGAGCCCAGGAGTTTGAGGCTGCAGTGAGCCACGACTGCACCACTGCACTCCAGCCTGGGTAACAGAGCAAGATCCTGTCTCCAAAAAAATTTTAAAAGTACAAATACTATATGATTCCAGTTATATGAGGTCCCCAGAGTAGTCAAATTCTTTTTTTTTTTTAAGTTATAGGGTACATGTGCACAACGTGCAGGTTTGTTACATATGTATACATGTGCCATGTTGGTATGCTGCACCCATTAACTGGTCATTTACATTAGGTATTTCTCCTAATGCTATCCCTCCCCCCTCCCCCCACCCGATGACAGGCCCCAGTGTGTGATGTTCCCCACCCTGTGTCTGAGTGTTCTCATTGTTCAATTCCCACCTATGATTCTAAGCAAGTTCTTCTTTTGAGACGGAGTCTCACTCTCACCCAGGCTGGAGTGCAGTGGTGTGATCCTGGCTCACTGCAACCTCCGCCTCCCAGGTTCAAGCGATTCTCCTGCCTCAGCCTCCTGTGTAGCTGAGATTACAGGCATGTGCCACCATGCCTGGCTAATTTTTTTTATATCTTTAGAAGGGACAGGGTTTCACCATGTTGGTCAGGCTGGTCTCAAACTCCTGACCTCAAATGATCCACCCACCTTAGCCTCTCAAAGTGCTGGGATTACAGGCATGAGCCACCCTGCCTGGCCCAGAGTAGTCAAATTCATAGAGACAGAAAGTAGAATGATGGCTGCCAGGGGCTGGGGGAGGGAAATGGGGGGTTAGTGTTTCAGGAGGACAGAGCTTCAGTTGGAGATGATGAAAGTGTTCTAGAGATGGGTAGTGGTGATGATCGCACAACAATGAATATACTTAATGCTGCTGAACTGTACACTTCAAAATGGTTAAGATGGAAAATATTATGTGTCTTTTACAATTTGAAAAAAATACATGCTGTTCTTTTCAGCCCAACTGCCCTGTCTGCTGTCTCCTGAGCCTCCCCACAACACTGGGCCTCTGCAACCTTCGTGCCTTGGGAGGTGCTATTCCCTTCATCCAAAATGCCTCCTTGCTAAGGCCCATCTTGAATCTGACCTCCTTCCTACGAGCCGCTATTTACTCACTCTCAACATACACCACGCACCGTGGTAAGCGCTTTCTAAACCACCCCACTGTTACTCCCATTTTCCAGATGGGGGATCTGAGGCTCAGAGAGGTGGAGTGGCTTGCCCGAGGTCTAATGGCCAAAGAAGGGACAGAGCCAGACTTGAATCTTAGTCTGATCCCAGACCAGCACCTGATGACACTTTCTGCCGTGACAGTCTTTCTTCTTCTCCTGAACCCTCAGCTCCTGAGGACTGACCTGCTCACCTGCTCACCCGGTGCCTGTGGGTGTTCTTGCCAATGGTGAGTTTTCTGTGTGCCCCCTGCCCTGCCCCAAAGAATAGAGGGCCCTGGAGGCACAAACAGTTACTCAAAGTGAACTCACTTCTAGATGCCAACCCTGTCCCACATGGCAAGGGGGCCTGGGCATGGTTATAAATGCTTGTGATTGACCACAAAGATGGGGATGCGGGAAGCATGGCAATGAGGACAAGGAGGAAATCTTCCCCAGGACTGGAGCTCACAGGAAGATCCTAGAGGTGCCCCAGGGACCCAGGGGTTCAGGGCCCAGCCTTAGGGCCTCCTTACCCAGCCTGGCAAGCAGCTCTGACAAGGTCTCGATGTCCTTCTCCAGTGAGATACGCGATTCCCGGATCTGCTGCTCCATCTCGCTCAGCCCAGCACCCACCTTTCAGGGGGAGGAGGAAGAAACAGCTTGAATGGCGTCCCCACCCGGGCTGCCAGGGGCAGGAGGCGATAGGGTAGGGGCCCTGGCAAACGTACCCGCTCAGCTTCCTCCAGCTCCTGTCTGCGTGCTTCAGACGCCAGCACCTGCTGGGACGCCTGTTGGAGCGTGGCTTGCGTCTGGCTGGTGAGCCTGCTGGCACGGCGGTGCGCCTGTTTCCGCTCCCTCAGCAAGGCCTTGGCAAGCTATGGGATGGGTGGCAGTGGCAGGGAGAAGAAGTGAGTGCAGCAAGTCCTTTTGGAGGTAAATAGCTCTTATGGCAATGATGCCAAGCAGTTGTCTGTACCAGGCAGATCATTCATTCATTCATGCACGCAACAAATATGTACTGAATGCAGGCTAAGTGCTGGGCACAGTGTAGACTGCTGGATACCACCCGTTTCAGGAGGAGCAATTCTAACTATTTTACAGGTGAGGAAACAGAGGCACAGAGGGGAGGAGGGGCTGGCCAAAGCCCGAGGGGCATGACAAGAGATCAAGCCCGGGGACCCCTACTGCAAACCCAGCACTTTTCCTAGGCACCATAAAGACAGTTTCCTTGGTGTGTGAGCAACAGAACCAGCAGCAGAGCTGGGGAGATAGGCACTGATTAGAATTTGGCACCAATTTTTTAAAAGCCTAGTTAAAATCAGCCAGGGCTGGGTGCAGTGGCTCATGCCTATGGTCCCAGCACTTTGGGAGGCTGAGGCAGGAGGCTTGCTTGAGACCAGAGGTTCAAGACCAGCCTGGGCAACATAGTGAGACCCCAATCTTTTTTTTCTTTTTTTTTTTCGAGGCAGAGTCTCCCTCTGTTGCCCAGGCTGGAGTGCAGTGGTGCAGTTTGGCTGACTGCAACCTCCACCTCCCAGGTTCAAGCAATTCTTGTGTCTCAGCCTCTGGAGTAGTTAGGACTACAGGTGCGAGCCACCATGCCCGGCTAATTTTTTTGTATTTTTAGTAGAGACAGGGTTTCACCATGTTGACCAGACTGGTCTCGAACTCCTGACCTCAAGTGATCTGCCTGCCTTGGCCTCCCAAAGTGCTGGGATTACAGGAGTTAGCCACCACACCTGGCCGAGACTCCTCATCTCTGCAAAAAAAAAAAAGTTAGCCAGGCACAGTGGCACACACCTGTAGTCCCAGTTACTCAGGAGGCTGAGGCAGGAAGATCACTTAAGCCCAAGGGTTTGAGGCTGCAGTGAGCTGTGATTGTGCTACTGTACTCCAGCCTGGGCGACAGAGACCCTGTCTCTACAAAAAACAAACAAACAAGCAAAAAAAAAAAACAAAACCAAAAACCCTTAAGCTGGGTGCAGTGGCTCACACCTGTAATCCCAGCACTTTGGGAGGCCAAGGTAGGTGGATCATCTGAGATCAGAAGTTCGAGACCAGCCTGGCCAACATGGTGAAACCCCGCTCTACTAAAAATACAAAAATTAGCCAGGTGTGGTGGAGCACGCCTATAATCCCAGCCACTCTGGAATCTGAGGCAGGAGAGTCACTTGAACCCAGGAGGCGGAGATTGCAGTGAGCTGAGATTGCGCCACTGCACTCCAGCCTGGGCCACAGAGTAAGAATCTGTCTGAAAAAATTAAGAAAAAAATTGAAAACAAAAAGGCAGGTAAAATAAATAAACGCAAACTTCAAAATAACAAAAAAGAAAAGAAAAACCTAGAAGTTTAGGCAGGAAAGCCAGCAGACCCAGGTGTAAGTCCTGGTTAAGTTCATGAAGCTGGCTGCACCTCAGCATTCTCACCTGTACAATGGGGACAGCAATGACACCTATTTCGTGAGGAACCCACAGACTCACCCCCGTGAAGTCTCTGAGCTAATTGCCTGGGCCCACTGAGCAGTGAGTGAGTGCGGAGTAGTCAGCACGGATGTCGGGAAGGGGCCCGCGGAAGGGCGGTCCCCCCGGGAGGGAAGGAGGCCACTGTTGTCACAGCCACCACCCTGACCTTGGCACTGTCCTTGGCCAACACCTCTGCTTCTCTGCCCTTCTTCTTGGCACTGGAGGAAAGAGGGGCCGCGTTTCCCAGCATCCTCTCCGCCTGCTTGGTCTTCTTTCTCGTGTCTGCAAGGAGTCTGTCACTGACGGAGTCTGCCTTCCTCTGCAATGCCGCCTGGTCCTTGGGCCGGGGAAACTGCAGCTTCATTCCTGCAAACCCGGCTGAGGCTGGGTCAGGGGAACTGGGCTCACACCTCCGGTGCCTCCCAGGCAGCCGCTGGCAGAGCTGCCTGGCTGACCACAGACCCTTGGACAACGAGTGGAGGTCTGAAGTGCATGCAACGTGCATATCGCCTTCTCAGGCTTATCCAGGAGAAAACAAAAGCAAGCGAGACACAGACATACTGCTTGGGGAATTTTGAGATGAGTATTCATTCTATTAGGATGTCTATTAAAGTCAAGGAATTACATGGTGGTCAATGCTGGGGCCAGTGGTGGGGACTAGCACAGTCCATGGCTCAGTCTGCTCAGCTCGGCATTTTCATGTACTGCCTACGTCTAAACAATGCTTTAAGGCAGTGTATAGTGATGGGTAAATCAACAAATGGATCCTTACCATGGAAAACCAAGAGTCTGATGTAACTGGAGGGATGAGGAAGGACAGAGGAGAGGGAGAAGTACCAGAAAATCTCGATAATGACATTGCAGAAACCAAATGTTTGATTGACCACTGAGCTTTCAAGCAATCAAGACAAAAAGGGAAATGTTACAATTCTCTTTTTTTTTTTTTTTTTTGAGACAAGGTCTCGCTCTGTCACCCAGGCTGGAGTGCAGTGAGACAAGGTCTCGCTCTGTCACCCAGGCTGGAGTGCAGTGGAGAGATCTCAGCTCACTGCAACCTCTGCCTCACGGGTTTAAGCAATTTTCCTGCCTCAGCCTCCTGAGTAGCTGAGATTATAAGCACACACCACCATACACGGCTGGTATTTTTTTTTTTTTAGTAGAGATGGAGTTTCACCATGTTGGCCAGGCTGATCTCAAATTCCTGGCTTTAAGTGATCCACCCACCTTGGCTTCCCAAAGTGCTGGGATTACGGGTGTGAGCCACCACACCCAGAGGAAATGTTAGAATTCCCATAGATTTTATTATCCAATAAGAAGTAGTTTATTTCTTGGTAAACAAAGAGACTATTTCCTTTCCTTTCAGATAAAATTCTAAGGGAAATTTAGTCAGGTGCGGTGGCTCATTCCTGTAATCCCAGCTACTCTGGAGGCTGAAGCAGGAGGATCAGGCCAGGAGTTCAAAACCAGCCTAGGAAACATAGTGAGACCTCATCTCTACAAAAAGACAAAAGCTTAGCTGGGCATGGTGGCACACACCTATAGACCTAGCTACTCACGAGACTGAGGTGGAAGGATCACTTGAGGCCAGGAGTTGGAGGCTACAGTGAGCTATGATTGCACCACTGCACTCCAGCCTGGGTGACAGAGTGAGACCCCAACTCAAAAAAAAATTCTAAAGGAAGTTTATCATCAAAAGAACTGAATACAGGCCAGGCACGGTGACTTACGCCTGTAATCCTAACACTTTGGGAGGCGGAGGCAGGTAGATCACCAGAGGTCAGGAGTTCAAAACCAGCCTGTCCAACCTGGTGAAACCCTGTCTCTACTAAAAATACAAAAAAAAAAAAAAATGCCGGGTGTGGTGGCGGGCACCTGTAATCCCAGCTACTCAGGAGGCTGAGGCAGGAGAATCACTTGAACCCAGAAGGCAGAGGTTGCAGTGAGCCGAGATCATGCCACTGTACTCCAGCCTAGGCAACAGAGCGAGACTCTATCTCAAAAAAAAAAAAAAAAAAAAAAAAAAAGCACTTATTACAGTGGACAAAGTAAAAGTCAATTTTTAAAATGAATAAAGCCTTCTAATCTTTGAGGGCATAATATTATAGAATTGTTCCATCCAGAAATTAGACCTGCTTTGCTCCTTGTACACAAAATTGATGTTTCTCAGCATGTATTGTGTGGAGCCCTAATTCTCCACGGTGTTAACAAACGTTAGGGGGAAGTGTCAATTAAGTTGAAAGTGAAGCAGGTTTCTTTATTACAGGCCTTCTCAGAACCTTTAATATTCTCAAGCGTTCTCTGTAAGACCTCAAGAGGATGCTGCAGCAAGAGACAGTTCCTAAACTTATTTGAACACAAACCCTCTCTTGGCAGAGCGTATCAATAGGCTAGGAGACCCCCGGCCACACCCTGGGGAAGACTGCTCCACAGTTCACCTTGTGAATTTTCCTTTTATCCTGAACACCAACTGAGCACAGCCAAGCTGGTGGTAAGAAAGGGTGTCTCTAAAATGGGATCAGAATGGGGAAAAGAGCCTGGGGTTAGAGGTTTGAGGTTAGCCCTCCTGTGGATTATGGGAACAGTGCAAGGAAATTTCCATCCACTACACACAAGAATGTTCTCATTCTCAGAACCCGACAATGAGAAGGTAAAAGCTTGTAAGGTAGTGAGCCCCCCATTGTTGGAGATAGGCAAGCTGAGGGTGGGCGAGTCCACTGCCAGGTGTGAGATTTGCAGCAGATGACCTTAAGACCTCTTATAATTCTAATGTTCTAAGATCCTAACATTCCATCATTATAAGTCATTGAATGTACCTTTTTCTAAATATGACTCTAGATACTTAAGCACACACGGCCACGCCTTTCCGACAGGAAGTCCCCAAACGATGGGTGACTAGGACTTCAAGCCGCCAGGAAGCTGGGGAACAGGAGCACTGACCAGCCCATCCTCTGCCCCAGAGGGGCTGGGTCCACAGCTAGCGCTCCATCTCTTCCGGGCAGTGGGCAGGGCTGGGGAGGGAGGCCACAGAACAACAGCAGAAGCCTGACTTCTGGCCTCAGACCCCAAGAGACATCTGGGGTTCAGAGTGTGTTCCTGCCTTATCCAGCCCGTTGGATAAGGAGCCACAAACAAAGGGTGAGGGGGCTTCTCTCTGGAGCAAATTGGGTATCACAGAAGCCCATCACACAGGTGGATACTTGCAGAATCGTAATACTTGCTGGCTTCTATTCCCAGCTTAGCTCTGACCCAGGGATGAATAGCAATTCCTTTCCTCAGCCTACCCATCTGCAAAATGGGGGCACTAGACTGGCATCAACCCATAGCCCCTTCTAAAGAGAAACTCCATCTGCTTCCCATAGCCCCAACTCAACATTGGACCCGGACAGCCATATTTGTATCAGATAACTAACTGGAGCCCAGGCCAGAGTGGACTTGACCTGGTTGAACAGCCAATGATGTTAGAGTCTCCTCTCACTTGGTCTGGAGGGGCTCTGCATGTGGTCTGATGACCTGGGGTGTATGGGATAGCCACATGGGCAAGTCCGAGGTGAGTGATGTATGAGATGGGGCAGGATCCTGAGAGGTGGAGGGAAAGTCTGTTTGGCTTAATTAAGCCCACAAGACCAGACTCCTGTCCTCTGCAAGCCTGCCCTGGCTGAGGCGAGAGGTGAGTGGCTGTCAGGGGCGTTCGTCATTACACAGCCTAGTGGTCAGCTGGACTCACGTACCTTCCAGATCAGCCAGCAGAGTCCTGGCTCCCATGACAGTCACTGTCGCAGCCTGGACAGATGAGGAAGCCTGGGTCAGGGCGGCTCTGGCCTCCTGGTGCAGCTGGAGAGAGATGAGGAGAGGCTGGGCAGCTGGCTCCACAGGAGCAGGGCCCAGGGGCAGCTCAGTGGGCACCAAACCCACATACATGGGTGCCCAAATCATCACCAAATCCCTGACGCTGGGTCACGCTGTCCACCAGGAGCACCTGATCTGTGTTATTATACAAAAGTTGAACTCCGAATGTCTCCCAAGAGATACCTGTCCACAAAAGCCCGGAGGAAAACTAAAACACTAGAATTAAAGGAACGAGAACACCTGAACATCTCTTTAGAACATGTTCTATTGGCCAGGCACAGAGACTCACACCTGTAATCCCAACACTTTGGAAGGCCGAGGTGGGCAGATCACTTGAGGTCAGGAGTTCGAGACCAGCCTGGCCAACATGGTGAAACCCTGTCTCTACTAAAAATTTATTTAAAATTAGCTAGGTGTGGTGGTGCATGCCTGCAATCCCAGCTACTGGGGGAGGCTGAGGCGGGAGTATGGCTTGAACCTATGGGGCAGAGGTTATAGTGAGCGGAGATCAAGCCACTGCACTCCAGCCTGGGTGGCATAAAGATTCCATCTAAAAAAGAGAGAGAAAGAAAGGAAGGAAGGGAGGGAGGGAGGGAGGGAGGGAGGGAACACTGCTCTATCTCAGCAAGTGGATGTGAAAATCGCAAATCTGTTTATGACACCACCTTGACTTATGGAAGATCAGTTTCTTCCCCACTGCCACTCAACAGGACTAGATACACTGAAAGAATTTGGGTCTGATAGATGAGTGGGTAAACAAAATGTGCTTCATCCACACACTGGAATATGACCGAGCCTTTCAAAGGGAGGAAGTATAGATCCAGGCCGCAAGGCAGGTGAACCCTGAAAAGGTGATGCCATCAGGAGGAAGCCTGACACCATCGGCACATATTACACGATTCCATTTCTGCAAAAGAGCTGGACTAAGGAAATCTACAGAGACAGAGAACAGAGTGGAGGCTGCCCGGGCCTCGGAAGTGGAAATGAGGAGGGACTGCTGAGTGGGCATGGAGTTAGGGGTGGTGAGAATGTTCTGAAACTAGACTGAGGTGGAGGTGGCATAACATCGTGAACGTGCTAAAGCCATTGCATCTAAAATGGGTGTTTGTATGCCACGTGAATGTCACTGTAACAAGAATAAATAAATAGTAGTTTGAGGAGCCACTAGTACTGCCTCAGGCCTATTCTGATTGCTCATGGGGTGGGGAGGAGGACGAAGGCATGGGTGCTGTGGTGGGGTGAGGCATCTGTACACGCTGGGGCCTGGCCCTGACTCCTGGGGAAGTCACCTCTCTTCCTGGCAACCTCACCCTGGACGAGGGCAGTGGACCAGATCAGCAGGTGCTACCCCGGGGGCAAAGCCAAACTCCCCGGGTAAGCGGCAGGCACTGGGCTCAGCTCTTCAGATACATTCTCATGCCTCACAGACAGCCCCCTTATCCTGTCTTTAAAAGGAATGGAAGCCGGGTGTGATGGCTCGTGCCTGTAATCCCAGCACTTTGGGAGGCTGAGGTGGGTGGATCATCTGAGATCAGGAGTTCAGCCTGGCCAACATGGTGAAACCCCATCTCTACTAAAAATACAAACATTAGCTGGGCGTGGTGGTGAGGGCCTGTAATCTCAACTACTCTGGAGGCTGAGGCAGGAGAATCGCATGAACCTGGGAGGCAGAGGTTGCAGTGAGCCGAGATCGCGCCACGCACTCCAGCCTTGGTGACAGAGTAAGAGTCTGTCTCAAAAAAAAAAAAAAAAAAAAAAAAAGGAATGAGGCTGGGTGTGGTGGCTTACACCTATAATCCTAGCATGTTGAGAGGCCGAGGCAGGTGGATCACTTAAGGCCAGGAGTTCGAGACCAGCCTGGCCAACACAGTGAAACCCCATCTCTACTAAAAATACAAAAGAATTTAGCTAGACACGGTGGCACACACCTGTAGTCCCAGTTACTCTGGAGGCTGACCCAGGAGAATCACTTGAACCCGGGAAATGGAGGTTGCAGTGAACCGAGATTGTGTCACTGCACTCTAGCCCAGGCAATAGAGCAAGACTGTTTCAAAAACAAAATTAAAAACAAAATTATCGGTACAGCTGCCTTGGAAAGTGGCCGCTTCTCTGCAGCTTTCAAATGAGCCATGAATGAACTAGAGAATGAACTAATGAATGGAGGCATGAGAGAGAATGATCCCAGGATGGTGGGTGTGGCCCCGGGTGCTGCTGCTGCTGTCCTCTGTCAGTCTATCCATCATCTCTTCTCGGGGTATCAGGGTCCCCTCCCCTATCTCAGGCTGTATGTGGAGTTTTGCAGGAGGCACCAGAGGGATGGACAGAGCTACTTCTTCTTTTTTCTTTTTTTTGAGATGGGGTCTCACTCTGTTGCCAGACTGGAGTGCAGTGGCGCGATCTCAGCTCACTGCAACCTCCACCTCCTGGGTTCAAGCGATTCTCCTGCCTCAGCCTCCCAAGTAGATGGGACTATAGGCACATGCCACCATGCCTGGCTAATTTTTTGTATTTTTAGTAGAGATGGGGTTTCACCATGTTAGCCAGGATGGTCTCAATCTCCTGACCTCGTGATCCACCCGTCTCGGCCTCCCAAAGTGGTGGGATTACAGGTGTGAGCCACTACACCCGGCCGGACAGAGCTACTTCTGTCTCTGCCCTTCTCCCTCCTGCAACCCTGACCCTGGATCACCTTCAGGGTAGCCCCAACCTCTCCCAGGTCCCCTGCTTCAAAGCACAAGAGCTGACCTTTGTGAGGGGTTCTGTTTGCCGTAGCGTCGCCTGGGCAGCAGTCTGGAGGGTTCGGGCAGCCTCAGTGGCCATGTGCTGCCATGATGCAACTGTCTTCTCCAGGGCCTTCGCCTTCAGGCCCAGGTCTTCAGCCCGGGACTTCTGAGGCTGCAGGGAGACAATGCGCTCAGGCAGGGCCTGGAAAGGAAGGGCAAGCAGCGGATCCTCTCCTTGGGGGAGGTGCCCTGCTGGGCTGAGGCGGCGGGTCTGCCCCTGGCTGCCAGCCAAGAACCCAAGCCCCCTGAAAACCTGGTGAGCCTAGCTGATGCCCCAGGTAGCTCGGAAGCCCAGAGGCAGGAATAGCAGGGGTCAGGCTTTGTGTGGACCCCTGGAGGCAGAGGGCCCAGGGCGAGAGGAGCCAGGCTGGGGAAGCCCTTACTTGGGGCTCAGATGACAGTCCTACCAATTTCTAGCTGCGTGGCCTTGAGCAACCCAGCTAACCTCCCTGACCCACACTGCCCCACTGCAAAGTGGGAATGCTTCCCCAGCTCCACAGCCCTGAACTGAGATCTGGGGGCTGGATGGCTTCCGAATGCAGAATTTCCCAGACTTATAGGAGAACTGTGCAGGTTCTACCTATGACCTAACACCCTGAGTGGTGCTGGAAGCAGAACCTGGGCTCAAACACACTAACAGCTGTGCATTACTCTCCGCACGCAGTGGGAGGAGCAAAGATCTCAAATAAGCAGCCTTGGGCATCAATCTGGGTTAGCACTTGTCCCAAATGCATTTTTATAAGCTGAGTTTTTTTTGTTTTGTTTTGTTTTGTTTTGAGACAGAATCTCACTCTGTCACCTAGGCTGGAGTGCAGTGGCGCAATCTCAGCTTACTGCAAGCTCCGCCTCCCAGGTTCATGCCATTCTCAGCCTCCCGAGTAGTTGGGACTACAGACGCCCGCCACCATGCCTGGCTAATTTTTTTGTATTTTTAGTAGAGATGGGGTTTCACCATGTTAGCCAGGATGGTCTCGATCTCCTGATCTCGTGATCCGCCCGCCTCAGCCTCCCAAAGTGCTAGGATTACAGGTGTGAGCCACCGCGCCCGGCCAAGCTGAGTTCTTTAATGTTCAGTTTCTGAGTTTTGGGATTTCAGGGTTACTGAATCGACACGATGGACCCGGTTCATGCAGAGGTGATGAGTATAAGGCGATGAGCACAGAGGGGTCGGCCAGCTACCTCGTGCATTGCTCCCGAATCTCTGTCCAGCTCCCATGGAAGCAGCCTCGAAATAACCTAATGGGTGAGTTCTATGTGACAGACTGAGGCTCAGGAAGGGAAAGTCCTTGGCCGAGGTCACAGAGCTGGAGTGGCAGAGCTGGGATTGCATCCCGTGTCCATCTGATGACACTGCTAATGTCACTGTAAGGAGGAAGAGGCCCCAGCCTTAACATTATCAACAGAGAATGGTTGAAATGGTTGAGCTCTGACTCTGCCAAGCCCCATAGGTAGGTTATATCATTTGACTTAGCTGCAATATAGTTAAAAATGAGCCATATCACCTGCCTCTGCCTGGGCCCCACCGGTTTCTCCAGCTGCTATAATAGTTTTTTTTTTTTTTTTTTTTTTTTTTTTTTTTTTTTTGAGATGGAGTCTTGCTCTGTCGCCCAGGCTGGAGTGCAGAGGTGCAATCTTGGCTCACTGCAGCCTCTGCCTCCCAGGTTCAAGTGATTCTTCTGCCTTAGCCTCTCCAGTAGCTGGGGTTACAGGCACGCACCACCACACCTGGCTAATTTTTGTATTTTTAGTAGAGACTAGGTTTCACTACGTTGGCCCAGGTGGTCTCAAACTCCTGACCTCAGGTGATCCACCCGCCTCGGCCTCCCAAAGTGCTGCGATTACAGGCGTGAGCCACCGTGCCCAGCCTCCAGCTTCTATAATAGATCCTCCCGACCCCACACGGAGCTCTGAGACAACTGAGCTGACCAGAGCTCCCGGGGAAGCCAGCAAGGCCAGGTACGGGGCTGTATCTGCGCCAACTTGCTGCACGGTGGCCAACACGCTTTCCGCTTCAGGCAGCACCTCTGCCACAGCCGTCCTCAGTGCTTTCTGGGCCGCCTGGACCTCCTGGTACCTGGGAGGAAGCAGAGGCCACGGAGCTGGGTGCAGAACTAGCCCTCCCCATCCCTGTCTGGGCCCCAGGCTGGAGCCACTGGTTTGCAAAGGCCTCTGCCAACTTCCCAGGCAGAATAGCCCTCTGCGGGGTAGGTACAGCTGCCTCGGAAAGTGGCTGCTTCTCTGAAGCTTTCAGATGAGCCAGACGGGCTGTGAAAGGGCCACATTCTTGTTTCTGCATCATTCAGCTCAGCCACACTTTGCTGAAAGGGCTCTGCTTGGTTTCCACTCAAGAATCACATGTTTGCAAATGTTTGGCTCTTCTGGGTGAATGGTGAAGAGGAAAATGCCCGGTGAAGTGGGGAGCACAGCGGCCCCGGTCCTGGTCCTGGCTCGGCCATGCCCTTTCCAGAGACCTTGGGCACGTCCTCACCACTGATGAATGGAGAGCCCTGGGCTGCAGAATCCCTGTGGGCCCTTTTGCCCTGACAGGCCTGTGGTCTATAACCAATCAGCTAGGATGGGTTTTCTGTCCTGACCAGCTGTCCACATCCTGTCCCACCCATTCTTCCTCGACAAGGGCATTGCTGGGGTGGAGACCTCTGGCTTCCCTTCCATCCCTTACTCCTCCTTAGAGAGCCATCGCTCTGCCCCTGGGGTGGGTCATGTGACCTCCCCCAGCCATGGTGACTGGCTCAGGGCTGGACACCTGATCTAAGCGGAGCCAATCCCATTCTCGTTTAGGAATGTCTCGTTTAGGAATGTCAAGGGGCTCAAGCAAGATGCTGGGGAGTCTCCATGAACCTTTAAACTGAGAGGGACAGAAGGGGTCACCAAAGCAGAAAAGCAGAGCCGTCTGTCTGCAGAGGCAGAGAAAGAAGCTGGTGCCTCAGAGGAGCTCAGAGGAGCTGCCCTGGGCTGGGGCGCCGGGGCCAGGGGGGTCAGGGAATGCGGCAGAAGGAGAGCAAGGGATCTGTTGCTCTGGGTTCCAGTTCTTGTCTCTTCTCTTGAAGAGGCTGAGTTGCATCCCCCCAGGCAAAAGTGGGTTACTGCGACTCACCACCGAGTGGGCCCAAGACCCTGTGGCCCCACTCCGAGGAGGATGCAGACCCAAGACACCAACGACAAAGAACGTCAGGACTCAAGGGAGCTGGCTCTGGAACCAGCAGCCTTTGGCTAGGCCCTGTTGGCTCCAGGAGGCCAACCCCAAAGTTTCTACCCACACCTGGGGAGGCCTCACCTGTCCTCCAGGTCCCGCTGGGTCTCTAGGGCCACCCTTCCCTCCAGCAGATTCCAGAGAAGCGCGTAGCTGGTGTTGGAGGCGAGCAGGGCCCTCCAAGCAGTGGCTGCGATCTTGGTGGCGGTGTCTCTGTGGCTGTGTGAGGACACCCACCTGAGCATTACCAAGGGCTCGCAGGGAAGGGGCCCAGGATCAGAACTACGCCCCCTACTACACAGGCCTCCTGCTGCCCCTAACAGAGGACAGCCACAAAGACAGGTACGCCTTTTCCACCTTTCTGTGTTACGCACTTCAAGGACTGACAGGAAAGGTACTCCATGCCCTGTTTCTGTTACACAGAGACATAGAGTTTGTGTCTGTTGTCCTGACATAAGGATTAATAGGACTTTTTTTTTTTTTTTTTGAGACAGAGTCTCACTCTATTGCCCAGGCTAGAGTGCAGTGGTGTGATCTCAGCTCACTGCAACCTCCCCTCCTGGGCTCAAGTGATTCTCCTACCTCAGCCTCCCGAGTAGCTGGGATTACAAGTGTGCACCAGTTAATTTTTGTATTTTAGTAGAGACAGGGTCTCACCACATTGGCCAGGCTGGTCTCGACCTCCTGTCCTCAGGCGATCCACCCACCTCGGCCTCCCAAAGTGCTGGGATTACAGGCGTGAGCCACTGCACCCAGCCAGGGCCTTATTTTTTTCTTTTTAAGAGATGGAGTCTTACACCGTTGTCCAGGTTGGAGTGCAGTGGTGCCATCACAGCTCACTGCAACCTCAAACTCCTAGGCTCAAGGGATCCTCTCGCCTCAGCCTTCCAAGTAGCTAGGACTACAGGTGTGTGCCACCATGCCCGGCTAATTTTTAAAATTATTTTTGTAGCGATGGGGGTTTCACCATCTTGCCCAAGCTGGTCTGTAACTCCTTGCCTCAAACGATCCTCATGCCTCAGCCTCCCAAAGTGCTGGGAATACAGGTGTGAGCCACTGTGCCTGGCCAATAGGACCTTTTATCACACGTGAAAGCATCTCAGTTTGGACAATAAATTGTACAGTCACCCCAATATAGACAGCATAGAAGAGAGTGGTCACGACAGCCTGGGTTTGAATCCTGGCTTTATTGCTTCCAAGCTGTGTGTCCTTAGGAAATTCCTTAACTTCTCTGAATGTTTTCTCATCTGTAAAATAAGTCTAAGGTCCCTGGAGCGTAGCTAAAGGAGAAAATTGTCACAGATCCTGTGTTTTTAGGATCTTAAGCTGCGTCTTTTTTTTTTTTTTTTTCTTTGAGATGGAGTCTCATTCTATTGCCCAGGCTGGAGTGCAGTGGTGTAATCTCAGCTCACTGCAACCTCCACCTCCCAGGTTCAAGCGATTCTCCTGCCTCAGCCTCCCAAATAGCTGGAATTATAGGTGTGTGCCACCATGCCTGGCTAATTTATGTACTTTCAGTGGAGACGGGGTTTTACCATGTTGGCCAGGCTGGTATTGAACTCCTGACCTCTAGTGATCCACCTGTCTCAGCCTCCCAAAGTGCTGGGATTACAGGCGTGAGCCACCGCACCCAGCCTTAAGCTGCTCCTTAAAGGCAGTGGATGAAACAACCCAAGTGTCTGTTAACAGAAGACGGATAAACAACATGTGGCATTTCCATACAATGGGATATTATTCAACTGTAAGAGGAGTGAAGCACTCACCCATGCCACAATGTGGATGAGCCTTGAAAACACTGTGCTGGCCGGGCGCGGTGGCTCACGCCTGTAATCCCAGCACTTTGGGAGGCCGAGACAGGTGGATCACGGGGTCAGGAGATCGAGATCATCCTGGCTAACACAGTGAAACCCCCATCTCTACTAAAAATACAAAAAAATTAGCTGGGCATGTTGGCAGGCGCCTGTAGTCCTAGCTACTTGGGAGGCTGAGGCAGGAGAATGGCACGAACCCGGGAGGCGGAGCTTGCAGTGAGCCGAGATAGCGCCACTGCACTCCAGCCTGGGGGACAGAGCGAGACTCCGTCTCAAAAAAAAAAAAAAAAAAAAGAAAAGAAAAGAAAAAAAAGAAAACACTGTGCAAAGCAGCCAGTTGTAAAAGGCAACACATTGTCTGATTCCACTTCTATGAAACACCCAGAATAGGCATATCTATAGAGACAGAAAGTAGAATAGTGGTTCCAGGGGCTGGGGAGGTAAGGAGAAACGGGGGCTGATGGCAGATGGGTCCAGGGGTTTGTTTTTGGGATGATGAAAATCCTAAAACTGGTTGTGGTGATGGCTTTGCAACCCTGAGAATATAGGGAAACCACTGAATTATACAGTGAGACAGAGTCTCACTCTATTGCCCAGGCTGGAGTGCAGTGGGCAAAGGCCTCTGTATAGTGTGAACTATACCCCCAATATAATAACTTGTATATTACACAACTCTCACAAAGAGAAAGCCGGCAGATGCTCTCTGACGCCTTCAGTCCACCAAGCTTTGCCCCTAACATCTCTGGACTTATACCCACCTTGCCTGCCCCTCCCCATGCTGGTGACACTGCCTCCATCAGACAGCTCTTGTAATATCTGATCCCAACTTCTGGGTGGGGGCACCTGTGGGGCTGACTCTGACCCTGGAACCCCCAGGAGAAGGGCCAGGTGTAAGCTCACCATGTCTTGGGACTCACCTCCTGGCGAGGGCACGGGCCTCTGTGGCCAGGTGGCTCCATTTGGTCGGCTGACTGGGACCTTCCTGAGGAATCTCCTGTAGAAAGAAGAGGAAGAGGAGGAAACTGATGGCCCATCGCCAAAGGGTAAGGGCCACATCTGGTCCAATTGTGAGGCAGAACTGGATGGCACCCGTCGTTTTATAAATGCACAAAGCTGGCCACAACATCGGCATTCAGTGAGCGGAGTCCTAGGATGCAGAAACACCAATAAGGATGCAGCCCACCACTTACTGCGCATTCAGTCTCCTCGGAACATGCCTCGCCCTTTGCAAACATCCTCTCGCTGAATCCAGGAGGAGGCACTGTGTGATCCCCACTTTGCAGATGAAATTAAGCCTCCCAAAGTGGGGAGTCATACCCAAGGTCACCAGGTCAATGGGAGGGCTGGGGCAGGGACCAATGCCCAGGTTTGGTGTGTTCGGGTAGGGGGGTCCCCTGGGATACCAGAGACGCGAGAATGGCAGCTGCATGCAGAATCTCCTCTTCCGAGGACTCCAGCACTGCCTCCAGGTCTGCCAGCTGGGTGCAGGTCTTCTGGGATCCGGCCTGGGCACAGCGGGCACCCTTGTTCAGCCTCTGCAGCTGCTCCCGGGCGGCCTTGACAGCACCCTCGAGGCTCATCATCTGCTCCAGGAAGGCTTCCCGAGCCCCTATGGGAAGCCCACAGCCCAGGGGTCACAAAGTGGTGGAGATGTCACACAAAAGCCCCCACCCCCAGGGGTCCCCTTCTGTGGCCTCCATTCCCCAGGCATCAGCAGCCCTGAGCACCAACAGGTAGTCCCAAAGGCAGAGTACCCCCATTTTCCAGGTGCAGGCCGAGGCCCAGAGAAGGCAAACATGACCCGAGGTCCTACCCACAGCAAGTCAGTCATACACAGGGACCGGGAGAGACCCAGGCCTTCTGGAGCCACACAAGCAATTCTGGACCCTTCAAATCAGCTCTGATTCACAATGTGGCTCACATGTGGGCATTTTAAGACACGGTATCTGATAGCCCCTATTTCCACAGTGAGTCCTGCTAACAGGTTCTCAGCTCGCCTCTGTCTGGCTGCTAAAGGAGTGTAGCACTTACACATATAAAACTTCACAAAGTAATCCAATCCATTTCAGCGCCATTTCCAGGTCCTCCCTCCCTCCCTGCTTCCATTCATAGAAACAAGGTCTTGCTGTGTTGCCCGGACTGATCTCAAACTCCTGGGCTCAGGCAATCCTCCTGTCTTGGCTCCCAAAGTGCTGGGATTACAGGAACGAGCCACCACACCTGGCCCTCCTTCTTTTGTCTTATTTACTCATTTATTAAGATTTTCTATGTGCTGAGCACCGTGCTGGCCTATGGCAGAGCAAAACGGCCAAGAATCAAGACAGCAAGACCCTCCCAGTCCAGCCTCTGAAGCAGCGCCTCATGACACCCCTGTGGAGGGAGTGAATAAATGAATGAGCCCAGCCCCATCCTCACTGAGCTTAGAGTCTGAGTAGGGCAGAGGCATGGTGACAAGGACTGATATTAATAAAGTTACAGGTGGGCTAGGGAAGTAAAGGCCCATGGCAACAGGGCTGTTTTGGGAGGGCCCCCAAAGCATCCAACGACACCAGACTGCAGGCGCTGGGGGCCTCCCCTTGCCTCCCACCCTCCCGCTCTGCGCTCCTGCTGTACCTGGAAGCAGGTGATGGCCCTGGTAGACGTCCCCCCTTGGGGCCTCTCCCAGCAGAATGTCTAGTGGTCCCCAGGGACTGCCACAGTCGGACCCTTGGAGCCACCCCTCCGTCAAAGTCAGTCTGGCCTTCAGCTTGGCTGCCTGGAGAGGACAGGAAGAAAAGGTGTATGAGGCTGGTGGCATGGAGGTCCTGCCCAGACACTCCCGCTGGCTTCTACCCTGCCACTCTCCCTGGGGGTTCCCTTCTCCAAATCCTCCCCTGGGCCTCAGCGCTAAGGGTATGCCACACCTCTGAGAGCCAATCCTGCCCACCCCATGGTAGCTGTCCCTTCCCCTCCCATCCTCACGGCACCTGCCGACACCGCTGACCACACTGCTGTCCTACCTCGGAAGGTGGGGAGGAAGGGATGGGGAGGGATGCCCCACGAGGATTTCTGCCTGTCCTGTTCGCTGTGTTCCCAGGACGCCACATGGAGAAAGCACACTATGGACACTGGCTGAATGTGCTATGAACATACCCTAGCTCCATCTTTTCATCAGACAAACAATAACTGCATTTACAGAACACTTCCTAGGAGCCAGTCTCAGCACAAATGCCTGCCATGTCCCAGCTTGATTCCTCCTGTCACCGCTCTAAGTGAAGTGGCAGGCACAGGTCCTGGGCCCTGTCCTCCATTCCCAAGTCCAAAATGTTCTGAAAAGCCACAAGGCATTCCATTCCTCACTCGAGAGCAAAACCTTACCTGAAATAAACCTGTTCTGAAAAAGGCTACTTGTGGTCTTCATTTACCCACTTCGTGGAAATAGTCGTCTGTTTTCCTGCATAAATATCACTGGGCTTGACTATGGGGGCTGCCCATTCACAGTGGGGGATTATGTGATATTCAGCACAGCATGCATCTTTTTTTTTTTAGACAGAGTCTTGCTCTGTCACCCAGGCTGGAGTGCAGTGCAGTCATGATCTTGGCTCCCTGCGACCTCCGCCTCCTGGGTTCAAGCAATTCTCCTGCCTCAGCCTCCCGAGTAGCTGGGATTACAGGTGCGCGCCACCCCACCCGGCGAATTTTTGTATTTTTAGTAGAGACAGGGTTTCACCATGTTGTCCAGGCTGGTCTCAAACTCCTGACCTCACGATCTGCCCGCCTCAGCCTCCCAAAGTGCTGGGATTACAGGCGTGAGCCACAGCACCCGGCCTTCAGTGTATGCCATCTTATCTTTCTACAATGCCACACATTCTGAAAGCTGGCCCCACTGGTTTCTAGAAAAGGATTGCAGGCCTGAACTATCTCCAGTCTGGAGTACGAAAGAGACAGAGGCTTACCAAGGCTGTTGCCTGCCCAGACACATGACAATGAATGGAGTTGGGGGAGGGGAACCCCAATGGGTTAACCCTAGAGCTTGAACTCCGGACTTCTGCACCAGCCACCTTCCCACTCAGAATCACCTCCTGTTAACCCTCTTTACCAAGGGGTCATCTGTGGTCTCATCCCCACCGAACCTGAGAGAGTGAGACCCCAGCCTGGCGTGGTGGGGAAAGGCAGGTGACAAGAGTCACATTTCCCCCATCCACCTAGAGCAGGGGAAGGGCCGAGGTGAGGGTCGAGCCAGGCTGGAACAGGCCTGAAGCTGGGTGGGCACAGGGAGAAGGTAGGTGGTGGGCTTGCAAAGCCTGAGCACTGGGGGTAAGCAGGCAGTTCCTGGTGCCCGGCATAGAGCTGGCACTTGCTGGGAATACAGAATGAATGGAAAGGTGAGTGGGTCTGGGCCGACTCACCTCCTCCTTCACCAGGGCGTAGCAGGACGGACATTGCTGGCAGTGTGTGCCGTCTGCCGTGAGGAAGAAGTTGTCGTGGCAGCGGTCACATTTGTAGCCCTCGAAGCCAGGCCTGCACACGCATGTGCCGTTCTCGTGGCACTGGGCCGAGGCAGCGCCCAGTGGGGAGCACCTGCAGGCTAGAGGGGCCAGGGGCAGTGCGTGCTGGGTTTAGAGGGGCCAGGGGCAGTGCGTGCTGGGTTTAGAGGGGCCAGGGGCAGTGCGTGCTGGGTTCTGGGTGTTCCCAGAATGCCCTAGGCAGCATCAAAAACATTCCTGGGCCCTTCCCTGGAGATTCTGATTCAGAAGGTTGAAGGTGGCACAGAGCCTGGCTTATTCCAATGTTCCCTCGGGATCTGAGGACCAGCCAGGTTTAGGAACTGCCAATGCAGCCCAACTCTACAGGTGAGGAAACTGAGGCCCAGAGAGTGACATGATGGCCCCAGGCACACAGGCACTTAACAGCGCGTCTGGGACTACATTCCTGGCCGGCATGAGGACACTGGCAGGCTGCAGAGGGCCAGAGACTTGGGCGAGGGTCACAAGCACAGCCCTGCACCCACTGCTCTGGGTCATGTGACTCTGCTGTCCCGGCCACTGCCACGGGAGCAACTCGCTCCATGCTTCCGGCTGCTCTCGGGACCCTGTCCCATGTCTGACGATCCTTTCCTGCTGCGCCCATTTTCCCCATCAGTCATCTCTGCCCAGAGACCCTCGGGCCCCACCCTCAGGGCAGCCCGGGAAGGACCCAGCCTCCTTACCCCGGCAGCCCTTGATGGAGAAGCCGAAGAAACCCAGCTGGCACCTGTCACAGGCCTGGCCTGTGACACCTGGGCGGCAGGTGCACTGTCCAGTCTTGGGATGGCACTGGTCCTCCTGGGAGCCCAGTGGGTGACACTTGCAGCTGTGATCAGGGAAGGAACTGGGTCTGAGGCAAGCTCAGGGCCACTCCTGGCCCAGCCTCTGCCGGCTGCAGCTGGCTGGGGCCTCAGATCACAGCCCTCTGCTGACAAGACCCCATCTCCTCTCGGTGCATGGCACAGCTTCCCCAGCTGTGCTCTGGAAAGCACAAGTTTCCCAGGATGCTCAGGGAGAAAAGAAGATAAAATAAGGCTATGGGGACAAACGTGTCTCGGGGAGACTATACCCCTCTGTTGGAAAGTCATGATGCAATCAGCATAGTAAGAGCTCTGAGAAGTCCTGCAAGGAAGAAACCTGTTTGCTCCACTTGGTGTTTCCCTGGAGTCCTCCTGTTCCCTAAGAACACTTGTCTAAGGTGCTACTGTGGCCAAAAGGCCACCCAGGGAGAGTGTCACTGAGAAGGGAATCAGAGACCAAACCGGCCACCTGCCTGCCTGGACACCCTTTAGGGCTGCTCTTGGCCTGCATCCTGGGCTGGCAGGAGCATGAGTCGGATGCCAAGAGTCCATCCCTTTGCTCCCCTTCGGCAAAGGGCACAATGTGCCTGGCAGTGGGCCTAGGACAACACCTTCCAAACCAGGCCCCTCCCTGGGGGCTGCCCGATGCCTTCTTCCCTCCTGGAGAGGTCCCCAGGGCACCGGCAGTCTCACCCTACCTACCTCCGGCAGCCCCTCCCAGGCTGGAGGTCGAAGAAGCCAGGGTAGCAGCGGCTGCAGTCCCGTGCAGTCACATGAGGCAGGCAGGAGCATTGGCCTGTCACTGGGTCGCAGGGCATCTGCTCACTGACCGAGCCCTGTGGGTGACAGCTGCAAGCTGGGGGCAGGAGCAGGAAGGGGTGTTGGGAACAATGCAGATTGTCTGTTCCAACTTTGGGGGTCCAACAGAGGCAGAGGAGATGGGGGAGCCTCCAGAGATGATACGGCACATTCAGCCCAGATTCAGACGCCACTGCTGGAAAAAGGCTCCAGGGCCAAGCTCAAGCCTCAGCCCATTGACTATATCCTTAGAGGGACAGCCCAGGACGGTCATGGTAACAGACAATCCTTCTGAGCCTGCCCTGAGCCCTGGCAGGCTGCAGAGGGCCAGAGACTTGGGCGAGGGTCACAGGCACAGCCCTGCACCCATGGCTCTGGGTCCCGTGACCCTGTTCTCCTGGCCACTGCCAGGGGAGCATCTCACTCTGGGCCAGAGCGGTGTTTCCTGCAGGGGTTCCACAAAGCGAGAGTGAGCAGGAGCCGGCAGCTGCTGCGTGGGAAAGGGCTCCAAGCACATCAGTGTGGAGCAAAGGCTGAGCTTCCCTCCTGCAGGGCTCTGGGAGCCTCCCAGGGGCTGAGTGTTAACTGAGGTGATGAGGGGAGGCATGGCCATGGAGACCCGGCGCAGGGCGATCACCGGGTCAGCCATACGTGCTGACTGCAGAGTGGGAGGTAAGCACTAGACAATCCAGGCTTCGGATCAGAGTTTATAAGATCTCCCGGCTGAAAGAGACCTGGGAGAGGGGCAAACCCTTGTGCTTTCTGGACATGGAGACAGGAAGGGAAGTGACCTGCCTGAGGCTGGACAGCCTTGCAGAGGAGCCAGCTGGTTCTGGTGGGTTCCTCAGCCACCCCTTCTGGGCCCTGAGCCAGGGCAGAAGAGAAGGGGCCCACCATGTGCCACCCTGGGGTCTGGAGGTAGGTACTCACGCATGCATTTGTCTGCGGGTCGAGGGGCCAGGGCGCTCCCGTAGAAGCCTTCCTGACAGTGCTCACAGTGGTCACCCGTGGTGTTGTGCAGGCAGCGCAGGCAGTGGCCAGACAGGGGGTCACAGTTGCCCACGGCATTGGGGTCCACGTTCCCGCTACACTGGCACTGGTGGCAGGGCTGGGGGTGCCCAAAGAGCCCCAGCGGGTCCCCAAAAAAGCCATCATCACAGACCTCACAGCGCCGCCCTGTGTGTAGAGGGAGCACGTGTGGGGAACACAGCTGGCTGGACCCACCAGGGATGAGGGTGGGTGTGAAGCAGAGCAAGCGTCCCTCCACCTTCCCCGGAGCAGCACGGGCTTGGGCAGGAGGACCTGGGACCGGCCCCCAGTGGCTGCCCACAGCTGTGTGGTCCTGAGCAAGCCACTGCGCCTCTAGGAGCTCAGGTTCCTCATCTCTAAAGCGGGGACAACAATGGCAGCTCCCCACAGGACTGTGGGGAGGATTCAGTGACATAATTTGTGAAAAGCGCTTAACATCCAGCCTGACATGTAGTAAGCACTCAGGAGTGGTGGCTATCATCACATATCTGTCCTCACACCCTCATCATCATCGTCACCATTATCTTCACCATCACCACTATCCCCAGCAGCACCTCAATCACCATGACCTTCTTCATCATCATCCTTATATTATTATTATTATTATTATTATTGAGATGGAGTCTCACTCTATCACCCAGGCTGGAGTGTAGTGTGGTACGATCTCGGCTCACTGCAACCTCTGCCTCCTGGGTTCAAGCAATTCTCCTGCCTCAGCCTCCCTAGTAGATGGGATTACAGGCACCCGCCACCATGCTTGGCTAATTTTTGTATTTTTAGTAGAGACGGGGTTTCACCATGTTGGCCCAGCTAGTCTCAAACTTCTGGACTTAAGTGATCTGCCCGCCTTGGCCTCCCAAAGTGCTGGAATTACAGGCGTGAGCCACCACAACCGGCTATTTTTATTTTTTTGAGATGCAGTCTCGTCCTGTCACCCAGGCTGGAGTGCAGGGGCGCAATTTCGGCTCACTGCAACCTCTGCCTCTGGGGTTCAAGAGATTCTCCTGCCTCAGCCTCCCAAGTAGCTGGGACTACAGGTGTGTGCCACCATGCCTGGCTAATTTATTTGTATTATTAGTAGAGATGGGGTTTCGCCACATTGGCCCTGCTGGTCTCGAACTCCTGACCTCAGGCCTCGCAAAGTTCTGGGATTACAGGCATGTGCCACTGTGCCTGACCTTCATCATCATCCTGACCATCATCTTCATCATCATCTTGACCACTAACCTCATCCTTCTCATCATCACCTTCCTCCATCATCATCATCTTGACCATTATTCTCATCATCATCACCTTCATCACCATTGTCATCTTGACCATTATCTTCATCAACATCACCTTCTTGACCATTATCCTCATCATCACCCGTGATCACGTGTGGTGGTGTGTAGCCAGTGCAGGCAGTGGCCAGACACGGGTCACAGTTGCCTACAGCATTGAGGTCCACATTCCCGCTGCACTGGCACAACTGTCATCGTCACCTTATCTTTATCATCACCTCATTGTCATCATTTTGATCATTATCTTCATTTTCTTCATCACTATTGTCTTGATCACTCTCTTCTTCCTCACCCTCTTCATTGTCACCATCCAATGTCATTCATCTGCTTCTCCTCGTCCTTTTCCTCATCCCCCTCTTAGCTGGGTGCATTTTCCTTTGCAATCCCTGGCCCCTTTACCTTTTCTGTTTCTCATGTTTTCTGAACTTCCTCTAGACTGTGCATTGCAGACTCCTGTCCTGCTTTCTGGGTTTGACCTGGGCTTTCTGGCTCATCTTCCAGCCTCCAGGTTACCTGTGAGCTGCAGAAGACATGCTGTGCGAGGGGGCTTTTGGAGGGTGGTTCTAGAGGTCTACTCTGGACATAGACGGAGCATAAAAGAACATACTTGTTCCAAGTGCTTCACATGGTGTCAGCCACTCTTTGTAAACATGCCCATCTCTCTGCCTATATCTACATGAAACCAGTGTCAGGCCCAAATAATAGCCATGGTCCCCTGGAGGTGACAAGAATGCTGCCTTGCTTACATGATTTTTTCTTTCCTTTTCTTTTTTTTTTTTTTTTTTTTAGATGGAGTCTTGTTCTGTTGCCCAGGCTGGAGTGCAATGGCACCATCTCGGCTCACCGCAAGCCCCACCTACTGGGTTCAAGTGATTCTCCTGTTTCAGCCTCGCGAGTATCTGGGATTACAGGCGTGCACCACCACACCCAGCTAATTTTTGTATTTTCACTAGAGACGGGTTCTTGTCATGTTGGCCATGCTGGTCTGGAACTCCTGACCTCAGGTGATCCGCCTGCCTTGGCTCAGCCTCCCAAAGTGCTGGGATTACAGGTGTAAGCCACCACGCCCGGCTGCTCACATGTTTTTTTCATGTTCCTCTTGACATTTTTACACTGCTCCAACATTACAATGAGTATGTACATTTCTTTTTTTTTTTTTTTTGGAGACGGAGTCTCGCTCTTTCACCCAGGCTGGAGTGCAGTGGCGCGATCTCGGCTCACTGCAGGCTCCGCCCCCCGGGGTTCACGCCATTCTCCTGCCTCAGCCTCCCGCGTAGCTGGGACTACAGGCGCCCGCCACCTCGCCCGGCTAATTTTTTGTATTTTTACTAGAGATGGGGTTTCACCGTGTTAGCCAGGATGGTCTCGATCTCCTGACCTTGTGATCTGCCCGCCTCAGCCTCCCAAAGTGCTGGGATTACAGGCGTGAGCCACTGTGCCCGGCCATGTACATTTATTTCTATTTTCATTTATTTTTATTTTTTATGAAGTTACTAAGTCAGTCAAGAGTATGTACTAATTTTATAATTAAAAAATAGCTGCTGCCATTGTGAAGAATAGTTGTGAGCTCCTTGTGTCCTCAAAAGTCATCGGTCTGTTGAAATGAAGTTAATGGTACTGGCTGGGCGTGGTGGTTCATGCCTATAATCACAGCACTTTGGGAGGCTGAGGTGAGTGGATCACTTGAGGCCAGGAGTTTGAAACCAGCCTGGTCAACATGGCAAAATCCCATCTCTACTAAAAATACAAACATTAGCCGGGCATGGTGGTGCATGCCTGTAATCCTAGCTACTCGGGAGGCTGAGGCAGGAGAATCGCTTGAACCTGGGAGGTGGAGGTTGCAGTGAGCTGAGATCATGCCACCGCACTCCAGCCTGGGGGACAGAGTGAGACTCTGTTTCCAGAGAAAAAAAAGTTAATAGTGCTAAGGGCAACCCTGAAAAGGAAAAGGCGGAACGGAACGGAAAGGAAAAGACAAACTGGAACAGAATTCAAGGTCGAGGCTAGCACCTGCCTTGTGGATTCTAAAATAGAAATAAAATTAGACAGGAAAGGGGGAGATTGAAACTGATGATGATGAGTGAGCCCCATGGTTAAGTGGCCATTCACCTGGAACCAGGTGAGGACAGCTCATAGGGCAGGAGGCAGCTCTGGAAGTCCTGGGAGGGGCTGCAAGGGGCCAGGATGGCAGGCAGGAGTCTTCCCAGGACAAGTGAGCATCAGGACTTGACCCCGGTCAACCCTGACTCAGATGTCCAGGTGAGCTCTCAGTGTGCTAGGCCCTCCCGGGGCCCAGAGGACACTGGTGTGGATAAGAAGGGCACTGGCAGAAGGTCCCAGGTCTAAAGTCCACTCCAGGTGTCCCTCCCTCCCAAGGGTGGTTCCCTCTGCACACAGCACTGCCTGCTCCCCTGAAATCCTCCCTCAAGTATGTCTCAGCCTGGGTCCACCTGAGCTTCTCTAACTGTCCACTCTCACTGGGTGGGCCTCGTGCATGTCTGCAGGCCAGGGGAGCCACAGTCGGGAGCTAGAAAATGTAAGGGAGATAACGAGAATGGAGGGACAGCATGGCGGCCAGTGGGGTGCAGGGTCCCGCAGTGCAATCTCCATCCCTCGGTTCTTGAGCTCCCGGCTCTGGAGCCATCTGCCCTGCCCTGTTGGCTGTTGGCTGCCAGAGAGCTGCTTTCAGAACAGTCCCAGTGAAAGCACATGGCATTTGACAAATTGATTTAATGCAGCCACACGTACCAAAAGCAAAATCAGATGTCTAGGAATCTTAAAAACATTACACTGCATGAAACAAGCCAGATCCAAAAGAACAAATACTGTATGGTTCCGTTTAAATGGAATACTGGGAGCAGTCAAATTCATAGAGACAGAGAGGAGAACAGCTGTTATCAGGGGCTGGAGGGAGGAAGGGCTATTCAACAATCCTTTTTTTTTTTTTTTAATTTTTTTGAGATGGAGTCTTGCTCTGTCACCCAGGCTGGAGTGCAGTGGCACGCTCTTGGCTCACTGCAAACTCCGCCTCCTGGGTTCAAGCAATTCTCCTATCTCAGCCTCCCGAGTAGCTGGGATTACAGGTGCCTGCCACCGCTCCTGGCTAATTTTTGTATTTTTAGTAGAGACGAGGTTTTGCCACGTTGGCCAGGCTAGTCTCAGACTCCGGACCGCAGGTGATCCGCCCGCCTCAGCCTCGCAAAGTGCTGAGATTACAGGCATGAGCCACTGCGCCTGGCCTCAACAACACATTTGATGGGTACGGTTTCTGTCTGGGATGATGATAAAGTTCTAGAGATGGATGAGTGACAGCTGCACAGCATTGCAAATTGTACTTCCTGACACTGAGTTATGCACTTAGAAATGGTTAAAATGGCAAATTTTACGTTATATATATTTTACCATAATAAAAATTACTATTGTAACATGTCAAAAGTCATTGAATTATACTTTATTTTATTTTTTGAGACAGAGTTTCACTCTTGTTGCCCCGGCTGGAGTGCAGTGGCGCGATCTTGGCTCACTGCAACCTCCGCCTCCTGGGTTCATGCGATTCTCCTGCCTCAGCCTCCCGAGTAACTGGGACTACAGGCGCCCGCCACCACGCCTGGCTAATTTTTCGTATTTTTAGTAGAGACGGGTTTCACCGTGTTAGCCAGGATGGTCTCAAACTCCTGACCTTGTGATCCACCCGCTTCAGCCTCCCAAAGTGCTGGGATTACAGGCATGAGTCACCATGCCCGGCCTGTACTTTATTTAAAAAAAAATTTTTTTTGGATATAGGGTCTGGCTCTGTCACCCAGGCTGGAGTGCAGTGGTGAAATCTCGGCACACTGCAGCCTCCGCCTCCCGGGCTCAAACCATCCTCCCACCTCAGCCTCCAGAGTATCTGGGACCACAGGTGCATGCCACCACACCCAGCTAATTTTTGTGTTTTTTTTAGAGATGGGAGTCTCACTATGTTGCCCAGGCTGGTCTTGAACTCCTGGACGGAAGTGATGTGCCCACCTTGGCTTCCCAAAGTGCTGAGATTACAGGCATGAGCCACCACACCCAGCCGAATTGTATGCGTTAAATGGGTGAACTGTCAGGTATATGAATAGTATCTCAATAAAGCTGCTTTTTAAAAAAAATCAGAGTCGAGGATGTCTGAGTCCAGAGCAGGAAAGAATACAAGGAGCCTGGGAACAAGGGTGGGCGTAGGTGGTTCTGCTTTGCACATTACCTACCTGATGACATTTTTTAAAGGCTAGAAGTTTAATCGAGGTTTTCCACCTTAGCTGTGTAACAGAATCACCCAGGGAACTTGTTCAGCTATCACTAACCCAGGCTCTAAGGGGCCAGGGACCAGATACGGGTATTTTCAAATAGCCCAAATTCTCAATGGCCCAAATTCTGCTGGCAATGTGCGGCAGCCTGGGGCTCTGGCTATGGGGCTGAGGGATTCCGTGTCCTCAGAGGTCATGCCTGCTGCCCGTAAGCTGGGCTCTCCCTCACCTGCCACACCCTAAACCCAGGGCCCTAACCCTGGAGCCCAGGGCATAGTCACAGTGCCGGGGCTTGGCCCTCTGCGGGGCAGGGCTCCGGGGCAGGAGTCACTTACCTCTCTGGCCCGGGGGGCAGTGGGTACACACCACCTCCCGGCTCTCTGGGATGGTCGTACAGGCCGACTGGCCAGGGCAGGGACAGGGCTGGCAGTCGTCGGCTTGGCCCGCGAAAGGGTTGCCATAGAAACCTGGCAAACAGCGTTCACAGGATGGGCCCTCGGTATGGTGGCTGCAGACACAGATCCCTGAGGGGCAAGACAAGCACCACTGTCTGAACCCAGAATGCCCAGAGATGGTGGGCATCCCGGTGGGAGAGGTTAGGGAGCACATCCCGGGCAGAAGTGGGGTGGGGACCTTTCCCAGGCAGAGGCAGCAAGGCCTGGGGATTGAGGGTCCAGGCCTGGAGCTGGACCACCTGGTTCATGTCCACCACTTACTGCCTGTGCAAAGCTGGGCAAGTTGTCTGATGCCCCCACACCTCAGTCTCCCCATCTGCAAAATGGGAACAACCACAGCACTGACTTCAAAGGGTTCTCGTCAGGGTCCAACAAGACCATGCATTCAAAGTACCTTGCACACTCTCTGGCACACATACTCATCGCTGCTGTTATTATTATTATTATTATTATTATTAGTTGAGACAGAGTCTCACTCTGTCACCCAGGCTGGAGTGCAGTGGTGCAATTTGGCTCACTGCAACCTCCACTTCCCAGGTTCAAGTGATATTACTGCCTCAGCCTCCCAAGTAGCTGGGGTTACAGGCGTGCGTCACCACACCTGTCTAATTTTTGTATTTTTAGTAGAAATGGGGTTTCACCATGTTGGCCAGGCTGGTCTCAAACTCCTGACCTCAAGCGATTTGCCCGCCTCAGCCTTCCAAAGTTCTGGGATTACAGGTGTGAGCCACCGTGCCCGGCCAGCACTGTTATTATTTTGTATTCCGAAACCTCTCTCTGAACCAAAAGGTGACATGGCTACCATTCGCTACACTGTTGTTTTCTTGATGCCAAGGGACCAAAAGGAAGAGCAACGTTTCCTAAGGGAGACACAGACCCAGAATTCTGGCCTTCACATGACTTTGCAAAGAGGCTCCCCTTTATGGGGTTTGGGATACACAAGGGATACCTAGTCTCAGGGGAGGGAACCCCTGTTCCTGCCCTCTGGCTCCTGATGACGGTGGATTCTGCAAACTCTTCTTCCCCAGGCCGACTGCACCTGGCATCTGCTCAGAGCCTGGGGTGCTTGGGAAGGGAGACCCGCTGCCAGGGACTGAGTGAGAAGCCTGGCTGAGAAGGGGTTAACCAAGACCACCACTTCCAGGAGGTCCCCAGGCAGCACCCCAGCAGCCAAGGCACAGGTGACCTGGGAGGAAGAGTGAGAACCAGGTCGCTCATGCATAGCAGGGCTGGCATCCAGGGGGAACTGTCCCAGCCTAGGCCCAGCACCCATAGGCTCATTCCTCCTCTCAGCCTAGGCAGCGGGGCTATACTGCCCGTTTCACAGATGAGGACTTGCCCAAGCTGAGCAGGAAGTTGTGGCAGGGCCAGAGGCTCTGTGGGGATGACAAACTGATCCCAGTCATGGGAGGACCCTGCTTCCTCCACAGGGGCTGCAGGAAGCACTGCAGCAGGGAGGGATTATGTGGCCTTGTCTGGGCTCGATTATCAATGCTTGCCATGGACACAAGAAGACAGAGTGCCCTGTATGTGGCGTGTGGCGTGTGGTTGTGCTTGCCCTCCCCGGCTAGGTCAGCTGACGTCTTTTTTTTTTTTTTTTTTTTTTTTTTTTTGAGACGGAGTCCGCTCTGTCGCCCAGGCTGGAGTGCAGTGGCGCGATCTCGGCTCACTGCAACCTCCGCCCCCTGGGTTCAAACAATTCACCTGCCTCAGCCTCCCTAGTAGATGGGATTACAGGCACCCGCCACCACGCCTGGCTAATTTTTTGTATTTTTAGTAGAGATGGGGTTTCACCGTGTTAGCCAGGATGGTCTCGATCTCCTGACTGCATGATCTGCCCACCTCGGCCTCCCAAAGTGCTGGGATTACAGGCGTGAGCCACCGTGCCCGGCCTTTTTTTATTTTTTTGAGATGGAGTCTTACTCTGTCGCCCAGGCCAGAGTGCAGCGGCGCGATCCCGGCTCACTACAACCTCCATCTCCCAGGTTGAAGCAATTCTCATGCCTCAGCCTCCCAGGTAGCTGGGATTACAGGCACCTAACCACACCTGGCTAATTTTTGTATTTTTAGTAGAGACAGGGTTTCACCATGTTGGCCACGCTGGTCTTGAACCCCCAACCTCAGGTGATCCACCTGCCTTGGCCTCCCAAAGTGCTGGGATTACAGGCATGAGCCCAAGTCTGGCCTCTTCTTTTTTTTTTTCTTTTTTCCTCTGGAGTCTTGCTCTTGTCACCCAGGCTGGAGTGCAATGGCATGATTTCGGCTCTCTGCAACCTCTGCCTCCTGGGTTCAAGCGATTCTCCTGCCTCAGCCTCCCAAGCAGCTGGGATTACAGGTGCCTGCCACCACACCCAGCTAATTTTTGTAGTTTTAGTAGAGATGGGGTTTCACCATGTTGGCCAGGCTGGTCTCAAACTCCTGACCTCAGGTGATCCGCCCACCTCAGCCTCCCAAAGTGCTGGGATTACAGGTGTGAGCCACCACGCCTGGCTACCGTCTTTTCAGGAAGAAAAATGCCCAGCAGCCTTCTTCTCAGACAGCCCCCACCTGCTCTGGGGAGGCAGCAGGTGTCTAGGCATGAAGCCGTCAGTGTGGGAGTGGAAGAGGTCTGAGTCCAGCCTTCTCAGGTGCCTCCTGGCCATGTGACCTTGAGCAAGGCCAGGTCTGCTCCTATAAAAGTGGGGATCAGTTGGCCAGGCGTGGTGGCTCACGCCTGTAATCCCAGCACTTCGGGAGGCTGAAGCAGGAGGATCACTTGAAGTTAGAGGTTTGAGACCAGCCTCAACATGGTAAAACGCCATCTCTACTGAAAATATAAAAATTAGCCGAGGATGGTGACAGGCGTCTGTAATCCCAGCTACACAGGAGGCTGAGGTGGGAGGATCTCTTGAACCCAGCAGGAGGCTGCAGTGAGCCAAGACTGCACCACTGCACTCCAGCATAGGCAACAGAGCGAGACTCTGTCACCCCCCACAAAAAATAAAAAATAAAACATAAAATAAAATAAAAAGAAGTGAGAATGAGTAGCCAGCAGCAACCAGGCCTCAGGAGTCCAGGCTGGAGGGAGGCACGGCTCTGCCACCTGCTGGCCATGCATCTGCACTGCAGCGTGGGGCCTTCACCTGTGAGATGGGACAGGAAGGGTCCCGGCCCCGCAGGGATGTCTGCAGGAGTCAATGATATAGTGTAGAGAAGGTGACTAGCACATGCAGGAACCTGGTGACACTATTTTATTATTTCCCAAGTGTCCTGAAAAGTAGAGACTTTCATTATCTGCGCTTCCCTAAGGCATTCCCAGTTAGCTATGGCTGAGCTCCTATGCAACCCAGGCCTGTGTTTTCAGAGCCTGAGCGTCTCCTGACCACCATATGGCTTTGTGTAGAAACAGAAGCAGTGTATATACTGTCATTATCTCCACCTTACAGAAGAGGAAGCAGGCTCAGGGAGGGAAGTGACTTTCCCATGGCCACTAAGGGGTGAGGGTGGCAGGTCTGTGGTTCTGGGTTGGTGCCTATGAGCTGCTGTCACCTGTGTGACCTTCTTGAGAACCCTCCTGCTGTCACCTGCCATGCTGGTGCCTCTGCCCTTCCTCACAGCACCCTCTGCATGTAAAGACCCCTGAGGTCTTTCCCTGGTCCTTCCTGGGAAAAGGGCCAGCCCAGGGAGAAGGTGGCGCGGACAGATGGCCCACAGAGCAGCTGGCTTATGGTTATCACCTGATACATACAAAGTCCTTGGCACAGAGCCTGAGGCTTCAACAAATTCCAGTAGTAACTTTTATTAAACTATGAGGTGCCCAGGCACTGAGCAGCACGGGAAAGCTCAGTGCCCGCACTGCCCCACAGCTTGGCCAACACCTCAATGCCTGTGCCAGGCTGGCCCTGTTCAGGTCAGTACTCATCCCGCTGTTTTGGGTATAACCCAGGTGCCTTCGGATGGGGTGCCAGGAGACTCACCTGTGTTGGGGTCACAGGTGCCATGCTGGTTACAGGTGCAGGGGACACAGCTGGCATAGGGACCCCCCTGTGGCATCTCCCTCTTGTATCCCGGAGCACAGGATTCACAGAACTGGCCCGTGTAGCCAGTGGGACATGAACAAATCTCCACCCAGGAGGCTGGCGGGGAAAGCCCTGGCCGGGCGGATGTGAGCCGGACCTCAGTCAGGAACACTGGACCTGCAGAGCGAGAAGGGAGAGAGGAAGAGAGGAGGCACAAGCTCCCTGCACATGCTTCCCCCCAAAACCTTCCTGTTCACATATGGACCAGGCCCACGTATATAAAGGCAGACTAGCAATCAATGATTTTTCTTTTTTTGAGACAGATTCTCATTCTGTCACTCAGGCTAGAGTGCAGTGGTGCAATCATAGCTCTGTAGCCTCGACTCCTAGTCTCCAGTGATCCCACCATGTCACCCTCCCAAGTAGCTGCGACTACAGGCAAGACACCAAGCCCAGCTAATTTTTAAAATTTTTGTAGAGATGGGGTTTCTCCATGTTGCCCAGGCTGGTCTTGAACTCCTGGCCTCAAGTAATCCTCCTGCCTTGGCCTCCCAAAGTGCTGGGATTGCATGTGTGAGCCACTGCGCTGGTTGATTTTTATTTTTATTTTTCAAATTGTCAATTCAAGGGTAAGGGAGATGATTAGGCAATTTTCAAGAAGAAATAGATATGGCTGAGAATTTTATGGAAAGATATCCATCCACAGGTTATTAACGATATATAGATTTAAACAACGATGATACCATTCACATCTCTCAGACTGGTAACATTTTATAGATGAATTTTAGTGGAGGATGGCGTGTAGGAAACTCACCTGGGCTACTCATAACTGAATGCTACATTTAGGCAAAGTTTAAGGTCTATTTCTAAGGTTTTAAGATTTTTCTTGTTGTTTTGGTTGTTTTTAAGAGAGACAGAATCTTGCTCTGTCACTCAGGCTGGAGTGCAGTGGTACAACCATAGCTCACTGCAGCCTTGAACTCCTGGCCTCAAATGATCCTCCTGCCTCAGCCGCTCAAGTAGCTGAGACCAAAGGTGTGTGGCACCACACCCAGCTAATTTTTTAAATTTTTTGTAGAAAAACGGTTTCGCCTTGTTGTCCAGGCTGGTTTTGAACTCCTGGCCTCAAGGACTCCTGTCTCAGCCTCCCAAAGTGCTGGAATTACAGGCTTGAGCCACCACGCCCAGCCTAAAGTTCTAAGTGTTATAGGAGATTTTGAGACTAATGAATGTAACAGGATTTTGATGTAAAAGAAGCTAATTGACACAGAAATGTCAGTGACATTTCTTACCTGCAAGGAAAGTGAACATCTTGTATTTAGATCAACTATAATGTGTACATTTTAAAAATAAAGAAATCTGATATTTGGAAAAAAAAATGGGCCGGGCGCGGTGGCTCGAGCCTGTAATCCCAGGACTTTGGGAGGCTGAGGCGGGCGAATCATAAGGTCAGGAAATCGAGACCATCCTGGCTAACACGGTGAAACCCCGTCTCTACTAAAAAATACAAAAAATTAGCCGGGCGTGGTGGCGGGCGCCTGTAGTCCTAGCTACTCGGGAGGCTGAGGCAGGAGGATGACATGAACCCGGGAGGCGGAGCTTGCAGTGAGCAGAGATCATGCCACTGCACTCCAGCCTGGGTGACAGAGCAAGACTCCGTCTCAAAAAAAAAAAAAAAAAAAGAAAGAAAAGAAAAAAGAGTGTGGATGTACGAATACTAATCAGAAGGTTTTGCTTCCAGTAACAGAGGAGCAGGGGATCCTGGCAGATCAACCTTCCCACAGAAAACAACTATAAACTCTGGGCAAAATATGAAAATGACCATCTGTAGACACAGAACAGGGAGACTGGAGGCGGCCGACACTCCTCATCAGAGCAGCCTTTCTGAAGGAAAATTTGGCAGTGTGGATCAAAATGGAAAATGCTCCCTCTTTGACCTAACATCTCCATTTCCAGCACTCTGTCCTAAAGCGACACTTATACTGGAATACCAAGACCTTTCTATGAGGCTGGTCCCTATTCCCTGTGACACGGTTGTAATGGGGAAAACTGGAGGCCACTTAAGCGCCTGTCAATAGGGGGATGGCTAAAACCTCACAGAGCACCCATACCACAGAATCTTACACACCAGACACAGAAAACCAGGCTTTCTACGCGTAATGACAAGGAACAACCTCCACGACGCACTGTTAGCTGACAAAAAGCAAGTCCCAGAATATCGTACTGTGTGATTACCTTTCTTTCTTTTCTTTTCCCTCCCTTGCTCCCTCCCTCCCTTCTTCTTTCTTTCTCTCTCTCTCACTCTCTCTCTCTCTTTCTCCCCCTCCCTTCCCCTCTCTCTTTCTTTTTCTTTCTTTCTTTGAGACAAGGTCTGGCTCTGCTACCCAGGCTGGAGTGCAGTGGCATGATCTTGGCTAACTGCAACCTCCGCCTCCCAGGTTCAAGCAATTCTCCCTCCCGAGTAGCTGGGATTACAGGCACATGCCACCATACCCGGCTAATTTTTGTATTTTTAGTAGAGATGGGGTTTCACCATATTGCCCAGGCTGGTCTCAAACTCCTGAGCTCAAGTGATCCGCCCGCCTCAGCCTCCCAAAGAGCTGGGATTACAGGCGTGAGCCACCACGCCCGGCTGTGTAATCACATTTCTATGTTTTTAAAAAAATACAGATGTTAAGTACGTACACACAGAAAGGTTTAGAGAGAGGCCTCCCAAAACATTACCCATGGAAAGAGGAAGTTTGGGGATTGCGGGTGCTGGGGAGGGTCGCTATGTCCTCTGCTTCTCCAGGGCATCCCAGCACCCTTGGACTCAAAAGAGGCCCAGGGGAAGACTGACCCTCTGAGCCAGAGGTCCTCAAAAAGAGCAAAATCTCCCTCCCCTGGAAGCAAATCTGAGGACATGTTGGTTGTCATGTGGATGAAGAGGCCTAAAGTTCCCAGAAATTGACATTCCCAGAAACTCCCCACATGACTTTCAAATGTCCTGCGTGGTGCTGGAAGGGTAGAAAAACCCCTTTGTAAACATCTGAGCCTAGAGCTCAGCTTCATTTTACACACATACACTAGGGGTTTTGTTTTTTGTTTTGTTTTTTTTTTTTTAGAGACAAGGTCTCGCTTTGTCACCCAGGCTGGAGTGCAGTGGCACAGTCACTACAGTCTCAACCTCCTGGGCTCAAGCGATCCTCCAGTCTTAGTCTCCTGAGTAGCTGGAATTACAGGTGCAGACCACCCCACCAGACTGTTTTTTGTTATTGTTGCTGTTGTTGTTTTGAGATGGAGTCTGGCTCTGTCGCCCAGTCTGGAGTGCAGTGGCGCAATCTTGGCTCACTACAACCTCCGCCTCCTGGGTTCAAGCGATTCTCCTGCCTCAGCCTCCCAAGTAGCTGGGATTACAGGTGTGTGCCACCACGCCCAGCTAATTTTTGTATTTTTAGTAGAGGTGGGGTTTCACCATCTTGGCCAGGCTGGTCTCAAACTCCCGACTTCATGATCCACTCGCCTTGGCCTCCCAAAGTGCTGGGATTACAGGCGTGAGCTTCTGCGCCCGACCTATATTGATTTTTAAAATAGCGTGTGGGTAGAGGTTCTAATGAGGAACAGATCAGAGGCTAAGGCTGTCAATCACTGTGACCAGGGTGGGAGGTGGTGACAGACCCCCATCAATGATGTGTGATGGCTTGGCCCCCTCTTTGGGAAGACCAGACCCTCCTAGGGTGGCTTAGGTACAATACCGCCAGTGACCAGCAGGGGAGTCACTCTGCCAGGGGACTCCTGGACTGCCGGCTGTGGGCTGTGTCCAGCGGGGACAGGGGGCTTGGTGGATCCAGTGAAGGTGGAGTGAGCACACCCAGCGGGTCTGGGTGGCTTGCTGGCCGCACACCTGCCTCTGAGGCCCATCCTTCAGGCCTCTCTCCTGTCCATTCCCTGCATCTGACCTCAGCCACCATCCCCATTGCCTTCACAGGTTATATGGCCTCTGGCAACTGTCCTGACTTTTGACTAAGGTTCCTTCTTGGCAAAACAGGACAATAACCACCCGGCCGCAAGGCCCTGACAAGACTGTGACCGCCGGAGCCCAGCCCAGTTCTGAGACCTGGCAAGCACTCGGGTCTTGGGCATGTGGTTGTCTTTACTGACCGGCAGGGCTGGGGCCGGGACTGACGCGGAGGCGGAGGCTGGTCAGGTTGGCGAGGAGCCGCTGGAAGTGGAAGGGGGGCAGTGGAGGGGCCACGTCCTCGGAGGTCTCCTGCAGGCTGGCGAGAGAAGCGGTCAAAGTGAGATCCCGACATAGGGTGGGGGGGTACCATGCCTGGGGATGGGGGGTAGCCCCCCAGACTACAGGGGCATCTGAAATGTGCCCGGACCTCAGAGACCACCCCTCTCACCTCCCCATCTCTCAGGACAGAAGGGGATACTTACTGGAACCTGAGCTCTACCTCCCTGGGATGCCCGGCATCCTGGGGGCCAGACAGGCTAGAGTGCCTCAGGGACAGGGCCAAGCCTGTCCCTTCCAGCCTCAGCTGTACAGGGAGTGGGGAGTCCCCGGGGGGCACCCGGAAGGTCAGTATGAGGGGCTGCCCATAGCTGAACCGCTGGTCTCCCAGGAACTTCTCTGAAGACAAGAGAAGAAGGCTTTGACAGTCTTCATATGGTTAGCTTGATTTTAAATGTCTATGTTGATTTTATCGGCAACTAAACATTCAAAAAAGATAAAAGTGCAGTGGGTAGAAAATCAAAAGCTTCCTGCACAGCAGACCCTGCAGGGGGCCCACCCACACCTCTGCAGTCACACACGCCCCCACACTTGGCTTCATGCTCTGCTGTGACCATCTTCACATTCTTAATAATTTTATCTTTGAACTTGGGTTTTAGAAGTGACGTCCGATGGAACACGGAGTCCGAGGGTGAACGGAGGGGATACACACACGTGTGACCAGAGAGGCTGCCGTCTGCTCATGTGTAGCATTCACGATGCCCATGAGCACGAAATTCCTAGGGAACACCCAGCAGCAGGAGTTTAGCGGGACCTCCAGGTGACAGCAAGGTAAGTGAGCTGGCTGAGTGAGCAGAGGTGCTCTGGGCCCCGGGCCATGCTTTCCCTTCCAATCAGAACTTGCCCTGAACTCGGAAAGAAGGCACTAGTTTTCTGAGACACGAACCACCAAGCGCTGTGCGGTACCTTCTGACTCATGTCATTTCACTGCATCAGCCCATCATTTCTTCAGAAGTTCGTGACCCAGGAGGAAAGGACACAGGCCACCCTCCCTCCTCCTTTCCCAGTACCCTCCCTCCTCCTTTCCCAGTGGTCTTTCCCTTACCCGTGAGAAAGCCACAGAGGTGTGCCATGTTGGTGGAACATGCGTGTGTCAAGGAGTGAAATAAAAGTGGCTGGGCTTGTTGTGTGCAGTATTTCCACTGTCCTCGTAAGAACAAAATACGCAGCCTGGCATTGTGGCTCACGCCTGTAATCCCAGCACTTTTGGAGGCTGAGGCGAGTGGATCACAAGGTCAGGAGTTCAAGACCAGCCTGGCCAAGATGGTGAAACCCCATCTCTAGTAAAAATACAAAAAATTAGCCGGGCATGGTGGTGGGTGCCTGTAATCCCAGCTACTCAGGAGGCTGAGGCAGGGAATTGCTTGAACCCAGAAGGCAGAGGTTGCAGTGAGCCAAGACCACGCCAATGCACTCCAGCCTTGGCAACAGAGCAAGACTCCGTCTCAAAAAAAAAAAAAAAAAGAATGGTAAAATTCATGCTAATAACTTTATATGTTTCATGCTAATAACTTAAAATTTTCCTTTACCTAGAATGGCATCAAATAGCAAACCAAAAAACACCATGACAAATAAAGGGCAAAACTGCAGGGGAAAAAAAGTGTTTATATTTTAGTACCTTTAATAGTACTTCCCCCTATTTGGGAACTGGGGGGGTGGGATTTTAATTCTGCAGTGCATCCCTCAAATTCTGTAGCGCGCCCCGCCACAGCTTTGGTGGACAGCTCCCGAAACACTGAAAGTCCCTGTGTCCCTCTGCCCCAGAGCGTTTCCTGGCTGGGGGAATTTCTTACCTGTGCAGAAGCGGCCTGAAGCGGGGAGCCCCGGGAGCTGGTGGCCACATGCCCCGGCTGCACTCCGATTCGGCCTCCAGAATCAATCACCAGCACGAGCGCAATGCTCCCCTCCCATCCTTTGCTACTCACGTTCTACACGTGAGATGGTTTCACACACTGTTCCACAACCGGCCGCATCACAGTCCACCAACAGGCTACCCAGCCCCTCCTGGGACTGCCCCAAGCTTGCACCATTAAATACTCTTTTTTTTTTTTTCCTTTTTTTGGAGATGGAGTCTCACTCTGTCGCCCAGGCTGGAGTGTAGTGGTGCAATCCTGGCTCACTGCAACCTCCATCTCCCAGGTTCAAGCAATTCTCCTGTCTCAGCCTCCTGAGTAGCTGGGATGACAGACATGCACCACCACGTCTGGCTAACTTTTTTGTACTTTTAGTAGAGACGAGGTTTCACCATATTGGTCAGGCTGGTCTTGAACTCCTGACCTCAGAAGATCCCCCCCAACCTCAGCCTCCCAAAGTGCTGGGATTACAGGTGTGAGCCATTGCGCTCGGCCTAAATACTTATCTTCCCTCAGCTCCTGCTCTTTGCCCCACTGAGTGCTCGTAGGCAGAATACAGAAGGTGGACATGCTGGCCAGAGGGTCGATGTGTTCATTCCCTCTGATGCTGTCACCAGCCAGCCCAGACGTTTGTTTCTGTGTCCCCACCGTAAGCAACAGGCAGAAGCCTGGCTCCCCTGCCATGCCCTCACCTCCAGCTGCTCAGGGTGCCCCGGGAGCGGGCCGGCCTGAGAGCACCATGAGGACAGGCCGTCCATCCATCTCACCCCTGCAGTGTGCCCAACACCCAGCAAGCGCTTCTTTCAGGAATAAGCCCCTTTTCTTACATATGCCAGCAGAGTGGCCATGGAACAGAGTGAGTTTTTTGCTCATGGGCCTCTGAGCTTGGAGCGCCTGCCCCACGAGGGGCCCGACGCCTTTGACTTCCTGGCTGCAGGGCACACGGCTCCTCAGCCACCTGTGACATCATCTCCCCGGCCTCTCTGGCAGAGGGAGGGAGGGAAAGGGCAGAGCTGGTCGGGGGTGCTGGCAGGTCCTGAATCAGCCACAGTGGGGCTAAAGATGGGCTCTAGGCTCTGGGTTCTGGGGCTGAGACAGTCGCCAGGAGACCACAGTTCCCCTCACTGTGGGGTGGAGAGGTCAGAATGATCAAGAACCTCCTTCCTTTTGCAAGAATGCCATGGCCCTGGGCTTAGGGTGCAGTGGCCTGGCGGGTGAGGGGCTGATGGGAAACACAGATTCTCTGGGCCATGACAGTGGCTATGGCCCTGTGGCACTGAAGAAGCCCTCCATGACAAAGCTATGACCAGAAAAACGGGGGTTTCATCAGATACGGTGGTCTGATGGCAGAATAACAGCCTTCCCAAGGCATCCACATTCTAATCCCTGGAATCCATAAATATGGTGTGTTCTGTGGCAGGGGACATTAAGGTTGTTAATCAGCTGACCTGAGGTAGGAAGAGCCTCTTGGGTTATCCAGCTGGGCCCCATCAATCATTAGAGATTAATGGCAAATACACAAGAGGGAGGCAGGGGAGTTGGTGCCAGTGATGGGGCGTGAGAAAAACTCAGCTGCTTTGAAGATGGAGGAAGAGGCCATGAGCCCAGGAATGCAGGCGGCTTCTAGAGGCTGGGAAAGGCAAGGAAGGGACTTTCCCATGGGCCTCCAGAAGGAACTCAGCCCTGCTGACACCTTGATGTTAGCTCCGAGAGACCTATTTCTGACTTCTCCAGAACTCTAAGAGAATAAACTGGCATTGTTTTCAGCCTCTAATATGCGGCAAGTTGTTTAGCAGCAGGAGGAACCGACACAGGGCGGCCAGCCCCCACCTGGTGCTGGAGGTACCTGGTGCTGTGAGCTCCTCCTCGTCTTCTGGGCTCAGGAGGACCCCATTTGGGCTCCATTGTGGGGGGTGCTCAGAGCCCCCCACACTTCTGGCCCACCAGCCTTCGGCTCCTAGACAGCAAACACAGACACCCCCCGATCAGTGTGAGGCCCCGGAGGGTGGTCTCCAGGTGCCAGCCCCAGGTGGGGGCCCTGGGGTAGGAGGGAGCCCCAGGAGAAGCTAGAAAGCTCAGGGACCCGGATCTGCTTGGGGGCATGGTCAGACCTGGAAGCCTGCCCTGCCCTTTCAGTGGGGTTTTGAGCTCAGCATGAAGACAGCCTGAAGACCCCCACATGGGGGCCCTGGGACATCAGGGCCATCTCTAATAGTACCAGACTTGACCTCATCTTCAGGTTCTCAGAGAACTTTCTCACCTGTGACCTCATGAACCCTGTCCTTCCAGTGGCCCATGTCATTAACAGCACCTCAGGCAAGGAGGCCACCTGGTTAGGAAGGGGCCCAGCCACGACGGGAGCCCAGGCCTTCTGGTCCCCAGTGCCAGTTCAGTGCCTCCTCCCTCTGGCCACAGCAGTTAACACGGAGCACAGCCCAGCACACAGCGAGTGACCTTAAGGAGGTGCCTCTCCAGGGGGTAGCGGGCAATGAGGCAGAGGCCAAATACCTGGGGCAGCCAAGGGGTAAGAAGGAAGGAACGGAGTGGGGAAAGAGGTCAGAGAAAGGAAGATGTCAACATGAAGAGAAGTTTGCAGACAGGCATTTAGAAGGAACTAGAAGGCCAGGCACAGTGGCTCATGCCTGTAATCCCAGCACTCTGAGAGGCCGAGGTGGGTGGATCATCTGAGGTCAGAAGTTCGAGACCAGCCTGGCCAACATGGCGAAACCCCATCTCTGCTAAAAATACAGAAATTAGCCAGGCATGGTAGCAGCTGCCTATAATCTGAGCTACTCAGGAGGCTGAGGCAGGAGAATCGCCTGAACCCGAGAGGCGGAGGTTGCAGCGAGCTGAGATTGTGCCACTGCACTCCAGCCTGGGTGACAGAGCAAGACTCTGACTCAAAAAAAAAAAAAAAAAAAAAAAAAAATCAGCTGGGTGTGGTGGCTCACACCTATAATCCTAGCGCTCTGGGAGGCCGAGGCAGATGGATCATGAGGTCAAGAGATCAAGACCATCCTGGTCAACATGGCAAACCCCGTCTCTGCTAAAAAAATAAAATAAAAATAAATAAAAATAATAAAAATTTAAAAACTACTTGTTTTCTTTTTTTTTGAGACAGAGTCTCACCCTGTCACTCAGGCTGGAGTGCAGTGGCGCGATCTCGGCTCACTGCAACCTCTGCCTCCCAGGTTCAAGCGATTCTCCTGCCTCAGCCTCCCGAGTAGCTGGGATTACAGGAGCTGGCCACCACGCCTGGCTAATTTTTGTATTTTTAGCAGAGACGGGGTTTCGTCATGTTGGCCAGGCTGGTCTCGAACTCTTGACCTCAGGTGATCCGCTCCCCCCACCCCCACCCCGGCCTCCCAGAGTGCTGGGATTACAGGCGTGAGCCACTGCGCCCAGCCACAGTTTCCATTTCTAAGACAGCAAATATCCATACAAACCACCCACATAAACAAAAGCACTTTGGGGTTCTCAATAATTTTCAAGAGCATAAAGGGATCCAGAGGCCGGGTGCGGTGGCTCACACCTGTAATCCCAGCACTCTGGGAGGCTGAGGAGGGTGGATCAGTTGAGGTCAGGAGTTCAAGACCAGCCTGACCAACATGGTGAAACCCCCGACCTGTACTAAAAATACAAAAATAAGCTGGGCGTGGTGGTGGGTGCCTGCAGTCCCAGCTACACAGGAGGCTGAGGCAGGAAAATCACTTGAACCTGGGAGGCGGAGGTTGCAGAGAGCTGAGATCACGCCATTGCACTCCAGCCTGGGCAACACAGTGAGACTCCGTCTTAAAAAAAAAAAAAAAAAGAGGAATTCAGAGACCAAAAAGTTTTGAGAACTCCTGCGCAAGGGCAACTGTGAGACAAAATGAGATGACACCCCTGAAGGGCCGGCCACACCCAGTGCCTGGCCCAATGTGAGAACAGATCATGACACTGTTCTTAGGGTCTAGAAAATGAGTCCTGCCCAACGCTGACACCCTAGACCCCCGGACCCAGGACCCAGACACGCGGCGCCGGTCCGCGCATCTCTCGGTCCTGCTTTCTGCGCGGCTTCCAGCAGAGGGCGCGCGGCCCTCATGTCTGGGGCCGCCCCAGCGTCGGCCCTGAGGTTCTTCTGTTTCAGCTGATGCCTCGCTCCTTCCTGGGGACAGGCGGAAGGTGCGGGGCGCTCCGTGGGACATCGCTGGGGCCCACGCAGCCTCTGGTTTAATGCAGAGCTCCGAGCTCTGCTGCTTTCCTCTTTAAATATGCGGCTGTGCCACCTGGAGTCAGGGACCACGGTATAGGCCACCACAGCGGTTAAGGGCAAAACAGCTGGGCGCGGACACTCATAATCCCAGCACTTTGGGAAGCCGAGGTGGGCGGGATTGCCTGAGCTCAGGAGTTCTAGACCAGCCTGGGCAACATGGTAAGACCCCGTCTGTACAAAAAAAAAAAAAAAAAAAAAAAAAATACAAAAATTAGCTCGGCATGGTGGTGCACGCCTGTAGTCCCAGCATTTTGGGAGGCGGAGGTGGGCAGACTACTTGAGCCCAGGAGATTGAGACCAGCCTGGGTCTAAAGACATGGCAAAACCCTGTCTTTAGAAAAAAATATAAAAATTAGCCGGGCACGGTGGTGCACACCTGTGGTCCTAGCTACTCAGGAGGCTGAGGTGGGAGGATCACGTGAGCCCAGGGAGGTGGTGGCTGCAGTGAGCTGTGCTGTGCAATCTTGCACCACTGCACTTCAGCCTTGGTGACTCAGCAAGACCCTGTGTCCAAAAAAAAAAAAAAAAAAAAAAAAAAAAAGGAGCAAAACTCAGGAGCTGACAAATGCAGTGCTCACAACTGTTATGTGGCCTCAGGCAAGTGGCCTACCTTTTGTAGGTCTCAGTTACTTCATCATTGAAAGGGGAATGAGAATCCTTGCATGTTAGGTGCTCAGCACAGTGCCTGGCAAACAGCAGGTGCTCAATAAGTGGAGGCCAGGAGACTGAGCCTGAATCCCCAGTGTTTAGACACACCAAGGGAGGCCAGTCTCAACGGGGTGAGTGGGAAATTCCCCTACAGGATCCAAAAAGCGTCACGTACCCGGCCCCCAACCCCACCACGGGTATAAAGAGAAGAGTCAGGGACTGGGGAGGGAGCTGGGGGTCGCAGGTGGGCACTGGGGAGCCATCATCTCACCCCCGACCCCACCTAGGCTGTGCAGGCCTGTGGCTCCTCTCCACAATGGGAGATCCACTAATGCAAGATCTCCCCAGGGCAGGATCACCTGCCTAGGCTGGGAGCAGACCCTTGGGAGGCGTTTGCAGGGAGCATCTCTTACCCTGGTGGAAATCGCTGAGGATGTGATGCACCTGGAACTGGGCAGTGGACGCGCACACCTTGGAGTGGCCATAGCAGAAACAGCTGCTGCAGCCAGCTGGATTGTGGGGCTGCAGGTTAAAGGTCCCCGGGCGACATCTGAAATGGAGGCAGGACATGCCCACGAGGGCCACGTGAATCAGCCAGGAAGGGGCGGGGCCAGGGTATCCCAGCTGGACCAATGAGAGTCTAGAATCACTGCAGAAACTTAAAAACAATTTTTTTTCAGAATTCTAGAAGAGTAGTAAGAACATTACAGATTGTTCCCATACCTGCTTCAGACAGCCTCCCCTGATGCTGACATCTGACATTACCACAGTACATTTGTCAAAACTAAGTTAACTAAACTCCAGACTTTATTAGGTTTTGTTTTTTTGTTGTTGTTGTTTTTTTTTTTTTTTGAGACAGAGTCTTGTTCTGTGGCCCAGGCTGGAGTGCAATGGTGCAATCTTGGCTCACTGCAGCCTCCGCCTCCCGGGTTCAAGTGATTCTCCTGCCTCAGCCTCCCGGGTAGCTGGGATTGCAGGCGCCTGCCACCACACCCGGCTAATTTTTGTATTTTTAGTAGAAACGGGATTTCACCATGTTGGCAGGTTGACCTCGAACTCCTGACCTCAGGGGATCCGCCCGCCTCAGCCTCCCAAAGTACTGGGATTTCAGGCTTGAGCCACCGCGCCCAGCGACTTTAATAGGATTTCTCCACTTTTTC